>NC_000006.12:35211515-35514545 GCF_000001405.40 Homo sapiens | reverse complement strand
TCACTATGTTGCTCAGCCTGGTCTTGAGCTCCTGGGCTCAAGTGATCCTCCCAAAGTGCTGGGATTACAGGCATAAGCCACTGCTCCTTGCCCTAATATCAGGGTGTTAATGTCTGTCTCATAAATATTATTGTGAGGGTGGAGTCAGAATGGGAGCAAGCCACAGTAGGTGGACAATAAATGCTATTATTATTATATGGTCAGAGCCAACTGAGGACTGAGGCCTCTCCGAAGTGGCGACTTGAGGACTGTTTAGAGTTGGATAGGTTTCATGGAATAGGGAGGGCGTTCCGGGAGGGAACAGCCTGAGCAAAGGCATGGAGGACAGAACTGTAAAGGCAGTAAGGAAACCTCTGTGGCTGGATGAAGAGTATGGCTTGGGATAACCCTGTGGTTAGAAAGGCAGACTGGGGCCAGATCAGGGAGAGCCTTGAATGTCAACCCAACACATTTAAACTTAATCCTTAGGCAGTAGGGAGCCAATGAATGTTTTTGAACAAAGGTGGCAACCGAAGAAATAGTATTTTAGAAAGTTCCATTTGATATGGATTTACTGTAATTAGCCAGGATCGTGCCACTGCACTCCAGCCTGGGTGACAAGAGCAAAATTCTGTCTAAAACAAAACAAAACAATACCACAAAAGCATGTCCCCTATCAGTGAAAAAAGAAAAAGAGTTAAGGGTATACCTCCAATACAGACATATTCTTTTTTTTTTTTTTTTTTCTGAGATGTAGTCTTGCTCTTTTTGGCCAGGCTGGAGTGCATTGGCAAGATCTCGGCTCACTGCAACCTCCGCCTCCCAGGTTCAAGTGCTTCTCCTGCCTCAGCCTCCCCAGTAGCTGGGACTACAGGTGCCCACCACGATGCCCAGCTAATTTTTTATTTATTTATTTATTTATTTTGAGACGGAGTCTCACTCTGTTGCCCAGGCAGGAGTGCAGTGGCATGATTTCCGCTCACTGCAAGCTCCGCCTCCCAGGTACACGCCATTCTCCTGCCTCAGCCTCCTGAGTAGCTGGGACTACAGGTGCCTGCCGCCATGCCCGGCTAATTTTTGCATTTTTAGTAGAGATGAGGTTTCACCATGTTAGCCAGGATAGTCTCGATCTCCTGACCTTGTGATCCGTCTGCCTCGGCCTCCCAAAGTGCTGGGATTACAGGGGTGAGCCACCGCACCCGGCTAATTTTTGAATTTTTAGTAGAGACTGGGTTTCACTGTGCCGGCCAGGCTGGCCTCGAACTCCTGACCTCAAATGATCCACCTGTCTCAGCCTCCCAAAGTGCTGGGATTACAGGTGTAAACCACCGCACCTGGCTCTAGTTCTTATTTTTTGTGAGAAATAAAGATAAATACAGGATCCAGTCTAATGTTTTCTTCCACATCCCATTGACAAATGACTAATCGGCCCCTCTCACCCCAAGCTTCTGGGGGCTTCTCGGGGCAGGTGGAGCTGGTGGCCATCCTGCAGGCTGCTGGGGATCTGAGAAGAACTGGAGTTGAGATTCTTCCCCCAGTGGCCTGGGCCTAGCAGGGGAGGGTCGTGGGCTGTAGCACCTCCCACAGCGCGGCCAGGCCTCCACTCCTTGAGCAGGGGGAAGGGGGGTGAAGTTGAGCCGAGATTAGCAGGAGTCGGGAGGGAGGCTCCTAGACCTGCAGAGAAAGGGGTGCGATAGGCAAAGGCACCATGCCTCTGCGGGATGAAACCCTCCGAGAGGTGTGGGCCTCTGACAGGTCTGGAAGGCCCCCAGTTCGTGGCACCTGAACCCTGGGGGGCCTAGATGGAGGGATGGGGAGTGGGTGGGATGGGGAGGGAAGGGGAAGGGAGACAGGCTGATCCCTTTGCTACCCTCAGTGGGCATGAAGAAGAAAGCCTGAGCCCGGAGGCCCCGCGGCGCCCCAAACAGGTATGCCACCCCACTTGGAAAGGAAGCAGAAAGATGTCCCCGCTGTGCGTAAACCCACGCAGGGTAGGGGGTCTAGGGGTGGGACAGGTCCCCCTTAGCAGGGTCTGGGGGTTGCATGTCTGGAGATCTGGGGGGAGAAAGGGCTGTTTGGGGACTTGGGGTTTCCAGGGAAGGAATAGGGACTTTGGAGCATTGGATATGGCCACGATGCATGGAAGGGGTCATCCTGCCTCACTCCAAGAAGGGGGCTGCAGTTCCCCCCGGATAATCTGCGGTTATTTCTGGCGGCTCAAGGGATTAGAGGGGGATGGGCGGGCCTCAGCGCCCCCCTTTCCTTCCTCGACCTCCTCTTGACCCCCGTTCCGCAGCGACCCGCCCCGGCACAGAGGCTAAGGAAGAAGAGGACGGAGGCCCCCGAATCCCCCTGCCCCACGGGATCCAAGCCCCGGAAGCCCGGAGGTGGGCGGGGTGCAGAGCCCGGGTGGACCCCCAGGGTGTGGGCTGCGGAAGGGAGGGGCTTGAGGGCCGGCGCGGGTGTCGCCGAGCCCTGGAACGGGGTGGGGGAGGAGGGGGCGGGGAGTGATGAGAGGGGAGGGATTGGGGTTGGGGTTGGGGTTGGGGTTGGTGTAGAAGGGGGTGGCGTTGGGGTAGAAGGGGGTGGGAAGCTGAATGGAAGCCGGGGAGAAGTGTTGAAAGTGGAAACCCAAGCCCAGGGGAGATCCCTAGGGTGAGGAGCCCGAGGGGGTGCGCCCAGGCTTGGGGGTAGCGGGTAGAGGCGCTGCCTCGCGGACCCGCGGATGGGACCCTGTCTGAACCCCGCATCTCGGCTCAGCTGGGCGGACGGGGAGGCCGCGGGAGGAGCCTTCCCCAGACCCAGCCCAGGCCCGGGCGCCGCAGACGGTCTACGCCAGGTTCCTCAGGGACCCCGAGGCCAAGAAGCGCGACCCCCGGGAAACCTTTCTGGTAGCCCGTGCCCCAGACGCGGAGGACGGTGAGAGAGGGCCCCAGGGACGCGGGTGAGGGGGCGGTGGAGCTAAGGAGAGAAGGGGCTGGCTGGACGGGAACGGCCCAGAGAGGCAGAAAACAACTGTAGTCAAATAGCCCCCACTTTTCTGGCCTTATCTTTGAGCCAGGTATTGTGCTAAGCACCAACTATGAGAGGGTGCTTTGTTCCCCCCCTCCACCATTGTACAGATGGAGAAACTGAGTCATAGAGCCGTTAAGGGTTTTTGCCTTAACCAGCAGTTAGGAGCCAGAAGTAGCCCAGATGGGTCTGACTCAAGGTCAGAAACAGACAAGGTCAGGGAGAAGCACAGTGGATGCAGGGAGATGGGGAAAGGAGGCAAGGCGAGCGTGTAAGGAGAGGAGGGTCTCAGGAGGAGAGAGGGAGGGCATTTCCCCAGGACAGGATTCCTCCAACCCCAGCCACTCCCCTGATTTGCAGACCCTGAAGGCTGCCAGTCACCCTCATTCTTCTGGGAAGGTGCCAGGTCTCCGGTTCTTGTTTCAGAAGGGCAGGCTCCCCTTCTGGTGCCCATGCACCACTTCCCAGCAGTCTGGAGGAACTGGGCTCCCCAGATAAGGAGGGCCCGGCTCAAACCCCCATTATGAAGAGTTTCTACCTGCAGAGGAGGAGGAGGAAGAGGAGGACGAGGAGGACGAGGAAGAGGAGGCAGAGGAAAAGAAAGAGAAAATCCTTCTGCCTCCCAAGAAGCCCCTGAGAGAGAAGAGCTCCGCAGACCTGAAGGAGAGGAGGGCCAAGGCCCAGGGCCCAAGGGGTGGGTGCTGAGGGTGCTGAGAGAGCTCACAGGGAAGCAGAACAGCCCTGTCCTTGGAGGGCTTGGCGTCTCACTGAGACACAGCGATTGAGGCCTCAAAATGAACCCAGTGCTGTGACCGGAGGGTTTTTCCTCTGATAATTTCTCCCCACGATGGTCCTTAAGGACATAGACCAATATATGCCTCCACCCCTGGCCCCACTGCCCCTGCCCCTTGAGCTCTGTGAGGCAGAGGAGGACAGAGGATTCTAGTTTTCTTTGTGATTTTTGTTTAGTTTTTGTTTTAACTCAGTGGAAATTGTTATCATTTTTATAAAAGTATCAAAGTGATTACAGTAAAAAGAAATCAATGAATCAATGCTGTGATGGTGTCCTGGCCTGGGCACATTACCTGTTAGGGACCAGCAGCCTGGCCTAGAGCTAGGACCTTGGGCCTCTGAAGCAGAGATAGCACACTCTGTAGTGGTGACCAGAGAAGGTTTCCTGGAGGACATGGGACAAAAGGCAGGATTCAGAGGCTCGGTTAGAAGGCCTGGTGTTCATTCATTCGGGAACTGCTTGTTAAGCTCCTGGTCTTTGTCCAGAGCTTTTTTGGCCTCAGGGAAAGAAAAACCAAAATGAGCAGAAGTCAATACAAAAATTAGCCAGGGGTGGTGGCGCGCGCCTGTAATCCCAGCTACTTGGGCGGCTGAGGCACAAGAATCACTTGAACCCTGGAGGTGGAGGTTGCAGTGAGCCGAGATCCTGCCACTGCATTCCAGCCTGGGCAACAGTGAGACTGTCTCAAAAAAAAAAAGAAAAAGAAGGCAGGCTGTGGGCCCCTGTCAAGCTTTCAGCCTCCCTGGGGACTATAGGCAGGACAAGAGGGTTGGAAGGCAGCCTTCAGCCCCAGTAGACACCTTCTTTGCCTGACCCCCATCTTCCATTTCCAGGAGACCTGGGAAGCCCTGACCCCCCACCGAAACCTCTGCGTGTTAGGAATAAGGAAGCTCCAGCAGGGGAGGGGACCAAGATGAGAAAGACCAAGAAGAAAGGTGAGCCCAGCCTAGGGAGGAACAGGGGACTCCAGTTGCGGTGGGGGTTGTGACGCTTTCACATCCACACATGCAGGGTCTGGGGAGGCCGACAAGGACCCCTCAGGGAGCCCAGCCAGTGCGAGGAAGAGCCCAGCAGCCATGTTTCTGGTTGGGGAAGGCAGTCCTGACAAGAAAGCCCTGAAGAAGAAAGGTGGATGGCAAGGGCTTCTGGTGTGGTGACATCTTGAGGTGGTCCTGGGGGCGGGGAGCTAGAGGGTCCTTACAGCATACAAGACAGTGCTAGGTAAGGAGTTTGCCAGGTCTAGAGTCAGACAACGTGCAGGGCATCTTGACCCCCGCTTTGATAGCTATGCGGTCTCAGGCAGGTGTCTTAGCCTTTTTGGGCTCTAATAATAACATGGGGTCGACTCTCTTGTGGTTGTGGGGAGCATCCAAGTGAGACATGGGTGTTGGAAGCACTTTGCAAACCAGGGTGAGGAGTTCACAGCCTTGTTTCCCCCTCCACGCTCAGGCACTCCCAAAGGCGCGAGGAAGGAGGAAGAAGAGGAGGAGGAGGCAGCTACGGTGATAAAGAAGAGCAATCAAAAGGGCAAAGCCAAAGGAAAAGGCAAAAAGGTTGGGGCCCAGAGGGGCAGGGGGCTGAGGTCCCTTCAGGGAGCAGAGGCAGGGGCCTGGACTTGGGAGCCTAGAGGGTGGGGGCTTGGAGCCACTTGAGGTTAGAACCTTGGCTCCCCCTCTTGTGACAGGATATAAGGACAAAGGAAACCAGATTTGTGCAAACAGAGGAGGCGTTTGTGGGGTCACCAGGCTAGGACTGGCCATGCAAGGGCCTTATGTCATCTGGGCTCTCTGAGGCCTCCCCTCTGGAGCATAACCATCAGACAGCCAGAGATGTCCCCACGCCCCCACCATGTTTTCTGTGCCAGGGAGGAGGAGCACACAGGCAGAGAGGCAGATGAGTACTGACTGACAGTCAGCTGCACCGGTTGTTAAAATGTTTCCACCCTACAGCCCTGAGCTCCCCAGGCGCTTTCACTCACCTTACCCAGGACCTCCCAACCTCCCAGCAACTAAACACTCCAGCAACGAAAGGGTTAATACTGCCCATCAGGAGCCTCCCTGTTTCTCCTCCAAGCTTACCAGTATGCATCTCCATGGCGAACAGGTTGTTAAATATTTTGAATATTGCCCCTGCTCCCAAACAGGACTCAGACACCAACACACAAAAGCTGGAGTAAGCAGGAGAGGGAGGTCCAACTGACAGAAAGTAACAAAAGTCTTCAAGGAACAGGTTTCTCCCAGTGGGAAGATCACCACGAGGACAGGGCCTGGATTTTAGCTTTGTAGGTTTATTAGTTTGTGCAGGAGTGGTCAGGTCTAGGGGGACTGATTCACATTAACCAAGATCACCAGATGCTGATGTACAAACTGAAAGGCCAGTTTACTGTCTCCCAGAGGGGAATGTAACTGCAGAACAGCCTTCAGTACAGTAGGCTCTTGAAATTTGCAGCTGCTGAAGTGTTTGAATAAGTTCTGGCTTTCTCCACATCGTGTTCCAAACATAGTCTTTTGTTTCCCAGGTTTCTTCTGGAACAACCTAGAGTAGAGAACAGGTGATCACTTGTCCCTGAGCTGAGGGTTCACTGCTCTACATCAGCCTCCCTCAAACACACTGCAAACCTGTGCTCAACAAAAACAGCCATGGCCAGGCAAAGTGGCTCATGCCTGTAATCCCAGCACTTTGGGAGGAGGAGGCAGATGGGTCACTTGAAGTCAGGAGTTCAAACCAGCCTGGCGAATAGTAGAGATGGTGAAACCCCATCTCTACTAAAAATACAAAAATTATCGGGGCATGGTGATGCGCACCTGTAGTCCCAGCTACTTAGGAGGATGAGGCAGGAGAATCACTTGAACCCAGGAGGTGGAGGCTGCAGCGAGCTGAGATCACGCCACTGCATTCCAGCCTGGGCAACAAGAGCGAGGCTCCATCTCAAAAAAATAAAAAATAAATTTTAAAAAATGGCCAACCACAGCACATCTTTGTGGATTCTTCGTGGCTCCCAAATAGCATTGAACCCTCAAATGCACACACCCAGGCTGGCAGTCCATGCTTGCCTCTGTTGGAAAAGTTGGGCTTAGACTCTTGGCTCCCTTCCTGTGAGGGATAGAACATGAGGACAAAGGGCACCAGGTTTGTGAGAACAGAAGGGGCTGTTGTGGGGTCACCAGGCCACCCTAGGGCTTTATGTCACCAAATTGTTCTTAGGAGTTTCTCAATGAGCAAAGTGAGCTTACATATTCATTCATGTGTTAACTATGCATTGCTATGTAACAAATCACCCCAAACTGAGCATCTTAAAACAACATTTACTTTCTTATTCAATTTCTGAGAGCCAGAAATCTAGGAGTGGCTTAGCAGAGTAGTTCTGGCTCAGGGTCTCGGAGGAAGCTGCAGTCAAAATGTCAGCTGGGGCTTCGGTCACTCTGAAGGCTTCACTGGAAATGAAGGATCCACTTCTAAAATAGTTCCCTGTGGTAGGTGTTAGCTGGAGATCTCAGTTCCTTCCTACAGGGACCTCTCCTGGAGGCTGCTTGAGTGTTCTTTTTTTTTTTTTTTTTTGCTTGAGTGTTCTTATGGCATGGCAGCCAACTTCTCCCAAAGTCCAAGAGACAGAGAGCCATATAGAAGCCACAATATCTTTTATGACCTAACCTTGGAGTGGCCCATGATCACTTCTGCCATATTCTACTGGTCACAGGGACCAACCCTGGTATGCAGTGGGAGGAGACTACACAAAGGCACAAATACCAGGAGACAAGGATCACTGGGTGCCATCTTATGATAATGAATATCATCTTGACTATGGTATTCATTATTTACTATACGCTAACAATAAGAGTAGCAGCTAACACTTCCATAGTGCTTAGAACACAGCAGTCCATTCTGTTAGCCCCACTTCACTGCCTGAGACAGTGTGCAAAGGAGGGAAGGTCTTTCTAAAGGCTCTGGACCTCATAGGAGATTGGACAAAACTCATGCCCCAGCCCCACCTCTTACTAGTTATGTGAACTTGGGCAAGTGACTTAACTTCTCTAAGCCTCAGTTTCTTCATCTATACAATGGGGATGACTATCGCAGTGGGGTGATAAGAGGATGAAATGAGTAAATATTTCGAAAGTACTTGAAACTATGGCACCCTGATAGAATTTATGCAAGCGTGTGTTAAATACATAGGTAAGGTCTGTCCCAGGTATCCACCCCTACTATACCTACTTCTCAGATGAGAAAATTGAGTTACAGTGTGGTGAAACTTAACAGTGAAGACAGTTAGTAGTGAAACTAGGATTTGAACCTAGACAGTCTGGCTCCAGAGTGTGTGCTCCTATCCACAAGCTAAGCAGAATCAAAATAAATCACAGAGCTCCCCAGAGCCTCCTAACTTGGCCGTGCCGGGCTGCCAGGGAGCATGAGGGGCAGTGGCTTCCCCGCCTCCAGGGATGCGGCCCCTGCTCTAGCCAGCCTCTCTGTTCTCTCCGCACACAGAAAGCGGTGAGTTGTCCTGCCGGGCTGCCCGTGTCTCAGCACTGGGACCTGCTGGGAGCGGGGGAGCTGGTGCTCTGGGGCTGATGTACCCTCTGCCCCCACCCAGAAGGAGGAGAGGGCCCCGTCTCCCCCCGTGGAGGTGGACGAACCCCGGGAGTTTGTGCTCCGGCCTGCCCCCCAGGGCCGCACGGTGCGCTGCCGGCTGACCCGGGACAAAAAGGGCATGGATCGAGGCATGTATCCCTCCTACTTCCTGCACCTGGACACGGAGAAGAAGGTGGGTGGGGAGAGGCAGCAGAGGAGGGAGTGTGGAGGGATCCGGCATGGGGGCCACGGGACAAACGGGCCTGATTTCTCCCTGCAGCTCACCTCCACCCCTTCCCACCTTCTCTTCCCATCCTCTCACCTGTCTCCCCTTTTCCCCAGGTGTTCCTCTTGGCTGGCAGGAAACGAAAACGGAGCAAGACAGCCAATTACCTCATCTCCATCGACCCTACCAATCTGTCCCGAGGAGGGGAGAATTTCATCGGGAAGCTGAGGTGGGGCTGGGCTTCCTGGGGCTGGGGGGACTTGGGTCAGCAAAAGGCCATAGCCCGTCATCTCTGTCCTGCTGTGCCTGGTAGAGCACCCACCACAGTGGGCACCCTGGAAACGTCCCCTAGCCTAGGGCCTCTCGCTTTGATGTACATAGATCATGTGGGGAGCTTGTTAAAATGGTTGAGTGTGTGGGGTGGGCCCGGGAGTCTACATTTTTAATGAGCACCCAGGCGATGCCCACACTGCTGCCAGCCCAGGGCCTCACTTGGAGCAGGGCATAAGTTCCACGAGGGCAGGCACTGTGCCTGCCTTGTTTAGGGCTGAATTCCTAGCACTGAACACATATTAGCTACTCAACAAGTATTTACTGATCAAGTGAATGAACATATATTCAGCACTATCCTGTGCTGTCTTCCCATACATCTCATCTAATCCTCACCACAAATCTGAGAGCTGAAGGAAGGGGATGCCTGAGTCAGGCCTTATTTCCTAAATGTATGTATTTAGGCTGGGCACAGTGGCTAATGCCTGTAATCCCAGCATTTTGGGAGGCCAAGGCGGGTGGATCACCTGAGGTCAGGAGTCCGAGATCAGCCTGGCCAACATGGTGAAACCCCGTCTCTATTAAAAATACAAAAATTAGCCAGGTGTGGTGGCATGCACCTGGAGTCCCAGCTACCTGGGAGGCTGAGGTGGGAGAATCTCTTGAACCCAAGACGGGGAGGTTGCAGTGAGCTGGGATCATGCCACTGCACTTCCAGCCTGGGTGACAGACCAAGACCCTGCCTCAAAAATAAATGAATAAATAAATGTATGTATTTAACAAAACTTTTATAAGGCCTATTTATGTGTCAGGTGTGATTCTAAGTCACTTCCAGGCCAGGCGTGATGGCTCACACCTGTAATCCCAGCACTTTGGGAGGCTGAGGCGGGCGGATCACAAGGTCAGGAGATCAAGACCACCCTGGCTAACACAGCGAAACCCCGTCTCTACTAAAAATACAAAAAAAAAAAAATTAGCCCAGCGTGCTGGCAGGCCCTGTAGTCCCAGCTACTCAGGAGGCTGAGGCAGAAGAATGGCGTGAACCCGGGAGGCGGAGCTTGCAGTGAGCAGAGATCATGCCACTGCACTCCAGCCTGGGCGACAGAGTGAGACTCAGTCTGAAAAAAATAAAGAAAAAAAAAGTCACTTCCAAATGTTAACCCATTCAATCCTCTTATTGTCCAAATGAGGGAAATGCTGTTGCTCAGCCCATTTTATAGATGGGGAAGTTGGGGCTCAGAGAGTTTAAATACCTTGCCTAAGATCTCACAGCTAGTAATAGTAAGAGATGGAGTTGGGATTTTAACACTGCCTAGTCTCCTTGTAGATTCAGCCCTTTTTTTTGTTTTGTTTTGGAGACTGGGTCTTACTCTGTCGCCCAGGCTGGAGTGCAGTGATGTGATCAAGGCCATGGCTCACTGCAGCCTCGACCTCCCAGGCTCAAGTGATCCTCCCACCTTAGCCTCCTGAGTAGCTGGGACTACAGGCACATGCCACCGTGCCTAGATAATTTGGCAGGTGGGGGGCAGAGGGCGGGTGTTTTTTGTAGAGACAGCGTTGTCTGCCATGTTGCCCAGGCTGGTTTCCAACTCCTGGACTCAAGCGATCCTCCCTCCTCTGACTCCCAAAGTGCTGGGATTACAAGCTTGAGCCACCATGCCCTGGGTTGGGCCAGCATTTAAAAAGACCTCTGCATAGGGGGAAGCCTGGGGCAGGGGACATGAATTGCTCAGTCCTAACTCACCCCCACCCTTGTAGGAAGCTCTCTAAACTGCTTGGCTGTGTGGAAGGGGCCTGGGGCAGGGATGTAGGATCCCCTCAGCCCCACCCCAAGCTCTACCCTGCTTGCAGGTCCAACCTCCTGGGGAACCGCTTCACGGTCTTTGACAACGGGCAGAACCCACAGCGTGGGTACAGCACTAATGTGGCAAGCCTTCGGCAGGAGCTGGCAGCTGTGATCTATGTGAGGACTCCACCTGTCCCCCATGCCAGGCTGCTCCCCTTACAGGGGCTGGCCTCACAGGCATCTGTTTCCTTCCCAGGAAACCAACGTGCTGGGCTTCCGTGGCCCCCGGCGCATGACCGTCATCATTCCTGGCATGAGTGCGGAGAACGAGAGGGTCCCCATCCGGCCCCGAAATGTGAGCCCCGCACCTCCCTGGCCCCTGGCTCCCTATGTGAGAAACAGGAGTCGGGGCTCAGCTTAGGAAATAGCCAACTCCCTGAGCACATCCATCACCCTCCAACACAAATTCATTCTGGCCACCTAGGGAATGGACTTGGGCTTTTTGTAATTGAATTCACTGAAAAACCACAATGGGCTTTTTGGTTGTTTTTGGAGTTTACATCAAATTCATATATTACATCCATTCATATCTTCATTGACCACACATATTGAGTGCCAAGTATTATCCTAGGCACCTGGAAGACATCAGTGGACAAAACAAAGATCTGCACCCCTGGGCCGGGCGCGGTGGCTCACGCCTGTAATCCCAGCACTTTGGGAGGCCGAGATGGGCGGATCACGAGGTCAGGAGATCGAGACTATCCTGGCTAACATGGTGAAACCCCGTCTCTACTAAAAATACAAAAAAATTAGCCGGGCATGGTGGCGGGCGCCTATAGTCCCAGCTACTTGGGAGGCTGAGGCAGGAGAATGGCGTGAACCTGGGAGGCGGAGCTTGCAGTAAGCCGAGATGGTGCCACTGCACTCCAGCCTGGGCGACAGAGCAAGACTCCATCTCATAAAAAACAAAACAAAACAAAACAAAAAAACCAAAGCTCTGCCCCCCTGAAGCTGGCATTCTAGTGGGAGGAGAGTGACAGTAGACAATAATCGTGATAAATAAGTAAATTATGGAGCATACTGGAAGGTGGTAAGTGCTATGGTGAAAAATGTCAGACCAGGTGCAGTGGCTCACACCTGTATCCCCAGCACTTTGGGAGGACAAGGTGGGCGGATCACTTGAGGTCAGGAGTTCGAGACCAGCCTGGCCAACATGGCTAAACCCCGTCTCTACTAAATATACAAAAATTAGCCGGGCGTGGCAGTGGGCAACTGTAATCTCACCTGTTTACTCAGGAGGCTGACGCAGGGAGTATTGCTTGAACCCGGGAAGCAGAGGTTGCAGTGAGGCAAGATCACGCCACTGCACTCCAGCCTGGGCAACAGAGCGACACTCTGTCTCAAAAATTAAAAAAAAAATGTTGCCAGCCATGGTGGCTCACGCTTGTGACCCCAGCATTTTGGGAGGCCAAGCTGGGCAGATCACGAGGTCAGGAGTTTGAGACCAGCCTGGCCAACGTGGTAAAATCCCGTCTCTACTAAAAATACAAAAATTAACTGGGCATGGTGACAGGCGCCTGTAATCCCAGCTACTCAGGAGACTGAGGCAAGAGAATCACTTGAACCCCGGAGGCGGAGGTTGCAGTGAGCCAAGATCACGCTGCTGCACTCCAGCCTGGGTGACAGAGCTAGACTCCATCTCAAAATAAATAAATAAATAAATAATAAAAAATAAAAAGAAAAAATTTAAAAAGAAAAAAGTCAAACAGGGGAAGGTAGATAATAAGTGTGTAAGTCTCAATATTAAATATGGTTGTCAAAGCAGACCTCAATGAGAAGGTGAGGGAGTGAGCCTACAGATATCTGGGGGAAGAGCACCTGGGCAGTGGGAAGAGCCAGTGCAAAGGTCCTGTGGCAGGAGGGGCCCTGGTGGACTGGAGGAACCACCAGGTGACCAGTGTGGCTGGGGGGAGAGGAGGTCAGAGAAGTGAGGGGTAGACAGGGTCTTTAAAACTGATTTTTGCTCTGAGAGAAATGGGAAGCTACAGCAGGGTTTTGAGCAAAGGAGTGACATGACTTGTTTTTGTTTTTGTTTTTGTTTTGAGACGGAGTCTCGCTCTGTAACCCAGGCTGGAGTGCAATGGCCTGATCGCAACTCACTGCAACCTCTACTTCCCAGGTTCAAGAGATTCTCCTGCCTCAGCCTCCCGAGTAGCTGGGATTACAGGTGCATACCACCATGCTCAGCTAATTTTTGTATTTTCAGTAGAGACGCGGTTTTGCCATGATGGCCAGGTTGGTCTTGAACTCCTGACCTCAAGTGACCCACCTGCCTCAGCCTCCCAAAGTGCTAGGATTACAGGCCTGAGCCACTGTGCCCAGCCTTTTTTTTTTTTTTTTTTTTCTGAGACCGAGTCTCACTCTGGGTCTCACTCCAGCCCAGGCTAGAGTACAGTGGTATGATCATGACTTACTGCAGCCTCGACCTCCTGGCTTCAAACAGTGCTGCTTCCTGCCTCAGCCTCTCATGTAGCTGAGACCCTAGGCACATGCCACCATACCTGGCTAGTTTTTTGTAGAGCCAGGGTCTCACTTTGTTGCCCAGGCTGGTCTTAAATTCCTGAAGTGATCCTCTCGTCTCGGCTTCTCAAAGTGTTGGGATTATATGCGTGAGCCACTGTGCTTGGCATGACTTGTATTTTAAAAAGCAAAAGTTGTTTTGCGTGTGTGTGTGTGTGAGTTTAAGATGGAGAGATGTTCTGGAGAGACGTGTCAGTCCCGTGCTCTGCTCTTTAGCACTGCAGGTCCAGTGAGTCCAGGATTTAAGAGACTCTGGGTGACTCGCATGCCCCATCCTCACAGGAGACTGATGTCATTTTACTCATTTACAATGAAAGATAATACCCCGTCAGCTGATCACACATCCTTCCCTGCTGGAAAGTCACGGCCCAGGCTGATCTGCAGGGCACCAGTCATGGGAGGCTCAGTCTTGAGGGTTCACTCAGCCTGTGGGCCCCACAGTTGTCCTTCCTATGCCTGGAATAAACACACAAATCCCCCAGAGGCAGCATCTCCTGCCCTTGTTTGGGCCCAGTAAGAAATGCCTGGTGCTGTTTCGGGTCTCTCTTTTGCCAATTACAGTGCAGTGGGAGGAATGGTAAGAGCAAGGTGTCATGGAAACTCAGAGCTGAGACATCTAAATCAGATGGGGGGTCAGGAAGGCTTCTTGGAGGTGATCTTGAGTGGACTCACTCTAATCCATGAACGTGAGCAGGCGACAAGGAAACTCAAGAAAGAAAGATCTTAAGGGCACATTATACAGACCCTGCTCCTTCCTTTCAGAAACTCTCCTCCAAGTACACTTTCTCTTAACTGCAATTTACCTATCCATCTCCCCAGCTCAACTGTGTGCCCTTTGCAGGTCCAAGATTGGCTCATCCTGTCATTAGGTACTGGTGTGTGTCTGTCTCCTAAGACCACCTGGGTACCAATGGCATGGAGCGCCTATGTGCCAGATGCCCCTTGCCATTTTCCAGCCCTCCGCTTTGACATCCCAGAGACAAAGCCCCATTCTCACAGATGTGAACCCTGTCCACAAGGATGCCACAGATGCCAAGCCTATTCTCAGATACCCTAATGGATGAAGATGTCCAGGCCACACCCCTGTGCACACATGCCCAGGCCCCTTCTCCGGTCAGTCCTGAGCCATCTCAGCCATCTCTAACTGTCCTCTCCCTGTCTACTCCCCTGGGGCACCCCAGGCTAGTGACGGCCTGCTGGTGCGCTGGCAGAACAAGACGCTGGAGAGCCTCATAGAACTGCACAACAAGCCACCTGTCTGGAACGATGACAGTGGCTCCTACACCCTCAACTTCCAAGGCCGGGTCACCCAGGCCTCAGTCAAGAACTTCCAGATTGTCCACGCTGATGACCGTGAGTACCTGAGGGCCCAGGTCTGGCTCTTCTCCACCACCCCCAGGATGCTGACCTTCATTCAAGCTCCCCTCACCCCCTCACACACACACACACCAGCCTTTATCCCGAGAGCTGGGACATCCCACAGGGTCACTCTCTCCTCCATAGGCACTGACACTGTGCTCTCAGGAGCCTCAGATATTCTAAGCAGGTGTCTTGGGGCTCATCACTTCAGGTTCCCATTCCAGCATTGGCCAGAGCAGTGGGTTAGATACTGGGACATTCTGGATAAGATTGTGTTGAAGGGAGGGTTGGCTCCTAGAGTCTGAAAACCACGGACAGCCCAACTCCTCTTTGTTCAAAGAGAGTGCTGAGGCTCAGAGAGGGCAGCCCTTTGCCCAGAGTCTCTCAGCAACTTCAGGAAGTTACACTGGCCCTCGAAATTTATTTCACAAAACTTACACAGTGTTTACTATGTGCCAGGCACTGTTCTCAGGATTTTACAGATAACTGAATCATTAAATCCCTTCAACGTCCCTGTGAAGAGTGCCATTATTATCCCTATTTGGCAGGAAACTAAGGCACAGAGAGGTTAAGCAACTTGCCCACGGTCACATCACTAGTAGGAGGTAGAGCTGACAGTCTGGATCTCCAGTGGCCATGCTCTTAATCTCTTCAAGATGGTTGCCTTTTAGGGGCAGGGAATATTAAGCATTTTTGAGTGCCTACTCTGTGTCTTCTCTCAAGTGAGGTCAAAGGACTACCCTGGAAGACTCAGGGAAACAAGGTGTCCCTGTTACAAGCCTTGGTTGGAAAGGCTTCCTTCCCACTAGGGTGAGGAAGTTTGGGGATGGAAGGGTATCTCCCATAAGTCTCTGGGTTCACAGGGTTGGACCAACATTGAGCGAGCCCCAACTGCATCCTAGGGATGTGCCCCCAGTGCCACCTGTCCTGTGGCTGTGGGACTGCTCTCCAGATCACGTTTCTGGTGGAGCCTCGTCCACCTGAGTTTGGGGGTATTTTTAGCAACTTCCTGTCCCTATGGATCCTGGGGGAGGTGCTGAGGTTGGGGCTGGGAACCTGGATCATTGAAGGGAGAGGTGCCCAGTGAGGCTGAGGAAGGGAACCAGGGGCTAGTCAAGGGGTGGAGCTGGGGTCTAAGGTGGGACTTCGTGGCTGGGGATAGGAGGAAAGACTGTGGCCAGAAACAACAGAGAATTTGGGAAGGAAGAATGCTGGGCTTGGATAAATTTGACAGGGTCCTATAGTTAATCAGGTGCGGGCTCTAGGCATGGCCTGTGGCAGCAGCAGAAAGGCAAGGTCCCTGCCCCCAGGAGATTATAGTGTGACTGCAAAGCCACGTGGTGCTGGTGTGGAGTGAGATAGAAGAAGGGATGGGTGTTGAGTAACTGAGATGGTGGCTGAGGGTTGGAGCCCCAAGGCAAGGGACAGACTGCCCCCAAGGTTGAGGGCACTGTCTGCCAGGATGGGGGTCCAAGGAGGTCTCGGGCCGCCCCCACCCCGTCTTGTGTCCATAGCCGACTATATCGTGCTGCAGTTCGGCCGCGTGGCGGAGGACGCCTTCACCCTAGACTACCGGTACCCGCTGTGCGCCCTGCAGGCCTTCGCCATCGCCCTCTCCAGTTTCGACGGGAAGCTGGCCTGCGAGTGACCCCAGCAGCCCCTCAGCGCCCCCAGAGCCCGTCAGCGTGGGGGAAAGGATTCAGTGGAGGCTGGCAGGGTCCCTCCAGCAAAGCTCCCGCGGAAAACTGCTCCTGTGTCGGGGCTGACCTCTCACTGCCTCTCGGTGACCTCCGTCCTCTCCCCAGCCTGGCACAGGCCGAGGCAGGAGGAGCCCGGACGGCGGGTAGGACGGAGATGAAGAACATCTGGAGTTGGAGCCGCACATCTGGTCTCGGAGCTCGCCTGCGCCGCTGTGCCCCCCTCCTCCCCGCGCCCCAGTCACTTCCTGTCCGGGAGCAGTAGTCATTGTTGTTTTAACCTCCCCTCTCCCCGGGACCGCGCTAGGGCTCCGAGGAGCTGGGGCGGGCTAGGAGGAGGGGGTAGGTGATGGGGGACGAGGGCCAGGCACCCACATCCCCAATAAAGCCGCGTCCTTGGCCAAGCGGAGCGGTGGTTCCTCAGCGCGTGCGGAGAACGAGGCGGCAGGAGGCGTCCGAGGCGCGAGCTGGAAGTCTCAACCCCCGTCCCACTCCTGCCCAGGCCCCGGGCGCTCCCGCGTCCCCTCCCCGCGCCCGTCGCGGGTCCTACCGAAACTCGGCGGCCGCACAGCGTCGAGACGCCCCCCGTGGGGGCCCGGGGAGCCGGGGCGAAAGGGAGGGTCCCGGAGGTCGGGGAAGAGGGAGAAAGGGAGAAGAAATTCGAGAAACTAGCCACGCGGGGAGAACCAGACAAACCGGGTCCCGGCAGGGCGGGCGCAGCCGCCAGGGCGGAGCCGGGTCTGGGGCCCCGGGAGTGGGGGGCAGGCCCGCGAGCTGGAGGGTACGCTCCGCCTTGGCGGCTCGGGACTAGGGTGGAGGGGCCGGGAGCCCCGGGGCCCGTGCGCTCCGGCTCTGCCGGGCTCCTCGTGACGCGGCACCCACGGCCCCCGGCACCGACGGGAGCCCTGCCCGCGAGGCGAGGGCTCCGCCCTCGGCCCCGCCCCAGGCCGGAGCCCCAAATTCCGGCGGGTGCCCGGGAGCGGGGCGAGGCCCGGAGCGCAGGGGGAGGAAGGCAGCTCCGCACGGGCGGGCGAGGAGCGGGGCGCCCAGGCGCGCGCCAGCCGGGGTGGCCGGGTCGCGAGGCCGCGGGGTAGGCGGCCCGAGCGCGGCTGGACGGCCCCGCCCCTCCCGGCCAGCACCGCCCCCTGCGCGCCCCGCCCCCTCCTTCCCGCAGCCCCCACCCCCGCCCCGGCTCCTCAACACAAACTTTCCGTCCCGCTCGCTCCCTCCTCCGCGCTCGGCGCCTCCCGCTCCAGCCCGGCTCATTCCGCACATTCCGGCCAGCCCCCTCCCCACGACCCCCCTTCCCCGGCCCCCCTTGCGGCTCCCTCGGGCCCGGCGGAGCGGCCCGGCCGGAGCGCCCCCGCGAGCTCGGACCAGGTAAGCCGGGCGGACGCCGGGAGGAGGCCCCGCTCGGGAGAGGTGGTTTGGTTGGTCGGCTGGGCTGGCTGGGGGGGCGACACTCGAGGGGGACTGGGTCCCCGAGCTATTGTCCAGCCGGAGCTGGAGCCCCGGATCGGGGTGCCGGGAAGTTTAGAGGGAAGGGGGAAAATCTCTCCGGGAAGCCCCGCCCCCCGCCCTCCCCACCCCCCCGCGACGGGGACGAGTTGGTCCGGGAAGGTGGGGAAGCCGGGGAGACCGTGTCCCCTGTGCCGTCGCCTGTCCCGCCGTCCGTGCTTGGGGGGTCGGGGCGGGGATCCGGGGGCCGCACAGTGTGGAGGGCCTGCCTGCCACCCTGGAGCTCATATCCGGGGCGCCCAGTCCCGGGCCCCGCCGCCCTTTGGACTCCCGGCCCGCGCGCTCCCGGAGCCCGCCCGGCCTCAGCTCCACGCAGGCCTCGGGCCCGGCCTCCCAGCGCCCAGGCCGGTTTCTGCGCGCGGTGCCGCGGCTGCGCTGGGTTGTGGAGGGTGTCTGGGACCAAAGCCGCGCGCCCCGGCCGTGTGTCCCCTGAGAGGCAGGGAGGGGCTCACGTTCCCTTCAGTTCTGCCGCCTGCGTCGGGGTGCTGATTCAGAGTTCCAGCCCTGAGCGCTGTGAGCTTGGCTCGGAGGGGTCTGGATTTGGGGCCTTTTCTTCCCCACACTTGCTCAGGGCCCTTGTTTAGACTTGACAAGGTTTGAGGGTGGCTGGTCTCCCGCTTCCTACCCCGGTCCCCACCATTGTCTGTCATGCCCTTTATTCCTGCTAGGGGAGGGAGGGCTGGGAGCGCTGGTCTGGATCTGTTTTCCAGCCCAGCTGGGCCCTGGGGCAGTGTCATTGAGACCCCGCTCTGTCAACTTTCCTGGTGAGGGGCCCTGATCCAGGGCTGAGAGATTCTTTCAGTGCGAGGGGGAAGGAGGCCTTGGGGCGGACTTCTCAGGGGCTGTCTTCTTCTGTGTCTTCCCTCTTTCCAGGTAGGGGCAGAACCAGGTCAGGCCTGGACTTGTTGTCCGGAAGAACAGGGCATAGGGGTAGGGGCTGGACACAGCTCAGAGGGGCTGGTGCCCATAGCGGCTCTGCGTATCCAGTCTCTTGTGGCCTGGTTCTCTGTACACATGTTCCACCCCAGTGCTGGGGCCACCTGGGGCAAGGAGGGGAGGCTTTCCTCAAAAGTTGGAGATTTGGGGGAATTATGTCCTCTCCCTTCTAGACTCCTGTAGCCCCCCTCCCACCAAGACCCCTCTCGTAGGGGCACTCCCTAAAGGATGTGGTTCTGTGGTCTTCTGGGTCCCTGCTCACCCAGTGGGCAGAGTGCACAGATCTTCCAGGACAAGGCTGTCCAGTAAGGGTAACTTCAGGGGCCCTGGATGCCCCCTCCTCAGGGAGAGGGTAGGAGCCAGTATGAGTCCCAAGCTCTTGGGCCTTCCCCTACCCCCCCAGGGAGGGAACGTCATTAATGCTAATGAGCGCATCTGGGCTGGGGAATGGCTTGTTAGAGTGGTCAGTGGTTGCCAGGACAGAGCAGCACATTAAGTGTACAGAAGCATCACATGGGTCCTGAGCCCTGCTCCCATCCTCACCCAAAGGTTTGTAGACCCTGGCACTTTCTGCCAACTGAAGGAATGTTAAAACCGGGAGGATTTGATATTCTCAACAATATCAAAGGAGAAGATATCTCAACAGAGGTGGTCAAGAAATAGGGATCTGGTCCCCTCCGGACCTTTAACCAGTTGCGCCATCTTGGCAGGCCCCTTTGGGCCTCAGTTTCCCTGCTTGGAATGAATGACTTCTCAAGTCCCTTTTCTCTGAGCTCCTCCCAGAGTCTGTCTCCCAGTTTGCCTTCCTTCTCCCATGATGGAACCTGAACTTGGTGGGGTCTGGAGAGGCGGGTGGGTGATCCAGTGGCCCAAAGAAGAAGGCAAGGACAAACCAAGGGGTGACTGAGGAGTAGCTCAGCCAGATGAACAGGGCTGAAAAGGTGGCGGGGGGCAGGTGTCAAGGGACAGGGGGGCTTGGTGGATTGGGGGATCTTGCCTCTGAAGTGGTCATGGGTTCTGTTAGGGCTGAATGGCACAAAGGGTGCTCAGAGGCCGCTTGGGTGGCTCTACCCTCTGCCCCACTCCCAGACACCTGTGGGGGTCCCAGGGCTCAGTGTGGAAATCGCTGGTCCTGCCCTCCTCCTCCTCCCCGCCCAGGATGGGGAGAGGAGCCCAGGGGTCTAAACGCTGCAGCTTTCTGTGAAGGGGCTAGGAGGTCGCAGCCTCTTCTTCCCACATGGGGGCTGCAGAAGCTGTGGGGTCCCAGGGGTGGCCCTGAGGATCTGCCTCTGGGTAGAGCTGGGGAGGTCAGCAGGTCACACTCGGCACTGTCCCTGGGGCCTTGCCCTGCCTTCCCTCCCCTCCCCTCCTGGTGTTGTGCCAGCCCTGGGCTGTCTGCAGAAGGGGCCACTTCCCTCCAGGGAGAACCCTGCCAGGGAAAGGGCTCTGCCTGTCTTCCCCGACCCACAGGAGGTTGAGGTTAGGGCCAGAGAGGTTCATCCCCCTGCACATCCCTAAAGCCTCAGCCCTTGGGGTTTCCTAGAGTGCCGATTGTTTCCTGTGCTCCCTGCCAGGCCTGAAAGGGCAGGAAGTGTTAGAGGGAAATGAGAATGCAACTGTGTGTGACGCTGGATGTGTGTGAGAGAAGCCATGAGTGGGACATTCTATGTGGGTGAGACTTGTCTTCTGTGGGGCTGGATGTGTGTGGAAGAGAACCTTGGTCAGAGCAACTTGTGCAGGGCTGGGTGTATGCAGGAGAGAAACTGTGGCTTTGTGACATTCGTGTGTGTGACAGATATACACGTCCATAAGAGAAACTGGGTGACTCTTCATGTGTCCAGGTGTGCCGCCACCTCTGTACCTGAGAACCTGCATGGGGGATGTTCTGTGTGTGCCAGGGCATCACCCAGGATGTGCCGATGAAGGAAGCTGGCTGCCTAGCCATCTGTGTGTACCTGGAGATGACACTGGGTGTGGCTCTGATGCTCAAGTGACCTGCGTGTGAAGGACACCGCACTCGCACGATGCTGTGTGTATGTGAGCGCGCGGGCGCGTGTGCGTGAGAAGCCGGATGAGTGGCGATCTGTGTGATGTGTTACGCTGTGGTGTGACCACTTGTGACCTGCATGTTGTGACGCAGCATGTGAGATGGCCTCAGGTTTGTCTGTGTGTGACTTACATGTGACACTACATGCGAGTAAAACAACATGACCAGCTCTGTGTCAGTATGATGTGTGTACCAGCAAGGTGGGCCCCATCCGACATGTGCCAAGCATGAATATGGTATGCGGTGTGTGGGTGACACTGAGCACCAGAAAGCGACACCGTATGTGAGAGAAACCGTGGGGCGTGACTGATGCTGGCGCTGTGGGTGGGTGGTCACTATCTGAGCGTGTTTGGGACTCTCGGGTAGTGTGGGTGACACCCCCAGGGCTGTGCCAGGCAGGGCGTGTAGGAGGCTCTGTGGGATGCTTTTGGGGGCCTGTGGTCCCTGACGTGTGGCATCTATGTGGAAGACAATGAGAAAGACACTGATAAAAACAAAGAAGGAATGTAATTAATGCCTCTCAATTGTACACTTAGAAATGGCTAAAATGGTAAACTTGATGTTATGTATATTTTATCACAATAAAGACATTTTTAAAAACCCAGCAGGAGAGAGATGCGGGTAACAGTGAATGAGCAGGACAGTGGCTGTGACGCAACTGTGTATGCGAGCGAGAGGAAGGGCGCAGAGGAAACCTATTTGTTCTTAGATGACACCGTGACTCTCATGAGGGCACTGACTGAGTGGCTGGTGGGAGCCCAGTGGGCGACCCAGAGTACCAGGAGTCTGGCATGGTAACTGAGAACTGAGAAACCCAGTGACCCCCTATAGTCTGTCTCTCACTGGATACCTGAGATTCCCACCCTGGGACCAGGACAAGATGAGGAGATAAGTCAGTCCCAGGGAGGGGGTGAAGGGAGGTCTGGAAACTGGGCCCTTCTCTCTACAGGGGACTTGAGGGCTGAGTCTCCACCCTCCTACCCGCTATACTGCTTCAGGGAGCAGGAGCGTGACAACAGATGAGATGAGCTTTGCAGAAGGAGGCCTGGGGGGACTATCCCAACCCCCTCTGCTCCCTGAGAAAGCCCCTTTCCCAAGTAGTGTGGGGAGGAGGGGCAGAGAATCTCCAGTCCCAAATTGGAAGCACATTAATAAGCAGGGCGGGGGGTGGGGAGAGAGTGGAGGGGCCCCCACCTCCCTCCTAGTGGGCTCTGCAAATTGCTTCCTCCTGTAAAAATTGAGACCCTGTTCCAGGAAGGAGGGAAGCCCTCCCCAGCCTGGCAGGGTGTGGCTGCTTGGCAGGGTCCCTCCGGGGTCCTTGGGCTGGAGGTGGGGGAGACAGATACATCCCTACTTGCTCTGCTGCCCCAGAGCATGGCTACTTCTAGGGTGGGAGCTTCTGGCAGCTGGAGAACAGCTGGCCCGCTGTGGGGCGGGTAGGGGAGGAGGGAGGAAAAGGCAGAGAGGGTGGGAGCCTCCCTTAGCCCTCCTCAGCTGCCCTCCCCATCCTCGACCCCCCCGGCTGGTCAGCCCAGCTCAGGTTTGAGGGCAGAGATTTGGGAGGAAACTGCTGATTTCACTGATCTTGCCACATTTTGAGTGATGTTCTCACTCCAAGTGAGAATGCTTTGGGGGCTGGGGTCCCTGCAGGGGTGGACTGCTGGCTGCTAGACCCAGGAAGGTCACAGCTCAGCTCGTCCTCCCAGCAGGGCTGGTGCAGGGGAAGGGGTAAGACAGGAGGTGCCCACTCACCCAGACTGGCTTTTTCTGTGCCTCCTACCAAGGCAGTGGCTCTGGGGCCCCTAAAGGGAGCTACAGGGCTGGGTGGTCTGGAGGCTGCAGGGTCTGTGGGGGTGGGGGACCAGGGCCTCTGCAGCGGCCCCAGCTCCAGCCTGATCCCTGGAGCTGTCCAGCCAGTTCTTCCAGCAGGTCTTGCCCCAGGGTGGGGGTGGGCAGCAAGGTGCCCCTTATCTTCCCCAGGGCCCCAAAGCCTGCTCACCCAGCCTCCTAGCCCCCATCCCTGCCTCCACCCAGAGGCCTTCTGAGCCTGAAAGGCTGAGGGCCCTGGGAGAGGGGAAGCGGGTGTGGCTGGTCAGGATGAGGGTGAAGGCAGACTGAGTCCCCTGGGGGTCTGCAGCCTGCTGGCGGGTTTGCAGGACAGGTACAACAGGACTCCTCTGCAGAGGCAGATGGGAGGGGTTCTGAGAGGAGGTGGAGGGTAGGAGCCCCTGAGATGGGAGTGGGGGTGTCCTGGATGGTGGCCAGCCCCAGCCCCTGGCAGTGGCCTCCCTTGTCACTCCCTCCCTCTGTTTTGCCTTGGCCTCTGGGTCTCTGTCCTTGTCCCTGTCTTTTTCTTTCTCCCCATCCCCTCCTGGTCTGCCCCTCCCTCGATGCCTATCATATCTGAGTTTCTGGTCTACCCCTCTCTGCTGTGTGTCTCTTTCTAGGTCTTTGTTGGTTGCCTTGTCTGTGCCCCTCCCCTGCCCTCCTTCTCCCCTTCTCCCTTCACCCCCCACCGGCTCTGTCTGTCAGTCTGTGGGTCTGAGGGTCCAGCACTCCCCCGCCCTGCCTCCACATCTCTCCTGGGGTCTCTCCCTTCACTCTGCGGGGCTCTGGTCTGTCCCCCACTGGGTTGGGCTTTCTGTCTGTCACTCACTGGGACTCTCCTGTCTCTGGTCTGTTTTCTCTCTGGGTTCACCTCAGCTTCTCTTTGCCCCAGACTCTCCCCCAGCCTGTCTCCCCTGCCCCTCCTGTCTGTCTCAGGCCCCACCCCGGCCTTGGTCTCCCTCCCCTTGACCCTCACTTGGGTCTCCTCTCTCTCCTACCCCTCTTCATGGCACAGCACAGCGAGGCAGAGTTTCTAGATACCTGGGCATCATCAGCCAGCAGCCCAGGGCTTGCCCTCTCGCCCGCAGTCAGCTTTCTCTAGATGTCCCACCCCTCCACCAAGCCAGAGTCCCACATTTGCCCCAGCCCAGCCCGCACCTGTCCAGGGAGCCATAGCCTCCTCTCTCAGCCCGGCCTGGGTCCCAGCAGTTAGAGGATCTAGGGAGAAGAAGGCGGGCACATGCTGGTCTCTAGGAGAACAGAGCAGCCAGTGCTCACGCCTCCTGCAGACTCCCTTCCACTGAGACCCCGGTCCAGCCCCCAGACGGGGGCAGCTGCCTGCCCACGACTGCCCATGTGTGTGCCTCAGCTTGGGGGTGCACATTCTCACGTGGTTGTCCTCCCGAGCACTCGCACAGCCCCTCTGCACAGTGTGCTCCTGTGCATGGCTGTGTGTGGGGAGTGCCACTTGCCCCTGTGTTGGTGCCTCTGCCCCAGGAGCGTTCCTAGAAAGTGAGTCTCGCATGCGTCTAGGAGCCAGCCGAAGGGAGGGACGGTGGTCCTATTCTCTCCTTGACACGTCCTTTGGGCCGTCCCCCCTCCCCTCCCCCTCACCAGCTGCCAGCGGTCCCAGCCAGGGGCCGCCTGCCCCGCCCCCCCAGTCTGTCCCAGCTCCCAAGCCTGCTGCTGTGTTCGCCATATTTGGCCACAGTGCTCCCGCGGGGGGCGGGGCGGGGCTGACATCACCCTAAGAAGGGGGGGCCACAGCCTGCTTGAGGGGAGGCGGGCAGGGACTTGGGGGAGGCAGGAAAGTTGCTTTAAAAGTCTGGGGCTGCCTGGGCCGCTGCTGCTCGAGGGAGGCCTCGGGAAAGGGGTTAAGAGGGGCCTTAGCTCATTGTAGCCCCTCTTCTCCCTCCCCTCTAACAGCTCTGTGGCAGTGTCAGACTGACACCTGTGGACAGGCCCTGCATCCCAACTATTTCAACAGGGGAGTCCCTAGGTGCCCCCACCCAGCTAGCACACCCCTGTCCCCTTAATTTTTTCTTTTTGTTTTTTTAATTTAAATTTAATTTTTAAAAATAGAGACAAGGTTTTCACTATGTTGTCCAGGCTGGTCTTGAACTCCTGGCCTCAAGTGAGCTTCCCAGAGTGCTGGGATTATAGTCGTGAGCCACCACCCCCCACATTTCCTTATTTATTTATTTATATTTATTTTGTTTACCCCTCACATTTCTATTCCAAGAATTCCCCTCTCGTTGAGGAGTAGGGCCTGGGGCTCTGGATCCAGTTTCCTGGGGTGAGGGACAGGCTGGGAATGAGGGCATCTGGCCCCTCTGACAGGTCAGGGGCACAGCTCCTTCTGGCCGCCCACTGGCCATGGGAGAGAGATTCCTGGTGGCTCTGGAGGCATCACAGAAAGGGCTGTACGGCAGTGCGGGGGTCTTCAAGTTGCTCCAGTTGCTTGGGTTGAGGGGGACCTCCTGGGCAGACTTAGGGCAGTTGCTGTGACAGCTGAACCTCCTTTCTCTCTCAGGTGGTGGGGTCTCTCAGCACCCTCCCTATAACCTTCCTGGTTATAAAACCGAAGCCAGCTTACCTGGGTTCAGAACCCAGCCCTAGTACTTACTTGTTGTGTGCCCTAAGGCAAGTTGCTTAACTTCTCTGTTTCTTGGGTTCCTCATCTATAAACTAGGAATAATAATAGTATCTGCCCCATAGGGTTATTGTGAGGATTAAATGAGTCAATGTGTGTGAAATCCCAGAACAGTGCCTGGCATATGACAGGTACTGTTAGTAGTAGTAATATTAAGTCTAGACTCAATAGTTTAGAATAATTACAATAACTAGTTGAATAGCTGAATAACTAACTGAATAATAGTTTAGAATAATCAAGGGCCGGGCGCAGTGGCTCACGCCTGTAATCCCAACACTTTGGGAGGCCGAGGCTGGCGGACCATGAGGTCAGAAGTTTGAGACCAGCCTGGCCAACATGGTGAAACCCCGTCTTTACTAAAAATACAAAAAATTATCTGGGCATGGTGGCATGCGCCTGTAATCCCAGCTACAGGTGCGTGCCACCATGCTGAGGGGGGAGGCTGCATGGGAGTCTGAGGCAGGAGAATCGCTTGAACCCAGGAGGTGGAGGTTGCGGTGAGCAGAGATCGCGCCATTGCACTCTAGCCTGGGCGACAGAGCAAGACTCCGTCTAAAAAATAAAAAACAAATAAAAAATTTAAAAAAGAAAAAAAATAACCGAATAACTGGCTGACATTCAGACCTCCCAGGCCCTCCCCACCTCATTCTACTAGTGATCCCCTCAAGCCTCCCTAAGCAAACAGGTGGCTCTGCAGAGAGAGTCCACCCCGACTCAAGCAGCAGGACCTGGAATTCATCTTCCTCTCCCTGGCTTCTGACGGTGTCCCCTACATCTCCACCCCTCCCCTTTCCCTGCTGCCCAGAGCTAAGTCCCAGGATCCAGCCATCATGGGCTCTTAGGTTTCCAGGACCCTGAATACATTGGACATGTGGGTTCTGGGGCTGAAGGGGATTTGGGGTGAGTCTTGGGGTTGTGAGTGATAGGGGGCCTGGTGGGGTGTGGTCCAAATTAATAGCCTGGCAGGTTCAGGGCACTCACAGTTTACAGAGCCCTGGCCCACATGTAGGATGGGCCAGGGCGGGGGCGGGCGTGTTGGTGGTTTACGGGCTGCTGTGGGGCCTGGAGGTGCGGGAACAGGAAGTGGGATAGAGGAGCGGGTGAGGTTGAGCCAGGCTGTTGGCCAAGCACCTTCTCTGCTGCTCCCTCACCAGTTCCCTTTTTGTAATTCCTGGGGCAGTTCCTGCCCTACATTAGGCCCCTTGGCAGAGTTCTGGTTAGTTATCGATTTGGGGGAAGATAAAATGGTGCCCTTCTGGGTCAGGGACTCTCCTTGTCCCCTGAGGGGTCCTTAGCAGGGTTGCACTGATGCTGGGGCGAGAGTGAGGGGTGGAGGTCCCTGACTGGGGATGTGGACACTGGGGAGGAGGAGCTGACAGGGAGAGCTGAGGAAACACAGCCCTGCTCCTCTGCTCCTCCTCTCTGTGCTCCTCAGCATGCCTTTGGCAGCTGCGTGACCTTGTGAGCCTTAGTTTTCATCTCTGGATAATGGGCTTTATTCCCTACCTTCCCTGCTTTAGTGTTTTTTGTTGTTGTTGTTTGTTTGTTTTTGTGTGTTTTGTTTTGTTTTTTTTTGAGACAAGGTCTGCTCTGTCACCCAGGCTGGAGTGCAGTGGTGCTATCTCCACTCACTGCAACCTCTGCCTCTGGAGTTCAAGTGATCTTCGTGCCTCAGCCTCCTGAGTAGCTAGGATTGCAGGAGTATGCTGCCATGCCCTGCTAATTTTTTTTTTTTTTTTTTTTTTTTTGAGGAGTCTCGCTCTATTGCCTAGGCTGGAGTGCAGTGACGTGATCTCGGCTCACTGCAACCTCTGCCTCCTGGGTTGAAGCGATTCTCCTGCTTCAGCCTCCTGAGTAGCTGGGATTACAAGTGCGTGCCACCATGCCCGGCTAATTTTTGTATTTTTAGTAGAGATGGGGTTTCACCATGTTGGTCAGTCTGGTCTCAAACACCTGACCTCATGATCCAACCACCTCGGCCTCCCAAAGTGATGGGATTATAGGCATGTGCCACTGCGTCCAGACCTGATATATTTTTAGGTAGAGATGGGTTTTCACCATGTTGGTCAGGTTGGTCTTGAGCTCCTGACCTTAAATGATCCACCCACCTCGGCCTCCCAAAGTGCTGGGATTACAGGCATGAGCCATCGCGCCGGCCTAGTTTTGTGAGGTTTGAATGAATATGAAAATGCCTTTTCCCTACAAAAGTGCTGTGTTGGTATGAGGCATTGTTGTTACCGATTACCTATTTCTTGAGTATTATGAGCTGGGCATGTGGTTGGTACTTTGTCATGAGCTCATTTACATTTTAACCCTCACAACCTCAAGGAGGTCTCCTCAAGGAGACCCTTTTCTCGTTTTACAGGACTGAGGCCTAGAGAGGTGAAGTAGCGCGTGCATCCCAGGTCACACAGCTCTGAACAAGCTGTGGTTGTTCCTCTGGTTACCTCCGTTCCACCTGGAGCACCTGCTCCTAGGGTGGGCTTGGGGCTGGGGGCGGAGCTCCAGAGCCAGCGGCTGTGGGATAGGAGATTGCTGTGGTCGAGGAGGACCCTGGTCCCAGTTCCTGTCTGTCTGTCCCCCAGGCTCAGCCGCCCAGTGGGCTCAGGCCCAGAGCCCAGAGCAACCAGCACAATAGCGTCCAACAGCTGGAACGCCAGCAGCAGCCCCGGGGAGGCCCGGGAGGATGGGCCCGAGGGCCTGGACAAGGGGCTGGACAACGATGCGGAGGGCGTGTGGAGCCCGGACATCGAGCAGAGCTTCCAGGAGGCCCTGGCCATCTACCCGCCCTGCGGCCGGCGGAAGATCATCCTGTCAGACGAGGGCAAGATGTACGGTGCGTGCCGGGGGGCGCGGGCGGGACTGCGGCCCTTCCCCCTGCTCTCTGCCCTCTCACCCAACCGGTTTGGTGACGTCGGAGGCCGCCAGCCGCTGGCCGGGCGAGTCTGGGCGCGCAAGCCTGTGTGTCTGGATCCTCCTCCGCGCTCCTCCTCATAAACAAGCCGGGCTCGCCCCCTAACCAGGGCGCAGCCCACACCTTGGCACCCCCGCCTGCTCCTCCTCTCCTCCCCGCTACCGGCCTGGAGGTTTCGAGGTGACTCAGTGGGCCCAAGAAAGTGGGTCAGCCCAGTCTGCGCCGGTCGAGGCCCGGAACGGGGTCCCTTCCCGGAGGAGGATGTGGAAAGGAGGCCCGGTGATAGTCGCCCGGTGACTCCCACAGCCCGTATAGTTCTCTCCAGTGCGGGCTGTGGGAGGTCGCACGGGGACAAAGGCCTGCGTTGGGGCTGTGGGGACGCGTTCCCTCCTCAGTCCCCTTCCCCACTCCTTGGGTTTGTTGGCCCTCCTCTTTGCCATCTTGCCCATTTCCAGAAGGGAGTGTCCCCTCTTGTCCAGCCCTGAGAGGGCTCTCCCAGAGCTGCATTTTTGGGATAACTCGACCCTTCTGGGCCTGGTTCCTGGCCAGCTCCCCTATTCCTCCCAGCAGCCCGTGGCTGAGCGAGGCAGGCCCAGCCCTTCCCAGGGCGCGCCTGTGGGAAGGGATCAGGTCCGCTCCGTGTCCCTTGGCCACGCCCACCCAGCCCCAGAGCCCCACCTTGGGGGCAGGCAGATGGTCCAGGGTGCCTTCCACAGGGTGGGTGCTGTCTGCCCCCACTGCTGCCTCCCAGGCTGGGGAGCCCCACAGGGTATTTTTAGACAGGGTGGAGAGAGTGGGGTGGAGAGGGGCTGGCGGGAGGGAGGAGCAATGGGGCTGGTTCAGTCATCGGAATGGAATTTGGAGAATTTGGCCATTCTGGGGAGGCCTTGGGTTGGAGGGCAGAGAGCCTGGATTTGGGGGTAGAGGTGTACACCTTGACCATGCTGACTTGGGCTCAGCCGTGTGGCCCAGGCATCCCCCTTTCAGGCCCAAGTCCCTGGACACTGGCAGCTTTTGGGCCCTCAGAGGGTCTGTGGTGCAGAACAGACCCCGCACCCCAAGGCTCACAAGGCTCTCACAGGGTGGAGAGACACTGGGAACTGGTGACATGGGGGTGACAGGCACAAGGACATGGCGACATGCTCAGTGACACATCTTGACACAGGCCGCCAGTGTAGGAGGCACATTGGAGGCGGTCAGTGCTGCCTTCCTGTCCTTCCTGGTCTTTTACCAGAGAAGGGAAGGGACTTGACCAGGGTAAAGACAGAGCAAGGGCAGGACATCCACCTGGGGCAGGCTCATTCACACGCCCCCACAAATCCATGCACTAAGAGTACTGGAGCTGGTGACACAGGCAGGAAGCACTGCTGGGGGCTGGGAGGATGGGCGTGCCTGGCCAGGACAGGCCCTACTCAGCTACTGTCCTGCTGACCTGTACCACAGCCACCCGGTCTGTCTGCAGGGAAGCCTGTCAGGGTGCCTAGTGCTGCTCGGCCCTCCTTCCTCCTACCCTGCAGCCCCTCATGCACCCCTCCCCTGAAGAGCAGCCCCTCTAGGTCCTGGAGGTGGTAGGATGCAGCTGTGACTCCCCAGCCACCTTTGCATGCCCTGCATGTGCAGCTTGGGGTGAAGAGAGTGAGGAACAGAAGAGCAGTGTTTTGGGGAGGGTCCTGGAGTGGCTTCCCGGTGGGGTGGGGGCCTCCAGCCTCTGGCTCCACCCTTTGCCCACTCCTCATTTTCTCTCTCACCCCAATCTAGGCCGAAATGAGTTGATTGCACGCTATATTAAACTGAGGACGGGGAAGACTCGGACGAGAAAACAGGTAGAGAGACGGTTTATGCTGGGCCTGCCACCCACACACTCTGTCTCAGCTGCCCCGGTCAACCCCTTGCCCCTACCCTGCCCACCTCCTCGAGGCTGCCCCTGACCTGGACTGCCACCCTCCTTGCCTCATCACACTCCCCTTACCCCCTCGATTTTACACCCTCCCACCCCCAAGCAGCTCCATTCACCCTTCCCACTTCTCTTGGAGAGATGGCCCCACTGTCCTCTCTGACCACCTACTACCCTGCCCAGGGCCTGTGGTTCAGGGACCACAGATAAGCCCACGGGGCTGCTGTGGCTGCTACATGGTCCCTGCCCTGAGTGGCTCACTCACCAGCCAGGGAGCCAGATGGTCAGATGGATGGGTACAGAGCAAGGTGGCGGGGCTGAGAGAGGGTGGGTGCAGGGCACCCTGGGACAAGCAGCCAACCCAGACAAGGCTAGGGGAGTGGGGAGAGAGAGCTGGGAAGGCTCCCTGGAGGAGGTGACACTCGGGATATATTTTTAAGAAGGAATGGGAGTTCGCAAGGCAGAGAAAAGGGAGAAGACCCTTCCTTCCAGGCTGAGGAAGTTGGATATACAACTAATAATCATGGTAAACCCATACAGAGCTTCCTTTAAGTTAATTTATTTCATCCTCTCAGTAACCTTACTAGATAGGTACAGTAATTGTCTTTTTTACTATGAGGAAACTGATGCATAGGGAAGTTAAGTAACTTCTTCAAGCCCCCCAGGCAGGAAAGAGCTGTGCCTGTGGGCAGCCTGATGTGGTGGAGGGAGGGTGGGGACTGCTGGGGTAGGGGACACTCAGCAGGAGACATGGGGGACAGGTTCCCCAAGGGGCAGCGGTGGGCTACAGGAGGGTATGGAGCAGGGAGTGACAGGTGGCAGCTGTTGAGGAAGGCCCTCAAGCAGCCGGGACAATGGATTAGAGAGGGCTGGCTGGAGACAGAGAGGCTGGCCATTGCGGGCATAAGCAGAGGCCTAGATCAACAGTGCCAGGGCCTGGGATGAGGGTAGTGGTGGTGGGAGTGGAGAAAAATGATGATGTAAGAGACAGTTAGTGGCTTCTGATCCAGGGAAGGTGGCAGTGTAGTGACAGAAACCTGAAGGGGAGTGGATGGGAGTGATGGCCCCACTGCCTGGGGGAGAGGCCAGGCTGGAGGCGGGACCTGGAGGAATGGAGGCCAGTGCTACCCTCACACTCCCAGCCTCCTGTCCTGGTGGGATTTGGACCCACAGATCCCCATGGTGCATATGTCAAGTCTGGCCTGTTCCACCTCTTTCTCAAAGGAAGGTTCTGAGCCTCCCTACCCAGTGTAGGGGTGGCAACGATCCCTCATTCATTCAAGCATTTATGAACCACCCTCCCTAAGTCTAGCTCATGCAGCACCAAATTTATTCACTTAGCTAATGATTGACCTACTGCTGTGTTCTAGGCACCAGGGATACCACATGGAGGCGTGCGCCAGAGCCCTGTCCCCTGGAGCCCTTGGGTTCAAATACTGGTTCTACCTGGGAGTGGGCAGTAGTTGGCCTCCCAGCCTTGCATCCTCAGCCATTGAATTAGTTAACATGTGAAGACTCTTAGAACAGCGTAAGCGCTGCAGAAGAATTTGCTGCTGCTGTTATTATTATTCCAGACATTATTATAAACAGAAAGCCGTTCTGAGCTCAGAAGCGAACTCTCAGCGGGTCCTTCTCTACCCAGAAGAGGTGTTCATAGGAACCTGTTAGTCAGAGTGGGAACGGGCCAAGGGTCACTAGGTCACTGTTTTTTTGTTGGTTTTTTTAAGTTTTATAATTAATATAAAAATGGGGTCTCGCGATGTTGGCCATGTTGTTCTTGAACTTTTGGCCTCAAGCAGTCCTCCCGCCTCAGCCTCCCAAAGTGCTAGGATTACGGGCACGAGCCACCACATCCAGCCAAGCTGGGTCACTTTGAACTGAGGCCAGGGTGGATTGCAGACGTGGGGCACATCCCAGCCCCTGAATTCAGGGTCCACCATCACACCTGCTCCTGCCTAGCATCCTGAGAGGGCTGCCCAGAAAAGAGCTTTTACAAACCAGCTGTTGATAAGCTCAGAATTTTAGAAACCACTGTCTTCATTATAAGGGCATAAGGTACAAGGATGAAACTCCCCCTGTCTTTACTCTTTCTTAGAACTCTGGGTTTTTACATCCCAGTGAAAGGGGATCTGTCCTCTGGTTGTGAGGACAAGGCATGTCTTTATGTGTTAAAAAGAGTAACCACTGACAAGGTTTTTTTTGATCCTTTTAAAATTTACTTTCGACCTGTAATCCCAGGACTTTGGGAGGCCGAGGCAGGTGGATCACTTGGGTTAGGAGTTTGAGACCAGCCTGGTCAACATGGTGAAACCCCGTCTCTACTAAAAAATACAAAAATTAGCTGGGTGTGGTGGTGTGCACCTGGAATCTCAGCTATTCGGGAGGCTAAGACAGGAGAATCGCTTGAACCCAGGAGGCAGAGGTTGCAGTGAGCCGAGATCACGCCACTGCACTCTAGCCTGGGTGACAGAGCGAGACTCCATCTCAAAAAAAGAAAAAATTACTTTTGGCAAAGAAATGCAGTTTTAGGTTTTTACAGATACACACATGCAGCAATTCGTAGTAAGCACAATGCCTCCATATGGACAAAAGAGCTAAATATTAAGTTAGAATGAAGCTCTGTGTGACTTTCAGCTGTTACAGAGTCAACCATCTGGAGGCAGTCTTCTGAGCTAAGGGTCCAAGTGAGTCCTGGTAACGGAGCTTGGTGGTGAGTGGAGTCAGAGTGGGCTCTGGAGTCAGACCGCCTGGGTTTGAATCCTGGCTGTAGCACTCAGCCGTGTGACAGCTTAACCTTTCCAGGCTTTAGTTTCGTTATCTGTAAGTCAGGGATATTAGTACCTAGGTTTTTGTGTTGCTGTAAAGATCAAGGGGTCAGTATGTATAAATGCAGAGGACGATAGTATCTGTGCTCAGTAAACGCCAGTTACTGTCACAGCGTGAAGTGGTCAGTAATTTTGCTGGACAGGAGTCTGATTCCTGGGCTCAGTGAGGCAGTGTGAGGAGCACCCACCCAGGTCCTAACCAGGTGGTATCACATACTTACTCACTGTCAGGCTGTGATTAAAGAGAAAAACGAGCTTTCTTTGTGGGAGTAAAAACAACTCGCAAAGAAAGCCAATTGCCAATGCTGAAAGCGTGAAGCGGCGTCAAGGATCTGTGTGTTTCCTGGGGAAAACAGTGACATTTGGGTTCTCTGTGCCTCTGGGTCAGATCTTTCACAAGGTCAAGGGTCTGTGGTGTCAGCTGGGCACACAGCCCAGGGCACACACATCCAGACAGTGATTAGCTCAAGTTTGCCTGCGGAGGCTGCGAGGAGGAGATGGCTAGAGAAGAATTGCAATTAAGAGCACCCACTGAGTACATATATACACACTAGCATATATTAGCCCAAGCAGAAAGAAGGTATATTGGGGGGAAAAGTTATGGGAGCAAAGCAGGAGGGCCAGGCCTCGTTTCATAGGCTGGGGCTGTGGTTGGGGTTGACAGGAGGACTCAGGCGGTGGTACCCGGGAGATCCCTGGTAGAGGATGTGGCCTTGGTGTATAAGCTAGTGGCCAACAGGAGCACCATGGCCGTTGCTAGCACCTGTGGTGCCAATAAGAAAAAGGTTGTCTCCTCTGAGGACACCAGTGAGAAAAAGTCACCCTTTTTGCGGGGAGGACAGGGTTAGGCACAGCCTTGTACAAGGACACATAGCTTGGGCAGCAGAACTTGGGCTGGATTTCAGCCCTCACTGGTGCCCTTTGGGCCAGTGAACAACCTGTGCAGCTGTACATGGTGGCCCTGGAAGCCACTGTGGCTCTTGATCATGATAAGACCAAAAAGAGAACAGAATTGGCAGTGTCAAGAGGTGTCTGAACCGGGCACAATGGCACATGCCTATAGTCATAGCTACTCGGGAGGCTGTGGTGGGAGGATCGCTTGAGCCCAGGAGTTTGAGATCAGCCCAGGCAACATAAACCCTGTTTCAAAAAGAAAAAAGGTCCCCCCATTTACATGTAGTTCCCTAGAGATGAGAGGTCTGGGATGCTCCTTGCCCGCGGCCACCCCATGGCTGTGCCTCCTCACTGTCTATGTTTTCCTCTCTGGCGGGGCGCGGGGCGGCCCCTAGGTGTCCAGCCACATACAGGTTCTAGCTCGGAAGAAGGTGCGGGAGTACCAGGTTGGCATCAAGGTATGTTGGGTGCCTGGCGGGGGCCTTCAGCCCTCCTGGGCCCCTCACCCACGGCGCTATCTCTGCATAGCTCAGGCCTTTCCTTGGCCAGCTCTCCAGCCCCACTGTGCCTCTTTTCTGGCTGAAGCTCTGTTTCTGCCTCTCCTTCCGCTCTTTCTGTTCTTTTTCTCTTTCTTTCTCTCTCTACAGGTCTCTAGCCACTTGCAAGTTCTAGCCAGGCGGAAATCTCGGGAGATTCAGTCTAAGCTGAAGGTACGGGGCCCCTGCCACCTGGCCTGGCCTGCCCAGCACCCTCCTGGGTGCAGGCCTGTCGCTGCTCTGTGGCTCCAGCCTGGGACAGGCAAGGGGCTGAGAAGCTGTGAGGGGGTCCAGAAAGAAACACAAGTGGCAGCAGGAAGCCCAAGGGCCCTGTCAGTGAGGGAGAGGGAGACCATCTGGGGGCCACTAAGGCCCACCCCTCCTCTTCTCTGTTTTTCTTTTTCTCCTTCTTCCTGACTGCTGCTTACTAACTGCATGGGGACTTCCGTGGGCAGGGAGGAGGCCCCGGGGCTACTGGCCGGCAGGGCTATTGAGGTGGGCATGGCAGTTCCTTGCAGAGCTGGCTGTCCTGCAGCTGCGGATCTCAGAGTCTGGGGTTCATGACTGAGGCCCTTCTGAGGGCCTCACGCTGGCCGTGTGCTCTTCTCCCTGCCCACAGCGGTGCAGCAGAGGGGGCCTCTTACCCCCAGGCCCCCATGCCCAGAGCCTAGTTCCAGAACATATGGACAGACCCAGAGGGCACCAGCTTGTTTTCCCTCACTCTGCCCTTTCCAGGGCTTGCCCCAGCTGGCAGGCACTCCCTCTGTGGGGACGGGGAGGGTCTGCTGAGCTTCCTTGGGCTCCTCGGAAGCTAAAACCCATGGGCACTGGGTGGAGGTAGGCGCAAAGACGTCCCTCAGCCCACAGCCCTGGTGCTGCACATGTCCTCTAATCTATCTTCCTTCTCTCCCTCACAGGCCATGAACCTGGTAAGTAGCACAGCCCTCCCCAGTGGGAGTGGGGGAAAGGGTCTTAACACCTAATACAGGATTTTCAAATGACAGATTATGAAACCAACTTAATAGGTGTGCAAGCCTCATTTTAAAAAAACGAAATGGCTGGGCGTGGTGGCTCACGCCTGTAATCCCAGCACTTTGGGAGGCAGAGGTGGGTGGATCACAAGGTCAGGGGATCGAGACCAGCCTGACCAACATGGTGAAACTCCGTCTCTACTAAAAATACAAAAATTAGCCAGGCATGGTGACGAATGCCTGTAATCCCAGCTACTCCAGAGGCTGAGGCAAGAAAATTGCTTGAACTCAGGAGGCAGAGCTTGCAGTGAGCCGAGATCATGCCGCTGCACTCTAGCCTGGGTGACAGAGCGAGACTCCGTCTCAAAAAAAAAAAAAAAAAAAAGAAAATAGGAGAGTACATGACATACAGTAAGAGGAAATATCTTGACATATATTGGCCTTTGGAATAAAATAATTTCTTACTGTGGTTGTGGTCAGCGGTGATGGGCACTTGGGGGACTGAGACCAGGAAGGTGCAGAGACTCTCCCAAGATCACACAGCAGAGCTGGGGCTGGAATCCAGGCCTGGATCTTCAGGAACACCTGCCATCCTAGTGCTTTGGACTCTGCTGGGGTCATGGGAGGGGCGCTAAAGCAAGCCTGGCCTCATCCAGCGTGGCCCTGGCTTCATGCAGCCTCCTCTCCCCAGGACCAGGTCTCCAAGGACAAAGCCCTTCAGAGCATGGCGTCCATGTCCTCTGCCCAGATCGTCTCTGCCAGTGTCCTGCAGAACAAGTTCAGCCCACCTTCCCCTCTGCCCCAGGCCGTCTTCTCCACTTCCTCGCGGGTACATGGGTCCCAGGAGGTGGGCTGGTGTGGGGGTGTGCTGTAAAGGATGAGCTTTAGTGGGGTTCATGGATGCTGAGGGGCCCCTGGGCCTTGTCTCATCCCTGCAGTTCTGGAGCAGCCCCCCTCTCCTGGGACAGCAGCCTGGACCCTCTCAGGAGTGAGTATTGTGGCTCATCATCCCACGCCCTCTTCCTCCTGGCAGCCGCACAGGGCTTCCCTCCCATTTGGGCTCCAGCAACAGCTGAGCAAAGTTTTAATTCAAAAATAGAGGGATGCAGGCTGGGTGGTGGCTCACACCTGTAATCAATCCTAGCACTTTGGGAGGCCGAGGTGGGAGGATTGCTTGAGGCCAGGAGTTCAGAATCAGCCTGGGTAACAGGGCAAGACTTGCTCTCTCAAAAAAAAAAAAAAAAATTAGCTGGGTGTGGTGGTGCGTGCCTGTAGTCCTAGCTACGTGGGAGGCCAAGGCAGGCTAGGATTGCTTGAGCTCAGGAGTTCCAGAGTTCCAGGCTGTAGTGAGACTTGATTGCACCATTGCAACTACAGCCTGAGCAACAGAGGGAGACCCTGTCTCTGAAAAAAGAAAAAAAAAAGCTGGAGAGTGGCAACAGGACAGCTGATGCGCTGGCTGTTCACTATGCATTCTCTCATCAGCATGCATCCACTTGTCATCCATCTCTTTGTTTACTTTCTGCTCAGTTTCTGAGGCAGTCTCTCAGTTAACAAGTCAGGTGGTCAAGTGTGCTGGTTCTTCAACTCTAAAACAACTTTCATCAAAAGACCCTCAGCTTAAGGAGCAGCTTTTCAGGGTGGGGGGTGGGGAAGGTTGAAATGAAATCCTACACTAAATGGGCAGATCAGCTGGGAGACGCAGCAGGATTTCACAAAAGCTAAAATGTGCAGAAAACAAAAAGCTTGCGAGTTAGCTTTTCAGCATGCGTTTCTGGGCCTCAGCAGAAAGGCTGGGTGGCTTGCTCCTGGGGTCTTGGAAGAGGGGCTGGGCCAGGTGGAAGGTAGGGAAGAGGGAACCCTCTCACCAGGCTGTGCTCCTGTCTGCAGCATCAAGCCCTTTGCACAGCCAGCCTACCCCATCCAGCCGCCCCTGCCGCCGACGCTCAGCAGTAAGTTCCCCACACGAGGTGCTCTCCCTTGGCACCTGCACCTCCACTCAGGAGAGCTGGGGTCCAACTGTGTGTGTTTGCTTTGGGAGGGAGGGGGTTGCGACATCTACAGGAGATTGGGACAGGCCAGGAATAGCCCCTTTACCTTGTACAATGTTGCTTCCAGATCTCTGGCACAAAACCATAGCCAAGCCAGGCGTGGTGGCTCATGCCTGTAACCCCAGCACTTTGGGAGGCTGAGGCAGGTGGATCACCTGAGGTCAGGAGTTCGAGACCAGCCTGAACAACATGGTGAAACCCCGTCTCTACTAAATACAAAAATTAGCTGGGCGTGGTGGCGCATGGCTATAGTCCCAGCTACTTGGGAGGCTGAGGCAGGAGAATCACTTAAACCCAGTGGGTGGAGGTTGCAGTGAGCCAAGATTGTGCCATTGCACTCCAGCCTGGGCAACAAGAGTGAAACTCCATCTCAGAAAAACAAAAAAACCATAGCCAATACACAGCTACAAGCACACACCACCAAAACCTACATTTACACACATCTCTATGGATAGAAAACTCCCCATAAGGAAATGCACTGAAATCTTAACAAGACTTTCTCTTTCTAGATGGTGGGATTCTGGGTAATTGTTCTTTCCCTTTTTTACTTCTCTGTGTTTTCTGTTTAAACACACAAGGAAATGTTTTTGATATATACTACTAGGGCCACCACGTATGGTTGTGCAGGTTGTACACTGTACAAGGACACATAGTAGGGGAGTCAAAATCCAACTCATGTTCCTTCCCAAAAGGGGCACCTTTGCAAGCTGGGGGCAGCTTTGTCAGTAAGCACCTGCATGCATCCATGCAGATGAAAATCTGTCTCGCCCTCCCAGGTTATGAGCCCCTGGCCCCGCTCCCCTCAGCTGCTGCCTCTGTGCCTGTGTGGCAGGACCGTACCATTGCCTCCTCCCGGCTGCGGCTCCTGGAGTATTCAGCCTTCATGGAGGTGCAGCGAGACCCTGACACGGTAACGTGTTTGGGGGTGAGGGTGAGGCTTTGCACAATTGTGGAGAGGCCGGCCGGGTGATCCAGGGCTGCAACTCAGGATCTGGGGGTTGGGGGTCTGGCCTGTTCAGGAAGCCCTAGGCAATTCTATACCTGTGCAGTGCTCCCTTCCCCGCCCCCGGGCCTGCAAGCCTGAGTACTCTCCTGACCCTGTCTGGGCCCTCCCCACAGTACAGCAAACACCTGTTTGTGCACATCGGCCAGACGAACCCCGCCTTCTCAGACCCACCCCTGGAGGCAGTAGATGTGCGCCAGATCTATGACAAATTCCCCGAGAAAAAGGGAGGATTGAAGGAGCTCTATGAGAAGGGGCCCCCTAATGCCTTCTTCCTTGTCAAGTTCTGGGTGAGTCCCCCTGGCCTTCTCTGCTCCAAGCCCCCTTCCCCACCCCAGAGGTGCAACATCCAGGCCCACTGCATTGACCTCTGACCCTGCTGCATCCTCATGGCTTGTGGGCAGAGTGCCAGAGATGGATCCTTGGGCAGGACTCTGATGTGGTGTGGCGGGAATACTTCTGGTCTCTGCCAGCACCTAACACCCCCCACCCCCATGCCCAGGCCGACCTCAACAGCACCATCCAGGAGGGCCCGGGAGCCTTCTATGGGGTCAGCTCTCAGTACAGCTCTGCTGATAGCATGACCATCAGCGTCTCCACCAAGGTGTGCTCCTTTGGCAAACAGGTGGTAGAGAAGGTGGAGGTGAGTGGGGGCTCTGGGTGGCTTGGTGGGGCTGGGAGCAGGCAGGCCGAGTGACGCCTTCTCCATATTCTCTGCAGACTGAGTATGCCAGGCTGGAGAACGGGCGCTTTGTGTACCGTATCCACCGCTCGCCCATGTGCGAGTACATGATCAACTTCATCCACAAGCTGAAGCACCTGCCCGAGAAGTACATGATGAACAGCGTGCTGGAGAACTTCACCATCCTGCAGGTATGGGGGCAGCAGGGGTCGTGGGGAGTCCCACAGGCCAGGGCCTCCAAGTTGGGTAGCCAGACACATCGCTTGGCTGAGAGGCATAGATCCGGAAAGGAGAATGGTCTGTTCAGCCCCCTGCCCCGTGGCCCTTTTCTCCCTGACCTCCTGAATCTCTTACCTGCTCACCCCCCAGGTGGTCACGAGCCGGGACTCCCAGGAGACCCTGCTTGTCATTGCTTTTGTCTTCGAAGTCTCCACCAGTGAGCACGGGGCCCAGCACCATGTCTACAAGCTCGTCAAAGACTAGGGTGCCCTCTGCGCCTCCTTAAGGATGCAGGGTGAGCATCTCCTCTCCACACCTGCCTGGCACCCCTGGGGGGGTCCAGGATTGAGGATTCATCTACCTGCCAGGCCTCAGGCCCAGGACCCAGGAGGCCTCCCCACCTACCCCAGCACACACACTCCCTGCCACTGTTCTGCGCTTTAATTGTGGGAGAAGAGAGGAGAGGAGGGCTCAGCGGTGGGGCAGCCTGTCCGGGGCGCTGACCCACCATCACCCTGCTCTGCCCAGCCTCGCGTGACCTCAGAGAGGTGGGGATAGGGGACACCTTCAGCCTCCAGCATGTGTGGCCACTGTACCCCCACCCACCCTTGGGGGAGCATGATGGGCAGGTGAGGGCAGGATGGAGACCAAGGGAGTCAGTGAGCAGAGGCCCTGGGAGTGTCCGGTTGGGGTTGGACTGAGGACAGAGGGGCCCACACTTCCTTGCCCCTTTGTGTCCCAGGCCTGGTGCCCAGACTCCTTGCATGGCTTGTGTGGTCCTCAGACTCCGCACAGCGAGCGTAGGTCTCTGGGTTTCAGATGAAGTGCCCAGGCTCCAGGAAGTTGAGGGACCCACAGGAGAGGTGGGCAGAGCTGGAGTTCTCATCCAGGGCTGCTTGTCCCCAGAGCCCAGGTTTATACTACCTCCCTGGGGCGGGGGCTGGCCGCAGGGTAGGGGAGAGGCTCTGCAGTGTGGAGTGGAGCCTCATCGAGGGGCGCTGGGTTAGGGGAGCACCTGTTTCAGACTGGGCATGAAGAAGGGAGCACAGCAGCTACTAGACCCCATTAGCACCTCATTAGCCCACAAGCCAGCCAGGGGCCCCAGGAAGATGGGGCACCCCCCAGCACCCTCCAGATTGAGAGCAAGGTAGAGGAAGGAGTCCCAGCCTCTGGGCAGACCAGAGGCCCAGAGGGAGAGAGTAGCAGAAGGCTTTTGATTTTTCTCTTGCCTGAGGCTTGAATCTGACAAACCCTTGGTGGGCACTGCTCCCTTAGGTTCTTCCCCACCTCAATCTACCTGCCTAGAGTAGCAGCTCCCAGACCCAGTTCTGGGACTGAAGGTTAACCCTTCACCTGCTGTCCCTTCTTAACACCCAGGCCCCCAGAGCCAGCTGGGCCTGTCCAGCAGCCACCTGTGGGTATTTATGAGTTTCATATGAAGTACTGTGCCCCTTCCCTTCCTCATCCCGACCCTGCCCGAGCTTCCTGAAGGTCCTCACTGTTTGCATATCGCTCAGGCCACCTCCAAACCCCACCTAGGTTTTATAATGTATATTATATATTTTTTTGTGTATTTTTAAAATCCAGCTGTGATGGGTTATATCATAAATGCAGCTTGGGGTTGGAGCAGGGGCCCTCAAAGGCCCAGCTCCTGCTCAAAAAAAAAAAAAAAAAAAAATTAAAGTTATTTGTTTGTGGGTCAGTCATGTAACCACTTGTGTGCCAGACCTTTGGATTGGAACAGCTTCAGGTGAGGGCTCCTCCTAGGTCCTGGTGTGTCATCACCGCCAACCCCTGCAATGCCATCATCTCTTGGGGGGCCCCAAGGCCTACCCACACTCAACATTTCCCTCACTCCCTCCTGCTTCCAGCTGAGCACTTGTGTGTGCTGGCCTGAGGTCACCTAAGGGAAGTGATGTGCTCAAGGTCGCACATTGACTGAGATGGAAGCTCCAGGGCCCCCTGATAAGCCAGCACAACACAGACCAAAGCCTAGGGGTTAGCAACTGACCCTAAGTGACTCAAGGAGGGTAAGCGCTCTCCCCAGGTGACAACTGCTGACCTACCCATGTCTGCCTGGAAAGCCCTGCTGTCCTGAGCCACCTGTCCACAGTAGGGACAGACCACAGTCCTTAGAGGGCTGGGGCAGAGATAGTTCAAGACTTTCAGCGGCCGGGCACAGTGGCTCACACCTGTAATCCCAGCACTTTGAGAGGCTGAGGCGGGTGGATCACGAGGTCAGATCAAGACCATCCTGGCTAACATGGTGAAACCCCGTCTCTACTAAAAAAAAAAAAATGCAAAAAATTAGGCAGGTGTGGTGGCACACGCCTGTAGTCCCAAATACTCAGGAGGCTAAGGCAGGAGAATAGCTTGAACCCGGGAGGTGGAGGTTGCATTGCAGTGAGCCGAGATTGCACCACTGCACTCCAGCCTGGGTGACAGAGCTAAACTCCGTCTCAAAAAAAAAAAAAAAAAGCTTTAAGCAAACATTTTCCCAAAGAGGCTGTTCTAGCTTTTTCTCCTGCAGTTAAATATGGGTGAACTGATTGGACTCACTTGTCACAGGATGAAACTGTATTTGCTCTAAGGGTGGCAGGCTAGAGATGAGACTCTAGAATAAAGGGTTAAACAGAATGGGGATGACCCAGTTAAATTTTAATTTCAGATAAACAGATGATTTAAGTATGTTCCATGCAATACTAAGGACATCCTGCATTTTTATTTGCTAAATCTGGCAACCCTCTAGAATCTAGTCTTCTAGGTCATTCTAGTCCAACCTTCAAGTTAACAGATCGGGAGAACTTGAGACATGTTAAATGTACTTCTCACAGCCAGTCACTGCCAACATCAGGATTCCAACCTGGTCTGCCTGACTCCACGTTGTGTGCCTGGTATCCCACTAGGAGCCCCAAACTGTCACCTGCTGGATGGGTGGGAGGGTACCGAGCCCCAGTAGGTAGGAGGGGTCCAGGAAGCAGAAATTCCTGGAGGCTGCACTGGACACCGATTACATCTGTGGGCGATTAGCACACGAGCCTTCAGATAATTGCTTTTGCTTTAAGCTGAAGTTTCCCTTTTCCTTCTGATTGCAAAGATCACAGGAGGTTCAGAAAATACAGAAAAGCCCAAAGAAAAGAAAAATAACCACAACAAGTAGCTGGCTGGACCTGTCTTGAGAACCAAAATTCACTGCTCATCCTCATTAGGTTTTATACCTTTCTTACCAAGAAAGTGCTGTTAACTTCTTAAAAGCTAAAAAAGCAAAAGCTGCTCAGAGTAAAAACCCTGTGTTCTTCATTTCAGGGACAGGGAAGGCTTGTTTTGAGAAATGCAGCATCTCCCCCGACCCCCCGACTCCCACACATACCACCGATGGACTCTTGCTGTTGCCCAGGCTAGAGTGCAGTGGTGCGATCTCAGCTCACTGCAACCTCCACCTCCCAGGTTCAAACAGTTCTGCCTCGGCCTCCCAAGTAGCTGGGATCACAGGCGTGAGCCACCGCACCCAGCCAAAATACAGCATTGTTAAGCACTGCTTTTATGCTTTAAAATAACCGTTCTCAGCCGGGGGTGGTGGCTCACGCCTGTAATCCCAGAACTTTGGGAGGCCCAGACGGGCGGATCACAAGGTCAGGAGATGGAGACCCTCCTGGCTAACACGGTGAAACCCTGTCTCTACTAAAAATACCAAAAAACTAGCCGGGCATAGTGGCGGGCGCTTGTAGTCCCAGCTACTCGGGAGGCTGAGGCAGAATGGCATGAACCCAGGAGGCGGAGCTTGCAGTGAGCCCAGATCACGCCACTTATACTCCAGCCTGGGGAATGGAGCGAAGACTCAAAAAAAAAAAAAGCAGGGATGAACTTGTTCCCCTATTTACCAAAGTCAAACTAAGCTCATTTTAGTCAAAGGTTAAAGCAGTACTGGGTGCTAGAGGCAAGAACTGCCAACAGGGAAATGCCTCAGAAAAGGAGGGGGCTTAGCCTGCCTGGGGCAAGGACCTGGAATACTGTTAACAGGATCTGGCTGGGGATGGTGACTCACACCTGTAATCCCAGCACTTTGAGAGGCCGAGGCAGAATTGCTTGAACTGGGACCCACAGATTGAGATCGCACCATTGCGCTCCAGCCTGGGCTACAAACTCCATTTAAAAAAAAAAAACAAGGTCCATTAATTATACTTTTGTACTGGTTTGCTGTGCCTTGTTTTCCTTAACATTTACTCATTACTAACCCAAAGCATAGGATACTCCACATGTGGTCTTCTTAACACAGAAATGCTGACTAAAATCCTTATTTTAAATTTACATGGACCAATCCTGTCAAAAAGCTTCAATGCCGTTAGCAACCCTATCACATATGCAAGACTGCCTGATTTTGATGGCAGAAAAACATCCTCTTCCCTATAGTACCCAACTATCCATCATCAAAGTGACAAACTACACAACTAGCCATCAGCAGTGCCAAGGCCCTCACTTGTCAGCTGACAAACCACCCCCCACCCTCAATCACAGGCAGACAGAGGGAACTGGTAATAGAATTTATTCAAATGTGCCTTAATATAGGCGCTGGGGCTTGCCCATGGTGCTCTTGATATATAAGGCCCGGACATTCTGCCAGTTTTTCTTGAGCAATGACACCAAGAAGTTGACAGCCAGGTGAATGTTATACACAAGCTCATCGTCTGTCATCTTCACGTGACCAACAGCTACAGCCAGACATAACACCTGGGAGGAGGGAAGAGAGGATCAAGTCAGGTTGGTGGACGAATAGCAGATGGCCTGTCCTTCCTCCCCCAGTGGCCTGGTGAGCAGGTACTTGGACCCGGGCCAAGACCAGGGTTACTCCAAAAGTTTCAATCCTGGTGGGTGCTCTTACTGGCATATTTAGAGACTTGGATAAGATTTAGACCCTGCCAACACCTTCACCCATAGCAACCCGCCAGACCCACTCACCTTCTTCATTTGGAACTTGATTGTGGACTTCACCTCATCCACTTTGGCCACCATGTTTTCGTTGTGTGTGAGCAGGGAAGGGAACTTTCCTGCCTTATTTAAACCTGGGCCGAGGATTCGTGGAATCTGCTTGATCAGAGACTCTGAGGCCAAAAACGCATCATACTTCTTGGCTGATAGAGAGAGGAAGCCATTGGCATTGCTTAGAACCTGGTCACCAAGGCACACCTCAAATGTGGCAGGCCAGAAACGCACTTGAATCAATCATGTAAGTGACCTCCAAGCAGCACCCTCTCTAAGACCCCGCCTCAGTCTTTTCCCTAGCCCAAACGGTTTCCAGAAAGTCCTCTGGACCTTCACTGGTCCCAAAACATGCTCTCAGAAAACCAGGCTGACCCATGATCCATGGCATAACCGCTGTACAACGGATGCTCTGGTCAAGACTGCCTGGGCTCGAATTCTGCCTATTTCTTAGCTGTGGACCCTGGACACGTGACAACTGGGAATGTCTGCTTCCTACCTGTAAAAGCAGTCTAATGCCACTGCCTAAACAACGCAGCGTAAAGATTTCCAAATCATAGTTCACCAGCACCTGGCTGGTCAACTTACAATGCCTGGCCTCCCTCATCAACTGGAATCCTCATAGCAATACAAACATCAAACCACCCCAAAGCTAAAACAGCACTCAGGCAAGCTAGGCAACCACCGCCGATCCTTTGCTATTCTAGGCCCCTCATCATTTAAAAATCGAAAATGGCAGAAAAGCCTTTCTACCGCCCCCACCACACATCTCACATGCAAAACCACAGCGGCCGGACTCACCCAGCTTCTTGACCAGTTTTTTATTCTTGTTGAGTTTTTTCAGCGCCTCGATGTCCATGTGGGGGATATCCACGGCCTTAGCCTCGTCACAGTGCTGCTGGTCCCCCAGGACACACACAGAGAACTTAGGGCGGGGAGTGGACTTAAGCCTGCGTTTTGGGGGACAGCACCAACAGGTTACGCCTAGCCCTGGGTCCCAAGGGCCGGTGAAGGGTCTGGGACCGCAGCAGCCACCGAGCCTTACCCGGAGCGTTCACATTCACCAGCAGCCAGCCTGGCTTCTCAGGCTGGCCGGCGGGCTCGGCCGAGGCCTACCCACGCCTCCCCTCATGTTTTAAGACCCAGGGTGGGGGTCCGTCCAGCCGCGCCTGCCCGGAGCAGGGGGTCTGAACTACCCTAGCACATCAGTACCGACGTGCCCGCCTCCGGCTCAGCGGGAGCCTGCAGGGGAGGGGCAAGCACGGGGGCACTGAGGGCTGGGTGGGATCAGAACGGTGCCAACCTGACGGTGCCCGAGAAGCGCTTGTCCTTCTGGGGATCATAGTTCTTCAAGCTGATCTGCAACTCCACCGTCTCCAGGAACCTTCGAGAGAGGAGGGGGGTTAAGCACCCGCCGGCCCTCGCCACCCGCGCCGTGCCCCAGGGTCGGCACTCACTTGCGGCGCTTGCGCTGGTTCCCGTGCAGGACTTCCCGCACCGCCTCGTACAGGGTGTCGCGAGAGACTTTGCTGCTGCGGGAGAGAAGCGACAGGGCGCTCAGGGCCGCGGAGTCCACACGCTCGGACTGCCTGGAAGCCTCCGAGGTCTAGGCTTCGAGACGGGCGGGCGGCCCACGGCGGACTCCCCCGTAGATTCCGGACACCAAGTAGAGCGACGGGAGCTCAGACCCAGACCCAAGCCCCGGTGGAAGAGGGAGGCTCTCAGTGATCGGACCTGGTAGGAAGGGCGACCCGCAGGCCGACCCGCCTTGAGAAATGCCCCGCGGCGCAGGTGGCGCAAGGGTCCGCGGCGCGGCCTACAGGATCCGAACCCTCGGCGGGGCACCTGAAGGCGCGGATGAACGCGGATAGGGCTTTCAGGACCAACTCACCTCATGGCTTCTCACGCCGCGCTAACCGGAAAAGAGACTAGCATGTCTTGCGCATGCGCTCAAATAGTGGCCCTGATCTCGCGATAATGCTTTGCTCCTCGGTCCTACCCGCAGAGCGGTTGGGTGGGCCAACCCCGAGAAGCGCGGCCTTCTCTGGCCGCTGGGGGGCGTCGCTGGGCCGCTAGGCCGGCGCGGTAACCCACAGAGTTGTCGCAGTCCTGAGCGCCCCGCGGTCCCCCGGTAATGTGCCGATTCGCGCCCGCTGCTGCTGGACCCCTAGGGAAGCGGCTGGGTTCGGGGCTCGAGCTTCGGTAGTCACACGTACTGGTACAGCCCAGTGATGTTCACTGACAGCGTGGATTCCGGCACGCTTGTCCCTCAAACCCCTCTCCCCTCGCGCCCTCCGCACCAGCTTATGTTCTCAAAAGGAAGCCTGGCCCGACCTCCCTCCCTCAGCACCTTGCTCTAACGTGGACTCGTGGTAAGGGAAGTGTCCGGAAAGTTCTGTTCCTGTCCTTTCAACGCCTGCAGAGGGGAAGAGCTGGGAAAGTCCTTAAGTGAACTTTCACTTGATAGTTAATTTGATAACATCTACGTTTTAAGTGTGACTGCTATGAATAAGGCGTCTAGCCAGGTGCTACAGGAATACAAGGATGTAAAACAGGCACACAGCACTGCACACCCATAAGGTGTCTTCTCTGCTCTTTCCTCTGTCCAATGGGTCTCATCCTCTTAGCCACAGTAACCCCCAGAGCCCTTCAGATCTCTCCTCGGATTCATCTGCCCAAAACCCTTCCCGAACTCCAGACTGAGTCACTCCCACCTTTAAGATGCCCATTCTCACCTACCCCCCTGCCTGGTGGGGGCAGCTCCTATAGGATGGGGTGGGTGGTATTACACATTATTTGGCCCTCAGAGGGTGAATAAGATACCCTACACCCTTCCCCTCACCAGGAAAAAGATGTTCCTTGTCATTGAGCAGGGAAGTGGAGGGGGTGCGGATGGGCTCAATACCCAGAATTCATGGGAAGGAAGGTACTGCTTCTAATAAGACATTGGCCAGGCGTGGTGGCTCACGCCTGTAATCCCAGCACTTTGGGAGGCAGGCGGATCACCTGAGGTCAGGAGTTTGAGACCAGCCTCGTCTCTACTAAAAATACAAAAATGAGCGGGTCATGGTGGCATGCGCCTGTAATCCCAGCTACTCAAGAGGCTGAGGCAGGAGAATCGCTTGAACTGGGGAGGCAGAGGTTGCAGTGAGCCGAGATCATGCCATTGCATTCCAGCCTGGGCGACAGTGCGAGACTCAGACTCGAAAAAAAAAAAAGAAAAAGACATTATTGAACTTGCTTTTATTCAACACCATTGATAAATTATTCAAGTCAGAAACAAAAACACAGAAGGTCATAATATACATGAGCACAAGAGCTTCATCTGAGCCCACTGGTACCCCAGACCTCCTGGAGCATCCCATGCCCACTCTGGGTCGGCTTGATCCTACTGAGCCCTATCGGAAAGTTTGTCCCTGCAGCCTGAGAATTGATGAGGAGTGTGCCTGGGGCCAGCAGCCTTTGGAAATATAGCTCTGGCCTGGTGTGGTGGCTCACACCTGTAAATCTCAACACTTTGGGTGCCAAGGCAGGAAGATCACTTGAGCTCAGGAGTTCAAGACCAGCCCTGACCAGCATATTATCTACAAAATAAAAAATTAGCTGGGCATAGTGTCATGTGCATGTAGTCCCAGCTACTTGGGAGGCTGACATGGGAGGATCGAGCCTGGGAGGCAGAGGTTACAGTGAGCCATGATCAATCGCATCACTGCACTCCAGCCTGGATGACAGAGCAATACCTTCTCTCAAAAACAAAAGAAATGAAAAAGAAAATATAGCTGAGCTCCCTTAGCCCAGGAGCCTCCCTGCTGGCTGGGAAGCCAATATTCCCTATGCAGCCTGTAACAGGGAGGCAGTTGCAATCTGGGATGGCCAGGCTCAGCCTTTATCCTCAGGCTAGGGCTCAAGACAAGGTGGTGAAGAAAGAAATGCCCTTCAGGAAGCTGGTGATGGAGCACCAAGAGGGTGGTCCCTTGGTGGATGGTCAGGGGCCCAAATGTTTCAAGGCGGCCTTCAGGGACTTCCTCAGGAAGGTGGTGTTAGGTTCTAGGGCCATAGCCAGGCCCAGCCTCTGGGTCTCAGTGATCTGGGGAGAAGGAAAAATCATGTCAGGACTCCAGCAACTGATCCCTCCCGTCTCCCGACTACCCCAGGGGCTCTATTGAGGAGAGAGGAGGCCAGGAGGATGGAAAGAGGAGGAGACTCCTGAGCAATCTAATCTCATTATTTCACCATGGTTAACGAGGTAGACCTGGAGCCAAATACTAGCTGCACAATTTACTAAGCCGGCCACATTAGTAACAGTTGACAATCATTGTGTGTTTACTATGTGGCAGCACTTTATATGCATCAATCCATATACAAACATACATATACATCATATATATGCATTGCTGTATATAATCCTCAAGACCCTCCCATTTTACAGAGGAGAAAACTGAGGTTCACAGACACTCTACTGTGACAGCTACCTTCCTTTTGGATCACACTTTCTCTTTCTGCCCTGTTGCTACAACCTCCTGACAGGTCTCAGGCCCTGTATCTTCACCCTCCAATCCCACTCCTCACAGAAGCCAGATGCTTCTTAATAGTACAGATCTGATGAAGTTACTCCCAGGTTGAAGGCCCTTGAATGACTCCTGATGCCTCACATTGGAGGTCCTTCTGCCTAGATCTCCAGAGGATTCAGGAGCTCCCCTGAAACTGTGCAACAGAAGCATGTTCATACTTCCATCTTTCTGGGAGGGTCTACATCAAATCATCAAATGGGCCTGTAACACCCCCGACATAAGGGTACAAAGGCAATAGCCCAGAATACCTGACTTTCAAGATAAAGTTAAAAATAAAGCTCCTGGCTGGGCACCATGGTTCATGCCTGTAATCCCAGCACTTTGGGAGGCCGAGGCAGGTGGATCATGTGAGGTCAGGCATTGGAGACCAGCCTGGCCAACATATTGTGAAACCCCATCTCTACTAAAAAATACAAAAACTAGCTGGGCGTGGTGGCGCACACCTGTATTCCCAGCTACTTGGGAAGCTGAGGCAGGGGAATCACTTGAACCCAGGAGGCGGAGGTTGCAGTGAGCCAAGATCGCGCCACTGCACTCCAGCCTGGGCAACAGACCAAGACTCTGTCTCTCAAAACATACATACATACATACATATATACAGCTCCTCACCATGACGTACAGAAAAAATGCTACTAGTCCTGGCAGTGTGACCTTGGGCAAGTTACTTTAACCTGTGTGAGTCTCAATTTTCTGATCTATGAAACGGAATAATAAGAATATCTCTCAGGCCAGGCGCGGTGGCTCACACCTGTAATCCCAGCACTTTGGGAGGCTGAGGAGGGTGGATCACAAGGTCAGGAGATCGAGACCATCCTGGCTAACACAGTGAAACCCCGTCTCTACTAAAAATACAAAAAAAATTAGCCATGCGTGCTGGCAGGCGCCTGTAGTCCCAGCTACTCGGGAGGCTGAGGCAGGAGAATGGCGTGAACCCAGGAGGCGGAGCTTGCAGTGAGCCGAGATCGCAGCACTGCACTCCAGCCTGGGCGACAGAGCGAGACTCCATCTCAAAAAAAAAAAAAAAAAAAAAAGAATATCTCTCACAGGGCTGACACATGGAATAAACTAGCAAGTTCATATATGTAAAGGGCTTAGAGCCACGCCTGAGGCTGGGTGTGGTGGCTCAAGCCTGTAATCCCAGCACTTTGGGAGGCCAAGATGGGAGGATTGCTTGAGCCTAGGAGTTTGAGGCCAGCCTGGGCAACATAAGAAGACCCTGTCTCGGCCGGGCACGGTGGCTCACACCTGTAATCCCAGCACTTTGGGAGGCCAAGGCGGACAGATCACAAGGTCAGGAGATCGAGACCATCCTGGCTAACAGGGTGAAACCCCATCTCTACTAAAAATACAAAAAATTAGCCGGGCATGGTGGCGCGCGCCTGTAGTCCCAGCTACTCAGGAGGCTGAGGCAGGAGAATGGCGTGAACCCGGGAGGCGGAGCTTGCAGTGAGCCGAGATGCGCCACTGCACTCTAGCCTGGGCAACAGAGTGAGACTCTGTCTCAAAAAAAAAAAAAAAAAAAAAAGAAGACCCTGTCTCTATTTTTGAAAAATTAAATTTAATAAAAGAACCATGACTGAGACATGGCAGGTACTGTAGAAATAATAGCTCTTAGTACTTTAGCTCTCTAATCTTATCCCCCACCACCATCCATTCTCACATTTTTAGGCTCCATCCACAATGAACTACTTGCAGATCCCCTCAGACACTCACTGCTCACACTGTATCTTTTTCCTGAAATGCCCTTCCTCTCATCTCTGGCTCTTGACTACCATTCACCTTTTAAGAGTCAGGAAGTCTGGGCACGACAGCTCACGCCTGTAATCCCAGCACTTTTGGAGGCCGAGGCGGGCTGATCACAAGGTCAGGAGTTCAAGACCAGCCTGGCCAACATAGTGAAACCCCGTCTCTACTAAAAATACAAAATATACAAAAAATTAGCCAGGCGTGGTGGCAGGTAATCCCAGCTACTCGGGAGGCTGAGGCAGGAGAATCGCTTGAACCTAGGAGGCAGAGGTTGCAGTGAGCCGAGATCATGCCATTGCATTCCAGCCTGGGCAACAGTGCGAGACTCCGACTCAAAAAAAAAAAAAAAAGTCAGGAAGCCCGTCCCAATTCCCAACCACAAACAAAGCTCACTTGCTCCTCTTCTTTTGCCACCAAATGCCCTTTGCACACCTCTCACCTGGCTCCTACCAGATCTTACTTCTAATATCTGTTATCTGTTTATTTTATTTCTCCCCTCTCACTAGCCTGGGGTTAGGTGACGGGGTCAACTCAAGGGCAGGGATTGCATTATGGTCGCTGTTGATTTCCCAGTGCCCCACACAGCATCTGGCCTAAAGAAGTGTTGGCTGGATGAATGAACTCCTAAGCAGTCTCATTCCCCAGTCCTGGGCTTGAACTTGTTGTTTCTCTGGCTAGCACTCAGGGTTTGTTTTTTGTTTTTGTTTTTGTTTTTGAGATGGAGTCTCACTATGCTGCCCAGGCTAGAATGCAGTAGCATGATCTCAGCTCACTGCAACCTCCACCTCCCAGCTTCAAGCAATTCTCCTGCCTCAGCCTCCCTTGTAACTAGGATTATAGGCGTGCACCACCACACCTAGTTAATTTTTGTATTTTTAGTAGAGATGAGGTTTTACCATGTTGGCCAGGCTGGTCTTGAACTCCTGACCTCATGATCCGCCTGCCTCGGCCTCCCAAAGTGCTGAGATTACAGGCGTGAGCCACCGTGCCTGGCCAGCACTCAGGGTTTTATCCCTGACATACATATTCATACACCCTTGTGGCAGGCCCAGGGCAGCCCTGCCAGCAGGACCAGCCCCAAGGCCCTATCAATACTCACGTTAGCCTGATACTTGGTCATCACTGTCAGCATGAGCTTGGCATAGGCCATGGAGGTGGTGGCTGCCAGCCCCTTTTTACAGAGCTTCTCCATTAAGACACTGAACTTCTCAGGGGTCATCTCCACCTGCACACATTGGGAGATGGAGCAGTAATCACAAGAAAGGCTTGGGCTCTTCATTCAGCCAGTCCTGGATTCAATTCCCAACTCCACCACTTCCTAGCTAGGTGACCCTGGGCAGGTAACTTAACCAACCTAAACCTCCATTTCCATATCTATAAAATGAGGCTCAGGATATCTAACGGAAGACTGTGAAAAGGATTAAATGAGATAATGCACATAAGACACACAGGTCTCAGAAAATGGTGGCTACCATTGCAAAGGCTCAGATTAGGACCAAGGGGAAGCCAAGGATCCCTCATCTGGTTCAGTGGTTAAAGATATAAAGGACCCAGGGCCCAAGAGACACTGCCACCTTAATCACCTGTCTCTTTATAATAATAATTTATGCTAGGCACGGTGGCTCATGCCTGTAATCCCAGCACTTTGAGAGGCCAAGGCGGGTGGATCGCCTGAGGTCAGGAGTTCCAGACCAGCCTGGCCAACATGGTGAAATCCGTCTCTATTAAAAATACAAAAATTAGCCGGGCGTGGTGGTGCGTGCCTGTAATCCCAGCTACTCAGGGGGCTGAGGCTGGAGAATCACTTGAACCCAGGAGGTAGAGGTTGCAGTGAGCCGAGATTATGCCACTGCACTCCAGCCTGGGTGATAGAGTGAGACTCCGTCTCAAAAAAAATAATAATTATTATTATTATTTAATAAACACTGTGCATCAGGTACCATTCTGACTACTTTACACCAATTATCTCATTTAAACCTCACTCCAGTCTTATATGGTAGGTGCTATTAATATTATATCTCCCCTTTTGTAGATGAGGAAACCACAGGCATAAAGAAGTTAGGTCAGGGCTGGGCACGGTGGCTCACGCCTGTAATCCCAGCACTTTGGAAGGCCGAGGCCGGTGGATCACGAGGTCAGGAGATAGAGACCATCCTGGCTAACATGGTGAAACCCCATCTCTACTAAAAATACAAAAGATTAGCCGGGTGTGGTGGTGGGCGCCTGTAGTCCCAGCTACTCGGGAGGCTGAGGCAGGAGAATGGCGTGAACCCGGGAGGCAGAGCTTGCAGTGAGCTGAGATCGCACCACTGCACTCCAGCCTGGGCAACAGAGCGAGACTCCATCTCAAAAAAAAAAAAAAAGAAGTTAGGTCAGTTATCTAAGATATAAACAAATGAGGCAGAATTTCAGGTACTGATATGAAAAAAATCACCAAAATATACTGTGAAGTAAAAAAAGCAACCTACAGGGCACTGAGTTTGGTGTGTTGCAATTTCCAAAAAAGTAGGAGGGAAAGTAAGAGTAGACATGTTTCCACATATAGATGGTATCTCTGGAGGGGGGCGGATTCCCCTGAAACTGGTAATACTGGTTAGCCCTAAGGAGGGAAATCTGGATGGTTAGGGAAGAGAAGTAAGGGGAATATTTTTCACTGTATCCTTTTGAGCTTTTAAAATTGTGAACATATGGGCTGGGCGTGGTGGCTCACGCTTTTAATCCCAGCCCTTTGGGAGGTCAAGGAGGGCAGATCACTTGAGCCCAGAAGTTCTGGCCTCAAGTCATGGTGAAACCCTGTCTCTACTAAAAATACAAAAATTAGCCGGTGTGGTGGCGCACGCCTGTAATCCCAGTTACTTGGGTGGCTGAGGCCACAGGAGTTCTGGCCTCAGGTCATGGCAAAACCCTATCTCTACTAAAAATACAAAAATTAGCCAGCGTGGTGGCGCACGCCTGTAATCCCAGTTATTTGGGTGGCTGAGGCACAAGAATTGCTTGAACCCAGTAGGCAGAGGTTGCAGTGAGCCAAGATTGTGCCACTGCACTTCGGCCTGGGCAACAAAGCCAGACTCTATCTAAAAAAAAAAAAAAATTTGTGAACATATGAATCTATTACCTATTCAAAAATAAAATTAAATTCACACACACACATCAAAAATCCCACCCCCAAGGCCCCCCCAGCTGGTAAGAGGTGGAGCTGAAGTGACCATGTGCTCAGCTCTCTGCTACCAGCTTTGCATGGCCCAGGGCTCTCCCACTGTCTCAGGCAGCTGCTGTAGGGCAGCTGTCCTGCTTGACCCTCCATGCACTGAAGGACTCAGAAACCCAGGAACCCCGTGTGCTTCCAAGGACTGCAGCACTTCTTTGTCCACTCTTCCCCAGGGCAGCCTGCTCACCTGCCGCTCTAGGAGTGACTGCAACACCAAGAAAGTTTCCTCCTTCCAGGGCAGCTCCAAGATCTGTCTGCAAAGCAGAGGCCCTAGTGAAAAATGCCTGGCCTCCCACCCAAGCCTGAGTATCTATCTGCTGCTCCAACTCCCACAGCAGGGCAAGGCCCTGGGGACAGCCAAGATCCCCAGCCAACAAAGGGGTAGTCAGGGGTGGGGCACAGTGGCTCACACCTGTAATCCCAGCACTTTGGGAGGCCGAGGCAGGTGGATCACCTGAGGTCAGAAGTTCAAGACCAGCCTGGCCAACATGGTGAAATCCCGTCTCTACTAAAAATACATAAAATTAACCAGGCTTGGTGGTGGGTCCTGTAATCCCAACTACTCAGGAGGCCGAGACAGGAGAATTGCGTGAACCTGGGAGGCAGAGGCTGCAGTGAGCCAAGACTGTGCCAATGCACTCCAGCCTGGGCAACAGGGCAAGACTCCGTCCCCACCCCCCACCCCCCGCCAAAAAAAAATGGGTAGTCAGAGCCTTCTTGATGCTGGCACCAGCCCCAGCAGCCACTGTTGCAGAGCTCATACAACTGCCAGGGAGGTCACAACCTCAAGAGCCCCAGGAGCTGACAACAAAGTATTTGGTAGTGAGACACAAGGATCCCCTAAAAAATAACTAGGAGTAGAAAGTGCATCGTGAGAACAAAAGGCAAAGAGGACTCATAAAGGAGAAAGAGGATGGAGTGAGATGATACACATAAGGCTTCCTAGAGAAGGTAAGCCTTCCCTGCAGGGCCCAACACATGTGATGTCACTCTAGCCTGGGGGAACAGGTGGCAGTGGGGACAGCACGGAGGCCTGCACACTCACCCCAGCATTAGAACCTGTGCATCTGGCTCCAGGGACTCCATCTTCACAAGGCAACACAGTAACTCTGTTTGAGCAGGACCTGGGTAGAGGACAGCAGAAGGGGAAGTCTGGGGGGAAATGGCAGAAGACAGCAGAAAGCAGGGAGGCGGTAACAGAATGCCCAGCCTGTTACAGGGGCATTGTCAGGGAAGCAGCAGGCATCTTTAATCACTGAATACCCAACTCCTGCCAGGGCCACTCTGGGGTGAAGGATGCTGAGAACACTGAGGGCAGAGCTACTGGGCCTGGGGCTGGTTCCAGAATTACCTGTGCCTGGGGCCTGGAGCACAGGGTCAAGGAGGGCGCTGCAGACAGGGTATGTATATTTGGCACAGAAGGAGGTCAGGGCAGTTGTAAGCAGGCGGGAGGCTGAGGAAGTCAAGGAGAGGATCTACAGCCAACAGGGAGGAAAAAATTAATTATTTTCTTCTTCATTTCAACAGCATTTATCAAATGCACATTTCAGATGATGATACATGTTACAAAGGAAAAAAAAAACCAAGTTCTTTTATTTAGAACTCACATGGACCCACCCATTGGAAAAGATACATACCTCTCTTGCTCAGTTCCCAAATCCCTGAAAGTCCCTTGATCAGCTTCTAGAAGGGTTCTGGTGCCCAAAGAGAAGTTAGATGCCAGCTGGGCATGGTGGCTTAATTATGCCTGTAATCCCAGCACTTTGGGAGGCTGACACAGCTGGATCACTTGAGGCCAGGAGTTCGAGACCAGCCTGGGCAACGTGGCGAAACCCAGTCTCTACTAAAAATACAAAAATTAGCCAGGTGTGGCGGTGGGTGCCTGTAGTCCCAGCTACTCAGGAGGTTGAGGCAGGAGAATCGCTTGAACCCCAAAGGCAGAGGTCGCAGTGAGCCAAGATTGCACCACTGCACTCCAGCTTGAGTGACAGAGCAAGACTCCGTCTCTAAATAAATAAATAAATAAAAATACAAAAATTAGCCAGGCATGGTGGAAGGCACCTGTGATCCCAGCTACTCAGGAGGCTGAGGCAGGAGATCACGCCACTGCTGCACTCCAGCCTAGGCAACAGAGTGAGACACTCTCTCTCAAAAAAAAAAAAAAAAGTTAGATGCCATGTGGGTAGATGGCCTGGGGGTCCATGCCCTGCCAGTTAAGCAGGCATCCTTTCCTTGCCCCAGGCTGCCCAAACAGCCCAGATGTCTACAAGGCTGGGAATCCCCTCTCTCAAGTACCACCCTTCTGAGGGCCCAGTTGCTCTTCCCCATTGTCCTTGGCACTCTGAGTACCTCCCAATACACCTACCCGTCCAAGAAAGAGGCTTCTGGTCAGCACAGTAGCATTGCTGAGGCTGAGATCAGGTGAAAGGGCCAGCAGCCAGGTGCAGAGCCGCAGGAGACCGAGGTCTGAGAGCTGAGGGAGCTGCAGCTGGGCACACAGCAAGTCCATCTGCTTACAGAGTGCGGGGGGAGAGAGGACACCGGGACATGCACTCTGCCTCTGCTAGGCTGTCTCAAGCAACTGGACAGCAGACAGAGCAGGGCAAAGATACTCCAGGGCAAAGAAAGTCTGGGAGAGCTGCCCTAGGGGAAGGAACCAAGGGCTAAAAGATACTACACAGGGTGACCCCTATCGCTGAGAGAGAAAACAACAAAATCCCCTCCCACATTTCCCACATGAGGTAGGAAAACATAAACTTAAATAGAAAAAGATAAGGGACAGAGAATGTAACCTCAGAGCCAGGCAGTCATCTGGACTCACCTGGCTGGGACTACATTCGTGAAGAAGCTGTAGCTCAACTGGGGGGGCATCCTCCAATCCCTCTAACCCCTGGGGAGACAAATCTCATGTTAGGGCTGGCAGAGCCCTCAGTGACAAGTCACTGAAGCCACCCCTTCAGGTGGCAGAAGGAGTGGCCTGAGATCCTGGAAGGCACTACCAGAGAAGAGGAAGTTACCTGGGGTTAGATGGTAAGTCTACACTTGGTTCAAGAAAAGCTCCTTCAGAGACTGTCCTCAGACCTTTACTCCAGTCCCCCTCCCCCAGCCAGCTTGTATATCACTGCATTGGGCCTTCCTTGGGCATAGTTGGGGTCTGGGTAGAAGATGGAAGAAAGGCTATGGTGAGCACTGTGGGGCCAGTCACCTCCTCCAAGGTCTTCAGCAGCTGCTGCAGCCTGGGAAGCTGGTCCTGTGGAGGAGAGCCCAGTCACTGCTACGTCCCTCCCCCTGCAGCATGACCCCAAGCCCGGTTCTGGCTCCCCCTACTGAAAAGGCCCCAGGTCAGTGGGAGCTAGCTGGCAAAGATGATTCAAGAAAGTCAAGAGGCCAAGCGCGGTGGCTCACACCAGCACTTTGGGAGGCTGAGGATGGAGAATCACTTGAGCCCAGGAGTTCAAGATAGCCTGCACAACTAGTTGAGACCCCATCTCTACAAAAATAAATATAAAAAATTAGCCAGGCGTGATGGTGCATGCCTGTAATCCCAGCTACTTGGGAGGCTGAGGCAGGAGGATCACTTGAGCCCAGGAGGTCGAGGCTGCAGTGAGTTATATTCATGCCCCTTCACCCCAGCCTGGGGGAGAAGAGAGGGACCCTGTCTCGAGGAGAAAAAAAAAAAGTCAAGAACATGAAGTCTCTATCTTGAAAAGTGCCTAAGAACCCAAACTAGACAAGGTCCATGTGAAACCTAGCTGTCTAGAATTGTCTTCTGCATCCAACCCAAATGGGGGTAGACCCAGGCCTCAGACTAGGAGGCAGGGGCAGACTGGATGCTGTCATGATTCTTCCCACCCACATATGACGGGGTAGCAGGGGTGGCTCCAGAGCCTCTCCCTTGCCTGGCACCCTTTAACCCCACATTATAGATCATTAGGACACATTTCCCACCTCCAATAACTCCCTTCCCTACCCCTCCTTAAGAGTCTGTGGAGTGGCTGGGCGTGGTGGCTCACACCTGTTATCCCAACACTTTGGAGGCCAAGGTGGGCGGATCACCTGAGGTCAGGAGTTCAAGACCAGCCTGACCAACATGGAGAAACCCTGTCTCTACTAAAAATACAAAATTAGCTGGGCGTGGTGGCGCATGCCTATAATCCCAGCTACTCAGGAAGCTGAGGCAGGAGAATCGCTTGAACCCGGGAGGCAGAGGTTGCGGTGAGCTGAGATCATGCCATTGAACTCCAGCCTGGGCAACAAGAGCAAAACTCCATCTCAAAAAAAAAAAAGAGTCTGTAGAGTGGAGGCTACATTCCCTCAACCCTACCTTCCTCCTTCTTCCTCCAGGAACTACAGTCAACTCCATTGGGAAAAAGTGTCCCAAGCAGCCTTCCCCATGGATAAAGCCACCACTGCTGAAAGATCACTCTAAACCCAGTCTCCCTACCAAAGTACCTGGATAGCTTTGGGCAACTCCAAACTCTCAGCCAGACCTTTAGCATCATCCAGATTCGAACCGTCCTCGCCAGTCTTAACTGCCATGACAGGCTGGTCCTTAATAGGAGATGCACTTCCTCCATCTGCCAGGGATTCCAGTGACTTATGTTCGGGTCTCTCCTTCTCATGATCTTCTTCCTCTTCCCAACACCGTAATCTTTTGGGGACCCTCTTCCCCTCAGGACTGGCAGCCTCTTCCTCTGAGTCCTTTCTGCGTTTCCCAGGCTGCTGGGAGTCCCTGTTCTCCTCTTCTTCAGGGTCTGGAGCCTGGGGGGATTTCAACCTCCTGCCCCCCAGGCCCAGCCCCCTACATAGACTTTGGAGCTGTCTCTGGCATCTTTCAGACAGTGGAGAAGCTCCCTCCATGGAGGTCCCCACCCCCAAATCCCTTCGCAGCAATTCCCCCAGGGCACGGAGCCAGGCATCTGGGTCAGGGGCTAGGTCCTGCTGGGCAATCTGCAGCACAGAGAGGAGCCCACTTTCCGGCAGCGATGGCCGAACGGCCATCAGCAGGGACATCAGGTTCCTCTGGCATATCCGGGGCAATCGCAGCAACAGTGGTTTCCTGGGTAGCAGAGGGAGAGCAAGCAGTTAAGTGTTTGGCTGAAGGGAGCACAAGGCAGACTGGGCAGAGCTGGGGGCTAGATGGCGGTGGACAGATGGGGGCTGGCACGCAGTATCTGCAAGAGTCAGTGGATGTTGGCCAGGTGTGGTGACTCACACCTGTAATTATAGCATTTTGGGAGGCTGAAGTGGGCAGATCACTCAAGGTTAAGAGTTCAAGACCTGCATGGCCAACATGGTGAAACTCCGTCTCTACTAAAAAAAATACAAAAATTAGACGGGCATGGTGGCATGCGCCTGTAGTTCCAGCTACTGGGGAGGCTGAGGCAGGAGAATCGCTTGAACCCGGGAGTCAGAGGTTGCAGTGAGCCGAGATCATGCCACTGCACTCCAGCCTGGGCAACAATGTGAGACACTATTTCAAAAAAAGGAAAAAAAAAAAAGTCAGTGGATGGAGACAGGGACAACATGAAAGATGAGAACTGTTCAAGTGTTCATTGAATATCTATCATATGACAGGCCCTATTCTTTGGCCTCTGTCATCTGTTTCAGCTCAAAATTCATATTGGAACCTACTCTATAATAGATTCATGCTTGTTTTACACAAAAGAAGAAAAAAGTTCTTTCCCAAATTTTAGGTAAAAATAATACTCCAGGATGCTGTGCAGTGCTTAGTCTTGCAGCCCTATGGCTGCCCTCGGCAATCCCCTGGAACTCTCGGGGTCAGTCATCTGTCCAGCTCTTGTGTTCCTTTCACCAAATTGTGAGTTCCTAAAAGGTGAAGGTAGTGTTTCCTTCCTCTGTGTCCTAGGACTCAGCACAGCGCCAGCCCAGAGCAGGCACTTGTTGCGCATTTATTGAATGAATTAACTCTCTAAGTGTGCTGAGATCAGCAAGAGCTGCTGTGGACACAGAAGGCTTCCCAGAGATGAAACTTGAAACAGAAGGAATCACTTTACAGATTCCAAACAGTATGCACAGAGCCAAAGGGGAAAGACGGGGGATGAGGATCTTTTGTTTTGGAGCCCCAGGAGTTTAAGCAGAACCAATGCTCTGTCCTGCAAGCACCCAGCTTTTCTTAAAATAGATTCAACACTATTCCCCAGAGCTCCAGAGGCCCATGATGCAATGTAACCATCTGTAATTCTGCTGAGGCACAAACCCAGATCCTACGTGACCTGAGGCGTGGTGTGGCAAGTCATGGCAGCATCTAGCCCACCACCCCTCACGTCTCTACTCCTCCCTATGCATAATTTTGCAGGGCCGTTTGTCAACACAGAGGCACTTGGGATGTGAGGCAGAAAAAAAAAGACAACTATTTCTTTGTGGAATATAGACACTATGTGAGAGAGAAAAACTAGAGTCAAAGTTTAAAAGATGGGCTGGGCGCAGTGGCTCATGCCTGTAATCTCAGCACTTTGGGAGGCCAAGGTAGGTGGATCACGAGGTGGGTGGATCAGGAGTTCCAGACCAGCCCAGCCAATATGGTGAAACTCTATCTCTGCTAAAAATACAAAAATTAGCTGGGCGTGTTGGCACGCGCCTGTAGTCCCAGCTACTCAGGAGGCTGGGGCAGAAGAATTGCTTCTTCTGGAGGTGGAGGTTGCAGTGAGCCAAGATTGCGCCACTGCACTCCAGCTTGGGCAACAGAGCAAGATTCCGTCAAAAAAAAAAACAAAACAAACAAAAAAAACCTAAGTTTAAAAGATGGCTAATTTGTGGTGGGGAGGATATTTGGGGGTAGAGAGATAGGGAAGACCCTACTCCAGGAAATTTTAACCTGTTTTAGTGCCAGAGACCTGTGATCAGAATGAGTGTTAAATGCATTTGATAAAATATCTAGGATTATAAAGGAAATCAATTGTGCTGAAATACTCTTCTATCCAGGGGCCCCAGGTTAAGGCCCTGCCCTCTCCTTACTCTATCCAGAATAAGCCAGATAGCTGGGCAAACATTTCTATAGCTTCCAATTTGGGGATTCAGACAAGTTCTCCTGACCCATCTCCTGAAAGAAATTCAAAGTGGAGTGTAGGAAGAAAATATTGGAACTCCCATTTTCCCCTATTTATCTAAAACATAAGAAATTAAGCATTAGAAATATTTAGCATCTGGATGGTTTCCAGCATAAATTATGGGGGAGGGGTATCCAAGAGGAGTGGAAGGCTGGCCCCACTAGGAGCTGAACATGGCACCTCACCCACTCATTTTTCTGTGTGTTTTAGTTAACTTTGCTAGTTAAGTGCATCTGTAGATACTGTACTCTTTTTTTTTTAAGCAAAAGTTGTCCTCACAAATAAGCACGTGGCTTAAAAGAATGCCTGCCAAAAAATTGGAGATAATATCAATAACAGAAACACAACCAAATAAAATGGCAGGGCCGACACCTCTGCTCCTAGTAGGAATCCTTCGTCAGCCACAGAGAGGTTAAAAAAAAAGTTCAATGTCATCCAAGAGCCAGAAATTATCAAGAACACTAAAATATGGATTCACAGTTACCATTCTTAGAGAAAGCAATCTTGCCTTAAAGTGAACGTTATGCTTTGAAAAGCAGAGCATACAGCCACCAGGATAGCGGATACGTATTCCACCATCACGTTTTAAGTATCTATTTTTGTACTTTAAAATGTACGTATTTTAACACATGTGTACACTTTATACATAAGTATACTTACACTGGACGTACGAGTCCAGTTTTTTAGAGATGGAAGTACGCGATCAAAAGTGATTTGCCTCCACTTATCATCACTATACCTTACAGCGAACAGAAGGCGTGTGCCTCGAGTTCCCGGATCCTCGATGTCCCGCACACAGCAAGTGCTCAGTGAAGGGTGCCCCTGCTCATAGGGTGCGCGGCAGGCCGTCGCTGAAGGGGCTTATTTCACCTCTGTGTGTGTCGTTCCCCCGACAGCCCCCCGCCTCCCATACCTGCTAAGGGGCCGCGGGCGAGGACTTACAGCTCCAGACGGCCGTCAGGCCCCTGCACGACCGGCTCCTCCCGGCACAGGGCCTCGAGCAAGCGACCCCAGTCGAAGGGCTCCCAGCCGCGGCTGCCCAGCGCCCGGAGCACCCCCAGGCCGCGCCGCGCCCCCTCAGGCCCCGCCTGCAGCGCCTGCAGCAGGAGGCGGGCGGGGGCCTCCAGCTGCGCCCAGGGCGCCGGCTCCACGCCCTCAGCCCCAGGGAGCCCCGCGTCCGGTGTCGCCATGCCGGGGCACGGGTGCCGCGCCGCCCCCTACTCTGGTGTGGGGCCTCAGCTCAGAGGCTGAGGGGAACGGAGGACTCCAGCGCCGTCCCTGACGCGGCGGTGGCGGGCCAGCTCCAGCGCCTGTTACAAGCTCTCCTCGGCGTTGGGAGACCGGAGAAACCCGGCCGCCCGAAGCCGCAGCCGTTCCCGCGCTGTCGGAAAGGGAAGGAGGGAGGCGCGGCCGGGGGCGGAGCCTGAACGTGAGGCCGGCGCGAGGGCCGGTCGCAAGGGGCAGGGCCGGGCACAAGTCCAGCCGGAGTAGGTGGGCGGGGCCAAGGCCTGGGGCGTGCCCATGGGAGGGGGCGTGGACAAAACAAGTGGTTAGTTTGTGGGCGGTGTCGGGCCAGGGAGCCTGGAGCGGGGCGGGGGCGGGGGTTGATGGAGGGGTGGATCCGCCGCTGACGACCCCAACCCTCTCCCTTTCTTCATCACTCCCCAAAGTAGTGGAATGGAGTGGATGTCAGGGGTTCTGTTGTGCTAGAGGACCCGCGCTGTATTTACGCTGACGGCATGTTGCTTGTCATGGACTTCACCATAGAATTTGACCACAATTTACCACCCCACTTAGCTTCATCTCTTCCACAGGCCAAAAGTGCTATCATTTGGGTTTCAGTCCTCTCCAGAAATAGTATTTGATATACAAACATCCCTGAGAATGACATGGTCACAGTAAAACCTAACACTATTAATACGGCCAAAGACTTTCTTCTGAACTTCCTCCCAAAGACCAAGCAGTAACCTTGCTCTGGGTCGTTTATAGGGGGCCAGGTGTGGCTCCACTTCCTAGGGTTCAGTTTAAGGAAGTCCGCTGGAGAACTTGGCTTCCAGCCAAGGGTGGGATCACTGCAAAGCGTAGGAAATAAGCGAGAAGAGCCCCACAGTGCCTCCTAAACCTTGCTTTGGGGGCTAGCTTGTATTTCCTGTCCCAGCTCTGCTGCCACACACAGCCCTTCATTCAGGAAATGTTTACTGAGCACCTAGGGACTGGGGATACTGGGAACAAAACAAAGATCCTGGCCCTCATTGTCACACAACTGGGGAGAGACGGAAAGCTAATTAAACAATGTTTGTGATGTGTTCAAAAAGAACATAACACCGACACACAGCACGAAGTGCTTTTAAATAGGGTGGTCAGGCAAGATGAATGTGAAGATGAGGTTGGCAAGCCAGATAGAAGTCTGTGAGAAGACCATTTCAGTCCTCCCTGTGGAGGGCGGGGGGGCTCTGGGGCAAAAGCATGGCTGGAACGGAGGGCACTTGCTGGATAGTAATAGGAGTTGAGATCAGAGTGGGAACCAGGTCAGATCTTAAGAGGCCTGAGGTCACAGAAAGGAGTTGGGCTTTCACTCTGAATAGTATGGAAAGCCATGGGAGTATCTTGAGCTTGATCTGATCTCCATTTGAGCCAAAATGATTTCAAGGGAGATGTCGGGAAAGACTAGTGATATTTCTTAGATAATGGCTGCTTTGCAAATGCCAAAATAGCAAGAAAGAAGTTTCTTCCAGACACCTTCTGTTTCAGGTAAGCAGCTCTAACTTTACAGGGGATGTTTTGGGTCTTCGAATGACAAGCTGTTAGAGGAGTGGGACCTGATGAATAGCAGGCAGGGCCAAGAATGCTAAAAAGCCTGCAATGCCCTGTGCATCCTCACCTACAGCTTTACTCTGAGTGGCTGTGGCTCCCACCCACCAAGGTCTGTATTCTGGCCACCTGAAAGGGAACAGGGAGGAAAAGTTCTAAACATGGCTCAAGGACCCTGGTGGATCCCCGAGTCCCTTTCACAAGATTCATGAGGTTATTACTATTTTCATAATGCAAAAATGCACTGTGAAGTTTTCCAGAAGCTAAGTGACAAGTAATATTGCAACAGATTGAATGCAGAAGCAGCCTTATTGCACTTGGCAGTGGGGCTGGGCTATGAGCGGACCACTCTTCAGACACCAGCAATGATAACTTAGGTGCATTTTATTGGTTTTCTTTCAGAGTCATTCTACAAAAGAGCAAAGTTAAAAACCAAGGCCCTGGCAAGAGGGTTTGAACCTTCCTCATTCCAGGAGCCCTCCCCCATTCCTCCATGTCCCCAGCTGTGTCACTGCTGCAGTTCATGGGGGTGGAGGGCTTGCTACTTTTGCCCCCCCACCAAACCCTAAAAGGGAAAGACCTACCACCTAGAAACTCCTTCCCCTCACCCCAATTTTCCTCAAGTTGATCCTGATTACAGAAGGCCATGGTAAGAACTGTTGGGGTCCTGCAGGAGTTCTGAACCCCAGAAGGTCATGGCCAGGGCACCGTCTGTGAAGAGCACATTGTCCTCTGGCTCAGCACCCCTTAGGAACAATGCTGGGCCCAGCACCTGGGAGTAGAGAGAAAAATCAGTGAAAACCCATCAACTTCAACACTGGTTGCCTCAGGAATGGAGGAACTCAAGACTCACATATAAGGTTGGGCAGATTGTACATAGCACAAAGGTGCCACATCTAAGTAGGCACCATATTAGCATCATAGATACCATCCATAGGTTTCATATTTATCACAAACATTTATTATAAGCCATGACCAGCAGCCTCCCCTGCCCCATACCCCTGCGGTTACCACCTCACTCCCAGAGGCCAGTTGCACTCTCTCAGGCCAGGGAGGACCGGAGGTCCCAGCCTTAGCTGGGAGCTGGTGCAGGTAGATACACTCAGATTTGAAGGGGCAGCGGCCATTCCCTCGCACGAAGAACCGGCATCGGATCTGGCTATGAGAGAGAAGACGACGACCATCACCTTCAAAACCTGTTACCCCAAGAACAAGGGGCACTCAAGGCTGACACATAAGGTTGGGCAGGTTGTACACAGCACCAAAGCCCCGCATCTAAGCGGACACCACTAGCATCATAGTGTAGCTTTTACATTTATTCTATCTTCCAGCAGATGGCAGTAAAGTATCTTAAGGGGCCCCTTTCTGTACTTCTCAGTCTCTGAGCCAGCAACAGCAGCGGCCCTGGGAACCTCCTTTCATTTTTCTGGTTTATTTTGTTTGTTTTTTGGGTTTTTTGTTTGTTTGTTTGTTTGAGATGGAGTCTTGCTCTGTCACCCAGGCTGGAGTGCAGTGGTGCAATCTCGGCTCATTGCAACACCCACCTCTGGGGTTCAAGCAATTCTCCTGTCTCAGCCTCCCGAGTAGCTGGGACTACAGGTGCATGCCACCACGTGCAGCTAATTTTCATATTTTTAGTAGAGGTGGGGTTTCACAAAATTGGCCAGGCTGGTCTTGAACTCCTGACCTCAGGTTATCCAACCACCTCAGCCTCCCAAAGTGCTGGGATTACAGGTGTGAACCACTATACCAGACTTTTTTTTGTTTTTGAGATGGAGTTTCACATTTGTTGCCCAGGTTGGAGTGCAGTATCATGATCTGGGCTCACTGAAACCTCCATCTCCCAAGTTCAGGCGATTCTCCTGCCTCAGCCTCCCAAGTAGCTAGGATTACAGGCACCCACCACCACGCCCATCTAATTTTTTTGTATTTTTAGTAGAGACGGGTTTTCACCATGTTGCTCAGGCTGGTCTCAAACTCCTGACCTCAGATAATCCACCCACCTTGCCCTCCCAAAGTGCTGGGATTACAGGTGTGAGCCACCGTGCCCGGCCTTTTTGTTTTTTTTTTTTTTTTTTTTTGAGACAGGGTTCTTGCTCTGTCACCCAGGTTGGAGTGCAATGGCATGATTACGCTCACTGCAGCCTTGACCTCCTGGGGCTCAGGTGATCCTCCTGCCTCAGCCTCTTGAGTAGCTGGGACTGCACGCGTGTGCCATCATGCCTGGCTAATTTTTATATTTTTTGTAGAGATGGGGCTTCACCATGTTGCCCAGGCTGGTCTCAACTCCTGGGCTCAAGAGTTCCTCCCCGTCAGCCTCCCAAAGTGCTGGGATTACAGGTGTGAGCCACCGTGCCCAGCCCCTCAGTTTCTTCTTCTACAGTATGAGGATAGTAAGAGTCCCTGCCTCATGCAGTTTACGAGATACAAAGCCTGTCACACAATAAACCTCCATCTACACCATCTCCTATCACATCCAGTCCTGAGCGCTCCCCTTGGGAAACTTCCAACTGGTGGCCCAGCTGCCAGTACAGTTGCTGTTGAACAACACAGGCTTGAATTGCCTGGGGCAGCTTATACGCAGACAAGATCCTGGAGACAGCAAAACCAATTCCCTCCTCTTCGTCCTTCTACTCAATGTGAAGACAATGAGGATCAAGTCGTTTATGGTAATCTGCTTTCACCTAATGAATAGTAAATATATTTTCTCCTTTATGATTTTAACGTTTCTTTTCTCTAGCTCACTTTATTGTAAGAATACATATTATGTTATATAATACATATAACATATAAAATCTGTATTAATTGACTTTATGTTGTCCGAAAGGGTTCTGGTCAGCGGCATGTTATTAGTTAAGTTTTGGGGGAGTCAAAAGTTATACATGGCCAGGTGTGGTGGCTCACGCCTGTCATCCCAGCACTTTGGGAGGCTGAGGCGGGTGGATCGTTTGACCTCAGCAGTTCAAGACCAGCCTGGGAAACATGGCAAAACCCTGTCTCTACAAAAAATACAAAAATTAGCCAGGCATGGTGGTGCGCGCCTATAGTACCAGCTACTGGGGAGGATTGCTTGAGCCAGGAGGCTGAGGCTGCAGTGAGCCGAGATTGCACCACTGCACTCCAGCCTGGGCAACAGAGCGAGGCTCTGTCTCAACAACAACAACAGCAACAACAACATTCTATATGGATTTTCGATTGCATGGGGTTCGGTGCCCCTAACCCCTAAGTTGTTCAAGGGTCAACTGTATTTCCTCACTTCCATCTCTCTTTGCCTGGGACACCCTCTTTTTTCTCCTCCTGAGGAACCCTGTTCTTCCCATGCACAGCTTAAATACTTCCCCTTCTGTAAGAGTCACTCGAGTTAGTGTTTCCTTCAGTAATTTTGTTGATGCAGCTATTAGCGTTCACAGGTGTCTCCAGAACACGCCTGACTATCTCCTGGGTGAAGACGAGGCCTCCTTCTTTATCCCTCCCTTTACCCAAATACACTTTGCATAGATCAAGTGTAGTAAACCCTTTGGGAAGGTGGAGTTAGGAACTTGGAATTGCAGCTAATTCCAGATTTTGAATAAGTGCTTACCCTCCCCAAGAGATTCAGACCTATCCAATAAGGCTGCCTTTCAGCCCCCTTCTCAGCCACCCCATGTTTTCAAAGAGCAGCTAAGCAAATAACATGTATTCATATCAGTTTACTTTCCTGCCTTATGACAAATTGGAAATAAAAGCCAAAGCAAGGCTTCTCATGGTGCAGAGAGAACCAGAGTTGCTCTAAGTTGATTCTGAGCCAAGTTAGAAGAGAAAATTGGCCCTGGTGTTCCTTCTGCTATCTCAGCCACTCTCCGTTTATTAAGTGGGCTTTCTTTCCTTTTTTTTGAGACAGAGTTTCACTCTTGTTGCCCAGGCTGGAGTGCAGTGGCACAATCTCAGCTCACTGCAACCTCCACCTCCAGGGTTCAAGCGATTCTCCTGTCTCAGCCTCCCGAGTAGCTGGGATTACAGGCGCCTGCAATCACGTCTGGCTAATTTTTGTATTTTTAGTAGAGACGGGGTTTCACCATGTTGGTCAGGTGGTCTTGAACTCCTGACCTCAGGTGATCTGCCCGCCTTGGCCTCCCAAAGTGCTGGGATTACAGGTGTGAGCTACCATGCCTGGCCTTATTAACTGGGCTTTCTGAAATCATGAAAATAGTTCATGCCTTCACCTGCCATTTTGGTCACTCTAAACTTCAGGGCTTTGGGGATTCACTGGCTGGGAACCATGGCTGAACCAGAATGAATCAGGGGCTACCTTCTCCACTTCCCTAACCCTGAGTCTCGTTCCCTCTGCAGCCTCACCTGGTCCGAGCCTTGAAGTTCCTGATGAGTTGCTCCTTCTGGGCCCCCTTGCTCACCCAGAACTTGTGGGGGATGATGTAGCTGGAATGGACACGGCACTGTGGACACGCCCTGAGCAGTGGAGTAGAATGTGGGAGAATAGTCACAGGCCCCCAGGCCAGCCTCCTCACTGGGGTGTTTCCCTCCATCCCTGTTGGGACCCCCATGACACTGACTTGATGACATCCAGCGGGAAGTCCTGCCGGTTCTTCCGCCAGGTGCGCAGGCAGCCCAGACAGTGGGCATGGGTGCAGTTGGGCAGGATGCCGAAGACCCGCTGGGCCTCTGGCTTGTCCCACACTTTGTCCATGCAGATGCCACACACCACATCCCGACTGTCCTGCTTCCCAGGCAGCCACAGGTAGGGTCAGACACTCCACCCGCATGCCCACATTCAGCCTCAGTGGCCACCAAGCCCTCCCCCAGCAGATCTGGGTGTCCCAGAGGGCCAGAAAGCCATCTTTTGCCACCCCTCACCCACAACCTGCTGCACCTCAAGGTCCAGGCTCTGAAGTGGCGCCATGAGCTCTCGGACAAGGTGGAACTTTGGCAGAGACTCCTGGGAGTGGCCGTGATCCCTGTCAGCAGCTGTTGGGAAAACTGCATCCATTCACTCACCCCTGAGGCAACCACTGAGCATTTCCTGCATGCAAGACTCTGTGGTAACCCACGTCCTGCCCCCAAGTGGATTAGAGACCAGTCAGAATTAGAAGCCTCTCATATAGGCCAGGCTCGGTGGCTCATACCTGTAATCTCAGCACTTTGGGAGGCCGAGGTGGGTGGATCACCTGAGGTCAGGAGTTCAAGACCAGCCTGGCCAACATGGCGAAACCATCTCTAGTAAAAATACAGAAATTAGCCAGGTGTGGTGGCGAGTGCCTGTAATCTCAGCTACTCAGGAGGCTGAGGCAGGAGAATCGCCTGAACCCAGGAGGCGGAGGTTGCAGTGAGCTGAGATCATGCCATTGCACTCTAGCCTGGGCAACAGAGGGAGACTTCATTTCAAAAACAAAAAAAACAGACTGTAATCCCAGCACTTTGGGAGGCCAAGGCAGGCAGATCACGAGGCCAGGAGTTCGAGACCAGCCTGGCCAATATGGTGAAACCCTGTCTCTACTAAAAATTCAAAAATTAGCCAGTCGTGATGGCATGTGCCTATAGTCCCAGCTACTCAGGAGGCTGAGGCAGAAGAATCGCTTGAACCAGGAGGCGGAGGTTGCAGTGAGCCAAGATCGTGCCACTGCACTCCAGCCTGGGAGACAGAACGAGACTCTGACTCAAAAAAAAAAGAAGCCTCTCCTATAGCCATTTAGAAGAGTGCTGTTCAATACAGTAACCAAGAGCCATATGCGGCTCTTGAGCAACTGAAATGGGGCAAGTCTGAGTTGACACCTGCTATAAGTAGAAAATAGGGCCAGGCGCGGTAGCTCACGCCTGTAATCCCAAAACTTTGGGAGGCTAAGGTGGGTAGATCACTTGAGCTCAGGAGCTGGAGACCAGCCTGGACAACATGGCAAACTCTGTCTCTATCAAAAATAAAAAATAGGCCAGGCGCAGTGGGTCATGCCTGTAATCCCAGTACTTTGGGAGGCCGACGCGGGCGGATCACGAGGTCAGGAGATCAAGACCATCCTGGCTAACATGGTGAAACCCCGTTTCTACTAAAAAAATACAAAAAAAATGAGCCAGGTGTGGTGGTGGGCGCCTGTGGTCCCAGCTACTCGGGAGGCTGAGGCAGGAGAATGGCATGAACCCAGAAGGCGGAGCTTGCAGTGAGCCGAGATTGTGCCACTGCACTCCAGTCTGGGCGACAGAGTGAGACTCAGTCTCAAAAAAAAAAAAAAAAAAAAAAGATGAAGTACTGATACGTGCTACAACATGGACGAACCTAGAAAACTTCACACTCAATGAAAGCAGCCAGACACAAAAGGCCACATATTGTAAGATTCCGTTCATATGAAAAGTCCAGAACAGCCAAACCACAGAGACAGAATGTGGATTAGTGGATACTAGAGGCTGGGAGCGGGGAGGATGAAACTGACTGCTAATGGGATGATAAAAATGTTCTAAAATTGGGTAGCAGTGATGTTTGCATAACTTTGTGAATTAACGCATTGAATTGTATAAATTGATGAATTTTTTGGTTTGTGAATATTTCAATAAAGCTGTTATAAAAAATTACATATGTGACTTAAATTTCTTTATATTCTGAATAACATTGATTTAGAGCAATAATTTAAAAAATAGCCAGGCCGGGCACGGTGGCTCACGCCTGTAATCCCAGCACTTTGGGAGGCCAAGTCAGGCGGATCACGAGGTCAGGAGTTCGAGATGAGCCTGACCAACACAGTGAAACCTCGTCTCTATTAAAAATACAAAAATTAGCTGGGCATGGTGGTGCATGCCTGTAATCTCAGCTACTCGGGAGGCTGAGGCAGGAGAATCGCTTGAACCCTGGAGGCGGAGGTTGCAGTGAGCTGAGATAGCGTCACTGTACTCTAGCCTGGGTGACAGAGGGAGACCCTGTCTCAAATAAATAAATAAATAAAATAAAAAATAGCCACTAACATTTAGTGCATACTCTGTACCAGGTACTGTGCTAAGCATATCAACCCTCAAAATAAGCCTGTGAGTTAAGTATTATTATCAATGCCGTTTTGTAGATGAGGGAACCAAGGCCCAGAGAGGTTAAGTGACTTGTCCAAGATCACACAGCTACTGGGTATAGGGATAGGGCATTTGGAACTAGGGGGTTTTACTCTGTTGGTACCATGGTATTCTGCTTTTAGAACACACAAAGCAACAGAACTAGAGGAAAATTTCCCTCCAGCTGGGAATCTTGAAGAGGAAGGGGAATGGATGAAAACATAAACCCTGCTCAGAGGCAGAGCACGAGCTCTAGTGTCAGTGCCCACTTATGCCCACCTGCGGTGCCCCTGATGACTCACATGATGAAGGCAGGGACTTCCAGGAGCTGCCGCCAACCTCCTCAGCCTTGCTAGCCAGCCCCTCCAGGGCAGGCTCCATGCCCCAGCAGGCCCTGGCCCAGCCCCAGCCCACAGCCACAGAGGGCAGGTAGGTGGGCTCGGATCCCCTGCGGGCCAGTCCTAGGTGGGGCCCTGGCAGAGTGACATGTGGCTCCGAATGGCGGCGACCCCACTCCAGGGGGCTGGGGGTCTTTGGGTGCTGACAGCTGTAGTGGGGAAGAAGAGAGTGAGGAGACAGGGACAGCCCTCCGGGGCTCAGAGCCAGCTCAGCCTAGAACTTGGAGCTGAGTTGGGAGAAGCAGCTCTGGGAAGATACATGATTTGTGAAGGGACGATCTCTCTAGTGTCCCACCCTAACACCACTCCCCAGAGGGGAAGAAGAGGGACTTACCTGCATTGATCTCCACGATGTCCAGGGAAGCAGAAGCCTTGCTGGAAGTACTTGCAGACCTGGGACACCTTTCCATCATGAGCAAAGCGATGCCTTGACCCCCAGCGATGGGCCCGGAAAACAAAGTTCCTAAGAGATTGTCTAAGTCATGCCCAGCCCTGTTTTAGTTCCTGCCTTTGTGATCCTTACAGACAGAGGCTGTCTGATACGGTGAGAACAACACAGGCTCTGGAATTCATCTGGTGTTCAAATCCTGACCCCACTGGGAACACTAGGTGAGTAACTCACCTTCTCTAAAGCTTGGTTTCCTCACTCTTAAGAGTGGGGTAACAGGCTGGATGCGGTGGCTCATGCCCATAATCCCAGCACTATGGCAGGCACAGGCAGGCAGATCACCTGAGGTCAGGAGTTCAAGACCAGCCTGGCCAACATATTGAAACACTGTCTCTACTAAAAATACAAAAATCAGCCAGGCATGATGGCAGGCACCTTGGGCTACTCAGGAGGCTGAGGCAGGAGAATTGCTTGAACCTGGGAGGTGGAGGTTGCAGTGAGCCGAGATCACACCACTGCACTCTAGCCCAGTCAACAAGGGTGAAACTCCATCTCAAAATAAAAAAAGGGGGGGTGGGTGGTAACAATGCCTAGCCCTTGCTGAGTTGTTGTAAAGGTTTTTAAGATTTTTCACAATCAGCCTGGCCTGGTGGCTTACACCTGTAATCCCAGCACTTTGGGAGGCTGAGGCGGGCAGATCACCTGAGGTCGGGAGTTCGAGACCAGCCTGACCACATGGAGAAAGCCCATCTCTACTAAAAATACAAAATTAGCCGGGTGTGGTGGCACATGCCTGTAATCCCAGCTACTTGGGAGGCTGAGGCAGGAGAATAGCTTGAACCCAGGAGGCAGAGATTGCGGTGAACTGAGACTGTGCCATTGCACTCCAGCCTGGGCGACAAGAGCAAAACTCCATCTCAAAAAAAAAAAAAAAAAAGATTTTGCACAATGCATATAGCAGGTGCTTGGTGATCACAGTGATCACTATTACTCTCCCCAAAAGTAGAGTTGTGGATTCTGGAGTCAGAATTCTAGGTTCACATTCTACCACCAGGACTGGCTTCACCAGTGGGGACCTATACAATCACACAGGGGCCCTACACTTGCATTAATACTCTGCTGTCCCGGTCTTGAAATTATTAATAGTTTTTGAGCCCCACATTTTCATTTTGCAATGGGTCCCACAAATTATATAGCCAGTTCTGCCTAGTAACACTACTTTTTGGTTACGTAAGCTTGGACAAGTCACCTAACTTTTCCATGCCTCAGTTTTCTCATTCGTAAAATGGGGATAATAGTAGGACCTACTTCCTGGGGTGATGTCAAACTTAAGACCCTGTCTGTAAAGTCCCTGGCCCATAGCAAGCCCTGGGTAAATGACAGCTGTTGCCATCACTTCTCTTATCACTTCCCCTCTCCCGCCCCCTTTCCCTCCTCCTCTGAGGAATCAAGGTGGGAGGTAGAGAAGGGTGAGGGGAGGATGAGGTGGGCAAGCATTTAGTGAGAGTCTCCTCAGTGTCCAGGCCTAGGCCAGGGGTCTGGGACAGGTACAAGGTAGAAAGGAACTCAGCTGTTGTCATGCCTTACCTTGCCCTGAGGGGGAAGGAGCCCACACATGAGGAGACCAGGGCAGGGACAGGGACAGAGGCTGCATTCTAGTTCCATGAGAGCAGGCTGGCCCAGCCCAAGCTGAGGGTCTGCCAGAGTGTGGGTCACACCTCTTCCCCGGAGTGTCCAAGGACAAGGTGCTATAGCAGAGAAGCAGACACAGAAAAGGAGAGGCGGCTGACAGGGCCTGCTCTTGCTAGTGAAGATGCCAGATTGTCAGTCACATGGTCCTTCATTTATAACAGTGCGTGGAGCCCCTGCATGATAACTCTATGACTCCAGCTGAGAACCCAGAAACCAGGGCCAGGACTAGGGCAAGTGAGTGAGGTACTCGTCTTGGACATGAAATTCCTGGGGCTGCCAAAAGAACTAAGTAACCAAGAGAAATAATATTTTATTTCTCTCACTCCAGGTTGCGGCAAGCCGAGATTATGCCATTGCACTCCAGCCTAGGCAACAAGAGCGAAATTCTATCTCAAAAGGAAAAAATAATTTTTTTTTTTTAAAAGATCAAAACTAGGCTGGGAGTGGTGGCTCACACCTGTAATCCCAGCACTTTGGGAGGCCGAGGTGGGCGGATCACCTGAGATTGGGAGTTTGAGACCAGCCTGACCAACATGGAGAAGCCCGTCTCTACTAAAAATACAAAAAAAAATCAGCCAGGTGTGATGGTGCATGCCTGTAATCCCAGCTACTCGGGAGGCTGAGGCGGGAGAATTGCTTGAACCTGGGAGGCGGAGGGTGTGGTGAGCCGAGATCGCGCCATTGCACTCCAGCCTGGGCAACAAGAGCAAAACTCCATCTCAAAAAAAAAAAACGATCAAAACTAATGCAAAAATATCCACTAACGAAATATCAAACTTCAGGCCAGGCACAGTGGCTCACACCTGTAATCCCAGCACTTTGGGATCGCTTAAGCTCAGGAGTTCAAGACTAGCCTGGCCAACATGGTGAGACTCTGTCTATACTAAAAATACAAAATATTAGCCAGGCGTGGTGGTGTGCACTTGTGGTCCTAGCTACTAGGAAGCTGAGGCGGGAGGATCACTTGAGCTCAAAAGGTTAAGGCTGCAGTGGGCTAAGATGGCACCACTGTACTCCAGCCAGGGTGACAGAACAAGACCCTGTCTCAAAAAAAAAAAAAAAAAAAATCAAACTCTTGAATAAAGACAAGAGCCAACCCTGTGCAACTCATCTCATTTCCCTTCCCCAGTCCAGGCCCTACAACACAGGCGTAAATAACCAAGACTAATGCAGATCATAGCAGGACTCTGACAGAAACAGTCAACAGTGATGAAGTGGATGGTGGGGTGGGAGGTCAGGAAAGGCCTTTGAGGAGGTGCTAGTAATAATCATCACTAGTGGGCCAGGTGCAGTGGCTCACACCTGTAATCCCAGCACTTCGGGAGGCCGAGGCGGGTGGATTATGAGGTCAGGAGTTCGAGACCAGCCTGGTCAACATGGTGAAACCCCGTCTCTACTAAAAATACAAAAATTAGCCGGGCATGGTGGCTCGCGCCTGTAATCCCAGCTACTCAGGAGGCTGAGGTAGGAGAATTGCTTGAACCCAGGAGGCAGAGGTTGCAGTGAGCTGAGATTGTGCCACTTCACTCCAGTCTGGGTGACAGAGCGAAACTCTGCCTCAAAAAAAAAAAAAAAGAAAGAAATTGTAACTTTTGCAATAATTTATGTTTATGATGAAAACCATCAGATAACTTAGAGTATCAAGGGGAGACATAACTTTCCAAATTTCTTTTAGGTGGTTTACAAGTAAAAATGTTGGAATATGCCTAGGCTGGTGAGTTGAGGGAAGCAGACAGTAAGAGGCTGGGTTGAAGTAGGGATTAGATTAGTGGGCAGCAGCCAAAGTTAGGGAGGGCTTGAGGGGTGGGGGTTCAGGGGTGAGTGGAGGTGAAACAGTCACCGTGGAAGGGGTGAGCCCTGAGAGGAGGAGCCTCTAATCTCACAGGGGTGGAGCCAGTAACCCTCAGAGCAAGGGACTTGCAGGCCTCATGTCCCCTGTCCACCAATAGGGGATGTGCTGGAAACGCTTTGCCTTTTCCTAAGGGCCACTAATGAGGCTGACCTCGAGGACTGTCAGAGGCCATCACCCTAGCTCCTTCATTAGCCCAAAAAGTCCAGTGACAGAGCTCTCCCAGCACATCCAGAGGGACTCTCTGCCCATTAGATGGGCCACAGAAACAGAGGGTAGGGGTCTTATGATTAAATCAATCTGAAAAACTCTTCAGACCCGGCACGGTGGCTCATGCCTGTGATCCCAGCACTTTGGAGGCTGAGGTGGGTGGATTGCCTGAGGTCAGGAGTTCGAGACCAGCCTGGCCAACATAGTGAAACCCTGTCTTTACTAAAAATACAACATTAGCTGGGCATGGTAGCATATGCCTGTAATCCCAGCTACTCGGGAGGCTGAGGCAGGAGAATCGCTTGAACCCAGGAGGCAGAAGTTGCGGTGAGCCGAGATCGCGCCATTGCACTCCAGCCTAGGCAATAAGAGCAAAACTCCATCTCAAAAAAAAAAAAAAAAAAAAGGAAAAAAGAAAAGAAAAACTCTTCCTTCTCTCTCAATATATATGTTTTTTTTAGGAAGTAAAGTACACTTGGAAAAGGGCCAAGCAGGTGGCTTGAGAGATCCAAGGCCAAAGGCAAGCACCTTCTATAATTCAGGTACTGTTCTTTTTTTTGTTTTGTTTTTGAGAGAGGGTGCAATCTTGGCTTACTGCAGCCTCGACCTCTTGGACTCAAGCAATCCTCCCGCCTCAGCCTCCCAAGTAGCTGGGACTACAGGCCTACACTACCATACCTAATTTTTTTTTATATGTTTTGCAGGCCTAGGGTCTCACTATGTTGCCCAGGCTGGTCTTGAACTCCTGAGCTCAAGTGATCCTCCTGCCTCAGCCTCCCAGAGTGCTGAGATTACAGGAGTGAGTCACATGCCTGGCCTCCTTCTGTATTTTCTTAGGGGCATATTATATAGTGTTTATTGTAGGTAAACATATTAAAGGCTCTGATATGTCCTGCAAAGGAATTGATTTGATTTAACCCAGGATTGCTTAAACTTGTCCTTTCTGTTACTCGATTAGGCCCTCCACAGCCAGACACCTCTTAGCATACCAATAAAACACATTTTGTTTGGGGGAATGTCAAATTAGTTCATTTGATCCTCAACACAAGCCTTAAAAGTCAGGAATCATTCTTCCAGTTTTCAAACCCCCTTAGACAGGAAAGTAACTGGCCTGAGACTCCAAACAAGAGCTAAGCTTATATAACCCAGGTGTCCTCACTCAGCCAATAATTCTCTTGTTAACCAAGATTGACTTGTCAGGGGTGAGGGCTGCTGGATTTGGGGAATTTCTCAGGCCAAGTTCTCAGGCCAAGGGGTAGGGATAGAGCAGCCAGAGGTGACAGGTCATGCAGTCCTGGGGAGGCAGCCAAAGGGGCTCAGAGGCTGGGAAGCCAAAGAAGGGGTGGAGCCGTGGGGCCCTGAACAGTGAGCCCGAGGAGAGAGGACTGGACTCCATGGGTGAAGGGAGACTGTGGGAAAAGGGAGAATTGAGAAGGGGATGATTGGCAGCAGGAGGGGCCAGGTGGAGCTGCCAAATAAGCCCTCTACCAGGATTTTTACAACCTGAGAGCCCAAATTTAGGTGCCACCCTCCTGTCCTGGCTCAGGAAGGAACAATTGAAAATCTCCTTTAGGGGCTGGGCATGGTGGCTCACACCTGTAATCCCAGCTGTTTGGGAGGCCGAGTCGGGCAGATCACCTGAGGTCAGGAGTTCGAGACCAGTCTGGCCAACATGGTGAAACCCCGTCTCCACTAAAAATACAAAAATTAGCCAGTGTAGTGGCACACACCTGTAGTCCCAGCCACTCAGGAGGCTGAGGCTGAAGAATCACTTGAACCCGGGAGGCGAAAGCTGCAGTGAGCCGAGATCGCACCACTGCTTGAGTAACAGGGCAAGGCTCCGTCTCAAAAAAAAAAAAAAACAATCCTTTAGTAAACATCCTCCCCTACCCGCCAACCTCCCCATCTACTACATGGCTGCCTTTCTTTCTAGCCTGGGAAAACCAGGACACACTGAGACCCCAAGCTCCACAAGTACCCCTCCTTTACCCAAAGTCAGTTTTCTTTGGAGAACTGATCTCTTACAGCTGTTTGCAAAATGAATTTGTGCTCAGGTAAGAATGATGGAAGGCCCAATGAGCTAGCATGCCCTTTTACAAAGCTGGTATCCCCAAAGGCATAACTCTCTAATGGTGCAATGTTCAACCTGGCATGTTTCGTCCAAACATTTATGTGTACCTGGAACCATGCTAAGTGCTGGGGCTACAAAGGTGACCAGAAGACCAGATCCCAGCCGCATGGAGCTGTGTGGTGTTTCTGGGCAAGAGAAACCTTTGTTGGGTAGAAAAAGAAAAGAAAGTGGGGAATCCCTGCTCTAGATGGTCAGACCCTGAGCCAGGCCTGAATCAGCTGGGCAGCCTCAGTCTGTCTTTCCCCCTCTCTGGTCTCAGTCTCCTCCTGTAGACTATATGAGGGTGAGACATGACCTCTAGACCCTTCCAACTTTGGGCAGGAGGAAAGGAAGCCGCTTCTTATCAGATGCATCCCAAATTCTTAGAGGCTGGGCTTCCAGAGGCCAGGCCAAACTCCAAAGAATTTTTTCCCACCTCCCCTGTGTTTCCCTGAGGTCCAGCCCCCTACCTGCATGACCTCTGGGAGTGGCGGCTGAGCTCCCCACCATGGCCACTGCCGTCTGGCCCTGCAGGGTCCATCCCAGCTGCAGCCCTTAGTAAGAATCTGGTGGGGCCGCCCTAGTGCTCCTTTATCCCACCCTCTGGGGGCAGGGCCAAAGGGAGGAGGCGATTTGCAGCCAGGCCCGCCCCATCCCATGGCCCCAGGCCTGCTGGTGGGAGGCATGGAGGGCCCAGCCATGATGGCTGGGGAGCTGGGGGCTCAGGGTGTCCAATCCAGGCTCCAGGGCTGTGGGTGGGGTATAAAAGCCCTCAAGGATGTTTAGGTAATTATTGGAGGAAATTGGGGGATGGTTTAAGGACTTTAACAGTCTGGGAAGGCAGGGTGACTTGGGAGGGGGCCACGAGGACCTGGGAGTCTGGGAGTCCTGGGGCTTGGGAAGTAATGTGTCGTCTGAAGGTATTTGTGACTGAGGAAGCCGCTTGGGAGCCTCCCCACACCTCCAGAGCTACATGAGCCCCACCTGTGGAGCTAAGGTCAGGTGGAGAGATCAGAGAGCAGGCTGGGAGATGGTGTGAGCTGGGTGGGGGCACAGAGAGGCTGATCCAAACTGGCCCTGTACTGGACAGATCCAGGAGGCTCTAGGGTCCTGACTCCAGGCCTGAGATCTTTCCACAAAAAGTCCCTGTTGCCTGGCCTGTGTTTGCCAATGAAACCAGCTTGCTAACCTGGTCACAAAAAATTAGAATAGTGTTGATGTCCTAGCAAAGGCCACTATGAAAGGTAGCCAGGAGGGGGCTGCCCGAAACTGTATGTGGTGAGGACACTCCACATCGGATGGGAGGAAGGCAGCCCATCAGAGCCTCCTTTTTGGGTATATTGAGAGTAGATGGTTCACCTGGCTTGGGGCTAACCCTGAGTGATCCAGAGCCTACGTCTGTGCCCTCCAGGAGGCCTATGGAAATGTCTGTCTGGGAGGGACTGACCCTAAGTGCATCTTCCCAAGAGTTCTCAATCAAGTTCCTCAAAGACATGCTGTGTGCCTCTTCCCTGCAACCTCCTGGGGACTGACTGATGGCAGGGCTCGCCGGCACTCCTGGAAATCCACCGGCCCCAAGAACCAGGCTATCCCTGCCCCGATGGCGAGCCTGAGCTGGGTGATGGACTGATTGATTCCCTCTCTCAGTGAGTCTGTCCCCCGCACCTGGTCCTGAGAGCAGCATGGCCGTGGGATTTGGGCCCTGCTGGAGCGTTGGTCGGGGACTTTCTCCCCTTCTCCCTGGGATGGGGGTGCTGAGCAGCCCAGTGGGGCACAGGAACATTGTTTCTGGCCGAGGAGGCTCCAGGCTTGGCAGTTGGGCTGCCAGGAGGTTCTGTGAGCTGGCACTACACTTCATAACTCCCTTTTCCAGATAAACAATCTGTTGTCTTAAATTGTTTGCGGCAAAGATTATCTGATAAAGTTGTTGTGAAGATGAAATGAGGCCATAGGTGAAGATTGCTTGGCACTGGGCCTGACACACAGCTCAGCGAGGGTTTATAGCGGGGAAAGAGCAACGGGCGGGGAGCCAGGAGACCTGATATGACCTTGGACAAGGTGCCTCCCAGGCCTTGGCCTCAGTCTCTGCTACATAATGTGTCTGAGGAGATGGGGACCTTAGAGAAGGGGGATCATGGCCTCTAAGAGCGCTTCCAGCTCTGTTTCTAAGACTCCCTGAATTCCCATCTTACGCCTCCAAAGCCCAGTCTCTCTCTGCCAGACTGTACTGCCCTGTGTGGGAGACAAGATGCGAAAGTTAAAAAAAAAAAGTAAGAGGAATTAACTTAAAATTAAAGGAGAGATTTTAAAATTGAATTTTACAACTTCCTATGCCTATCAGTAGGTTGAAACACTAGGTTGGGAAACCAATAGTCCTGGAAATTTTTGTTATATATTTCACTTTTGCTGGATCAAATTTTTTTTTTTTAATTTTTATAGGTATTACCAATATGACCTTCATTGGAGGCTGCGCCAGTTTACAATCCTACCAACAGTATGGACTGCCCGTTTCTTCACACCCTTGCCAACACAATGTTATCAAACTTTTAAGTATTCAATTTAGTAAGTAAAACAACAGTATCTCAGCTGGGTGCCACAGCTCACACCTGTAATCCCAGGCCTTTGAGAGGCCAAGATGGGAGGATCGTTTGAGCCCAGGGGTTTGAGACCAGTCTGGGCAACATAGTAAGACCCTGTCTCTACAAAAAATCAAGAATAGTGAAGTGTGGTGGTGCATGCCTGTAGTCCCAGCTACTCAGGTGGCTGAGGCAGCAGGATCGCTTGAGCCTGAGAGGTCCAGTCTGCAGTGAGCTCTGATCATGCCATTGCACTCAGCCCGGGTGACAGAGTAAAACCCTGTCTCAAACAAAAACAAAAACAAAGCAGTATCTCATTGTAGTTTTAATTTACATTTCTCTTATGAATGAGGTTAAGCATCTTTTCATATTTTTCTTTTTTTTTTTTTTGAGACAGAGTCTTGCCCTTGTTACCCAGCCTGGAGCGCAATGGCGTGATCTCGGCTCACTGCAACCTCCGTCTCTCCCAGGTTCAAGCGATTCTCCTGCCTCAGCCTCCCGAGTAGCTGGAATTACAGGCGCTCAACACCACGCCCGGCTAATTTTGTATTTTTGGTAGAGATGGGGTTTCTCCATGTTGGCCAGGCTGGTCTCGAACTCCTGACCTCAGGTGATTTGCCCGCCTTGGCCTCTCAAAGTGTTGGGATTACAGGCGTGAACCACCACGCCCGGCCATCTTTTCATATTAAGAGGCATTTCCTTTTATGTTCATATCCTTTGCTCATTTTTCAATTGGATTGACCTTTTACTCATTGATTTATAACTGTTCTTTTTTTTTTTTTTTTTTTTTTTTTTAAGACGGAGTCTTGATCTTGTCACCCAGGCTGCAGTGCAATGGCACGATTTTGCCTCACTGCAACCTCTGCCTCCCGGGTTCAAGTGATTCTCCTGCCTCAGCCTCCTGAGTAGCTGGGATTACAGGTGCCCGCCACCATGCCCAGCTAATTTTTGTATTTTTAGTAGACGTGGGGTTTCACCATGTTGTCCAGGCTGGTCTCGAACTGCTGGCCTCAGGTGATCCACCTGCCTCAGCCTCCCAAAGTGCTGGGATTACAGGCGTGAGCCACCATGCCCGGCCTATAACTATTCTTTATATAATAAAGAAATTAGCCCAAAGGTTTTGCCATTTTTACATGGTTGGTTTAAAATTGCTTCCTTATGGTGTGTTTTATTTCAGGCAGAACATTTTTAAATGTATGTAGCAAAAGTTTTTAATACTTTATATTTTGGGGGAACAGTGTCTCCCTCTATGCCCAGGCTGGAGCGCAGTGGTGCCATCTTAGCTCACTGCAGCTTCAAACTTCTGGGCTTAAGCGATCCTCCTCCCTCAGCCTCCCGAGTAGCTGGGACTACAGGCATGTACCACCACGCCCGGCTAATTTTTAAAAACGTTTTGGCCGGGCATGGTAGCTCATGCCTGTAATCCCAGCACTTTGGGAGGCTGAGGTGGGTGTATCACCTGAGGTCAGGAATTTTGAGACCAGCCTGGCTAACATAGTGAAACCTGTTTCTACTAAAAATACCAAAAATTAGCTAGGCGTGGTGGCGCACGCCTATAATCTCTTGGGAGATTATATCAACTACTTGGGAGGCTAAGGCAGGAGAATTGCTTGAACCTGGGAGATGGAGGTTGCAGTAAGCCGAGATCATGCCATTGCACTCCAGCTTGGGAAACAAGAGTGAAACTCCGTCTCAAAAACAAAACAAAACAAAACAAAACAAAACTTTTTGGAGAGATGGGGGTCTCACTATGTTGCCCAGGCTGGTCTTGAACTCCTGGCCCCAAGTGATCCTCCTGCCTTGGCCTCCCAAAGTGCTGAGATTACAGGCATGAGCCACTGCACCAGCCTGATGAACATTTTTATTGTTTCCAAATGTTTGCTATTGCTCCTGTAAACGTTTATATAAGTCTTGGTGTAATTTGATGGGTTTCTCTCTAGGGTACTGTCTCAGGATGGCTTCTCTAGGAAATAGATTTGGAAGTTTACTTGCACAACACTTTCTGGGGAATGCTCTTTAGAACAACACCTGTAAGGAACTGAAGGAAGCAGGATTGGTCAGAGGATTCTCCCTAACCAGTTAAGTTAACCATTGAAGTTAAGCTGCAATGTAATTATAAGAGAAGCCTCAGCTCTGGAGCTGGGCCAGTCTTTGCAGTTGTCCCAAAACGGGCAAGAAGGCTTGGCCTTTGTACTCCCATGTTGGACACAGGCTGCCCTGAGCAGGGCGTGTGCATATCCTTGGGTGAGGCAGCTTCCTTTGGTAAGGGCAATTCACTGAGAGGAACTCAGCTTTGAATTCAGCAGCCGATACCCCCAGCAGCTGGGTCCTGAGGGGTGGGATCTGGGTGGTGCCCGGTAGCATCCACAGGCACATTTTAATAGGAAAATGCAGGGTAACAGAGTGTGTGCACCTTCAACTTGACTAGATTTTGCCAAATTGTTTTTCAAATTGATCGTACAGCACAACTTCTCCCTTCTGCAGTGTATGAGAATTTTTATTGATATTCTTTCCATATTTTCTACATCTTGATTTCCCTGTGTTATTTTCTGGAAATTTTCTTTCTTTTTTTTTTTTTTTTTAAGACGGAGTCTTGCTCGGTCACCAGGCAGGAGTACAGTGGCATGACCTTGGCTCACTGCAACCTCCGCCTCCCGGGTTCAAGCAATTCCCCTGCCTCAGCCTCCCAAGGGGCTGGGACTACAGGCGTGCACCACCACGCCTGCCTAATTTTTTGTATTTTAGTAGAAACAGGGTTTCACCATGTTGGCCAGGATGGTCTCGAACTCCTGACCTCATGAACCGCCCACCTCGGCCTCTCAAAGTGCTGGGATTACAGACGTGAGCCACCATGCCCGGCCGAAAATTTCTACAGATCCTTCTTGAGGAGCAAAAAATAATCTCTAGCTGTGTCTAATTTTTAACTCATTCAGGTTTTTTTTTTTTTCTTAGAAGTTCCAGGCATTTCTTAATTTTTTTTTTCTTAAAAAAGCAAATTGGCTGGGCGCAATGGCTCACGCCTGTAACCCTAACACTTTGGGAGGCTGAGGCGGGCAGATAACCTGAGGTCAGGAGTTCAAGACCAGCCTGACCAACATGGTGAAACCCCATCTCTACTAAAAATACAAAAATTAGCCGGGCGTGGTGGCGGCCACCTGTAATCCCAGGTACTTGGGAGGCTGAGGCAGGAGAATTGCTTGAACCTGGGAGGCAGAGTTTGTAGTGAGCCGAGATCATGCCATTGCACTCCAGCCTGGGCTACAGAGCGAGACTACATCTCAAAACAAAAAAACAAACAAAGCAAATTATTCCTTTCTTATGTTTTGATTTTTTTTTTGAGTCGAAGTCTTGCTCTGTCGCCCACGCTGGAGTGCAGTGGCTCGATCTCAGCTTACCGCAACCTCCATCTCCCAGGTTCAAGAGATTCTCCTGTGTCAGCCTCTGGAGCAGCTGGGACCACAGGCATGTGCCACTGCGTCTGGCTAATTTTTTGTGTTTTTAGTAGAGACAGGGTTTCGCCAGGCTGGCCTCAAACTTCTGATCTCAGGTGATCCACCCGCCTCACCCTCCCAAAGTGCTGGGATTACAGGTGTGAGCCACCACGCCCAACCTTGATTTCTTTTTTTTTTTTTAATGTATTTTTTATTTTATTTTTATTTTTTGAGACGGAGTCTCGCTCTGTCGCCCAGGCTGGAGTGCGGTGGTGCGATCTCGGCTCACTGCAAGCTCCGCCTCCTGGGTTCACTCTATTCTCCTGCCTCAGCCTCCCGAATAGCTGGGATTACAGGCGCCCACCACCATGCCTGGCTAATTTTTTGTATTTTTAGTGGAGATGGGGTTTCACCGTGTTAGCCAGGATGGTCTCGATCCCCTGACCTCATGATCCACCCGCCTTGGCCTCCCAAAGTGCTGGGATTACAGGCGTGAGCCACCGTGCCCGGCTATCTCTCTAATAAACTTCTAATTTCAGAATACTTTTAGGTTTATAGAATTATTGCCAAGAGAATCTTCTAAGTCTCCTAAGTTTGCTTTCTTCTTTTTTTAGTTTAAATGCTTGATTCATTTGTCCTGAGCATTATTAAAAAGAGACCAGGTGACCAACTGTTTTCCCCAAAGTTTTGATCCTGGCTGAAAAGCAGAGATCCTAAGGCTGCGGATGGAATACCGGCCATGCCTCTTCCTAGCTGTGACCACAGGCACACCCCTTAATCTCTCATTGCGCTTCCTCCTCTGTAAAATGACAGGTGATAATGTTTACCTTATAAGATTAGAGGTGATGTATGTATAATGCATGAATAGCTGCTTAATAAGGAATAGCAATTAGGGTAGTAACAACGGGGGCCAGAGTCATATGATGCTCTTTGCAGCACCAGAAGCCAGGCAAAGTGGTTGAGACAGCTTCGACTCTCTGAACTGAGTGAGAACTGGTTATTTAGTATACTGGGTTCTTCAGTGCTGGGAAGAGGACTGGCCTTTAACAACTGAGACACACACAGTCTTTGACTATTTTTTCCCCATTTGATAGTGTGGGAAAGAATAGGGAGGTGAGTAAAATAAACCAAGTGTAGAAAGTAAAAAAGGTTCCTCTTCAAAGTTTCCCTTCTTGTTAAAAAATAAATCATAAGTGTTAGAAATAATAGTTTCTTTTAAAGACTAACTTCCTTCAAGCCACCTTGTTTTGTGCTAATAACTCTTTGTTAAGCCCTATCCTGTGTAGCTGTTAGATATAAGGGAATTAGTACATTCTATGTCCTTGTACTTTAACCAGATATTTGGTTATTACTTTTCTAAGTCCTTTTGCAAGCAACTTCCTCTTTTCCTTTGTTCTCCCTTGCCTTCACCTATTTAGGAAAGTTTTAAGTTATTAGCCAGTCAGGTTTAGCTTAGATTGTGTGGTCTGGCTTCAGCCAATGGAGACAGGACACAGTAGCAGGGACAAGCTGCATAAAGGATAAAAATTGCTTCCCTCCTTTGTTCGTGTGTGCTCTCGCCATTGTTCCATCTGTGAGGAACACCCTTCCTGCAGAAAGTAAAATTGCCTTGCTGAGAAAACTTTTTGTCTAAATGCTAATTTTTCCTTATAGTTCCAAGGAACAAGCATTCTGTTTCTGAATAAACATTTTACTTATAACACCAAGTAAACCAGAGGATTCCATTATAAAAAAGGCTACCAATTTCAGAGATGCCCTGGTTCCAAGCACCCCTTTTTTTCTTCCTTCTCCTCTTTTCCTCCTGTTCCCCTGGGGCTGTCACTCTCTGGACTGAGATGAACCATATGGGACCTGACAATTCAGATTGCTCTGCCAAGATGACCAGCAAAGAAAGAAAACAAGGAGGCAAGTGCTGTAGTGACCATCCCTTAGCTGTGGGCCTCTGGGATCCCTCACACTGGGGCTGGTGCCTGTACGCTGTGCTAGTTGTTTGCCTGCAGACGCTTGGTTCAGTTCCCACCCTTCCACATGCTCCTCTATGCTGCAAGGGCTGGAAGTCTACAAACTCCATTTCCTAGACTACCATGCATTTTTTTCCCCCAATGGGAGGTAAAAGCAACAGACTGGAAGATAGGCAGAAGGAAGAATCCTTTGCTTCCCCAACCCCAAACTCTGACAGCACTTCTGGCAGAAGCAGCTGAGACCAGGCTATGAGTTATGGGGCTACAGCACTCAAGCAGTGAGGTTCCAGGGGCAGCAGTGGTGGTGGCCTCGGGCACTCTGGTGGCCCCATATGTACCATCTGCGTGAACTCAGGCACCAGCAGTCTGGTTCTACAGTCAAATCAACTGGTGACTTCAGGCTCCTGGGTCGCCGCAGTGTCAGTGTGTGTTGTAGCAACGGTGGGCCCTGAATACCATTTTCCCATTCAGCCCTGGAGGTGAGAATGGCTTCCTGCAGTTAGTCATCTCTGGATGACTCCTATTTCCCCCTATTGATCTTTCAGTACTTCCAATACTTTTGTAACAACTCCCTGCAGTACATTCCCCATTTGGAAATATTTAGCTGTAGTTTTTTCCTGACTAAACACATACTCTGTTACACACCCTGACCTGGCCTCACACTGCAAACAAACCCATGGCTGCCGGGGGCTGGGCTCGACTGGACCGCTGGGGAGATGGCACTCAGGAAAGACAGGAGAGAGCTGGGTGGCAGCAAAGGAGAGGAAAGCCGTGATCTCTTGTGGTGATGAAAAACTGGCTTTGATCTATTGAGTCCTGCATCCGCCTCCTCCAGGGGCCTTCCCCTTCCCCAGACCCCAAGTGCTCCACCAGGTGAGGCCAGGGCACCACAAGTCCTTTGTCCCCTCACACCCCAAATTCTCTCTGCAGGGCGGAAATGGCATAGTCGTCCACCTGACTGACAAGCGGTGAGCAAAGCGAGGTGGAGGCAGGGGAGGGTTTTGGAGCCCAAAGCCTCCTTTGCCCTCCAGTACTGGATGTGGAGGAGGCGTGGAGCCCTGTAAGCCCCAGGAAAAACATGCAAGTAACTGAGTCAGCTTCCAGTCAGCTCTTAAATATTTAATTCCCATTTATTTAAAGTTTCGTCAGTCTGTGTACACTATTTATATTAAAAACACAGGAAGCTGGGGCTCCTAGCAAAAATATACATTTCAATTTTGGAGATTGTTCAGACACTGAGAAGAGCTGTATCCTCAGCACCAGACCCGGGTCGGGGCAGGGACGCGGCATGTGGCCGGGGAGGGGGAGGTGGGTCCCAGCAGCTGTCCCTTCATAGCCTTGGCCTGAAAGGAAGCACCCCAACCCCCATCAGCTGGGTAGGTGGGGAGCGGGAAGAATCCTGCCAGCAGAGAGTGATCCTGGGGCATGGAAGGGAGGCTGCAGCGCCCGTAGGGGCAGGGGCTGGGCACTTCCACCCAGAGTCACACACAGAATGGCTCCTTGGGAGGGAGGACCAGGCAGGACCCAGGAAGCCTGGGCTTGAACCCCAGTTCTCCTACCTCTGTGCTCTGAGACTCCAGCCAGCCCCTTGCCCCTGCAGGCCTGGAGGGCTCTGCGCCGCTCAGACATGGCATGCCCAGCTGTGCTTTGGCCCTGCTCTGAGGTGAGCGCACCTCAACCTGGGAGCAGGGGAGGGCAGGGACCAGCGGTGTGGGACTGGTCCCACAAGGTCCCCGGACACTAGAGGCTGTGCAGGGAGACTTCTAGGTGGCCAGCTGGGCTGAGTAAAGGGGAAGGGGAGGGCAGTAGAGCTATTGGGACAAATGGACATCAGAATGAACAGGCTCAGTTTATCCCGGGAAGCTCCCACTGGGAGCAGGTGCTGGGCTGACCCACCAGGACCTGCAGGACCCCTGCCTCCCCGGAGACCTGGCCCAGCCCTGCCTGCTCACCTGCAGGCCCCTCTCTCTGGGTTCTCACCTGCCTCAGGGAGGGAAGGGAGGTGCATGGAGCCTGCAGGTAAAGTGATTTCAGTGCTTATGTGTGTGTGCTGGAGGGGCAGCTTCAGGGGGAGTGGGGCCTGAACTCCCGTGGAGCCAGCTAGAGAAAGGAGCAGGGGGATGTGAGGCCAGGCCCTGGCCCTGGATGCTGACACAATGTGGGCGGCTGCTACTGGGCAGGGGGGCAGTGGGAGTGCTGGCGGAAGGCCTGCCCCGAGCTCTCCCTGGCCTGACCCCAGGACTCAGACCCCGAGTCCTAGGGGCAGAATTGGGTGTGCTGCTTCCTCCAACCACCAATCCCCCCTCCTTCTCTTGAGACTTGCTCCTCTTCAGTGAGGTGGGGGCCCACCTGGAGGGAACCCTGCCTACTTCCAAGCTGGGAGAGTGCCGTCCAGCGGCCAGTGCAGGGGGCCATCAGCAACATTGGCCTGGCAAACCAGTGTGAAGATGGAAGGACACTGGGTGTCAGTGGGGCTGAGGTGTGCTGCTGGAGCAGGATCAGTTGGGTCAGTGGGTGGCCTCAGCATCGGAGGGGCAATGACAGTCTTGGGGAGGCATCTGGCTCTCAGCCTGGGGCCTCCTGCCCACTGTCCTTTGCAGCAGGGACCCCATGACTATAGGGGGCTGCAGTCAGTCCAGGCCATGCTTAGCCTTCCCTGGAACCCAGGCCCAGAGAGCTTAGTGTTTCTTTGGATGGCTCAAGTCTTTTGCTCTGAAGACAGGAGACAGAAGTGAGGACCTAAGCCTGCAGGTGCAATGATGGGGCAGAGGGCAGGCCCCACTCTCTTCTGCTCCTGGGGAAAAGGTGTGCAAAAGCAGAGGTCCTGTTCTATGCTGCTGGTGAAATAATACAAAACATCTCACAGAATAAGAAAGGAGGACAGACGTGGGGGGTGGAGAGAGAAAGGGAGGGCAAGGGAGAAGGGAAGAGAGAAACCTACAGAAAGGAAGAAACAGAGCAACAGGAATTAGAAAAGAAAGAGGAACTGAGAAAGAGGGAGACAACAAAGACAGGAAGAGAGCTGGCTGGAGGAAGCGGGAGAGAGGGCACAGGGAGCCAGAGGCCGTGGGTGTCATGTGTCTGAGGGCGATCGTGGGACTCTGCTGCTCCAGGCCGGGTGCTCAAGGGCTGGTCAATGGAAAAGTCATGTGGGTGGGCCCCTCCAGTGCTGGCCCCATTGGAGTCTGCAGGGAGGCCTGGGTGCCGCCGTTAGTACATGTCCTTGTAGATCTCCTGGAGCAGAGGGTGCAGCGAGGTCTCGGTTTCGGTCTTCTTGATCCGCTGCATCATCTGGGCGTGCTCGGTGACCAGTTGCCGCAGGTCAGCCATCTTCTGCAGCAGCTTGGGGAAGAGGTACTGGGCATCAGGGTGGTTGGCCTGCAGGTGGAATTCGAGGGCACGCAGGATGGTGTCCTGGATAGCCTCCACCCGTGGAACGTTCATGAGGCCTGGCCGGTCTGTGGGGACACAGGGCACGCCAGGGAGCTCAGAAAGGCAGTGGAGCTCCCCTACTTCCACCCCAAGAGGTGACTTGGCCCAGGGGACGGCAGGCCTCCTTGGCCGTGACAGACCAAGCCCTGTCCCATCAGCAATGCTCCACTGGGTGTTCTAATCTCCCTACCCCTGGTCTTAATCCACTTCTTTTGTTTTTTGCCAATTTGTCCCCACCTCCCCCCCGATTAGGCAACGTAGTATTGTGGTTAAGAGACTCAATGCTTAATTCAAATCCTGTGTCTGCCTGTGAGGCTATAGGCAGGTCATTCAGCCTCTCTGATGTGTAAAATGGAGACACAAAACATTCTTCCTGCACAGGGTTGTTGTGAGGATCAAGTGAGTCATCATCGATGAAAAGAACAGTGCCTGGCATGAAGTAAGCTCTAGACCACTGTTAGTTAGCATAGTTATTATTGTATTTATTGTGTTGGAATTTTAAAAATGCAGAAAAAATGCAGACAATTTTTCCACCCCACATTAACATGACAGCATACTGCCTGTTAGTCCTTTTCCTTTTTTTTGAGACAGGGTCTCACTCTGTCACCCAGGCTGGAGTGCAGTGGTGGGATTTTGGCTCACTGCAACCTCCACCTCTCGGGTTCAAGCGATTCTCCTGGCTCAGCCTCCCAAGTAGCTGGGATTACAGGCGCGTGCCACCACATCTGGCTAATTTTTTGTATTTTTAGTAGAGACGGGGTTTCACCATGTTGGCCAGGCTGGTTTCGAACTCCTGACCTCAAGTGATCCACCCGCCTCGGCCTGCCAAAGTGCTGGGATTACAGGTGTGAGCCACCACGTCTGGCTTAGTCTTTTTCCTGTCTCCACCTCTATCTACGTACATAATGAGATGGAGCTGATCCTGCATGCTCAGTCAGTGCCTTGCATGTTCCACTGCCAAGATCACAGGGACACTTCCCCACACTGTCAGAGCTCAGGCACAGTGCCCTGCAGTGAGGGCCAACCCCCAGGACGACTGGGTGTGCCAGGCCAGCCCACCTGCCCCACTCTCACTCACCTCCACACAGAATGATGGCCGCAATGAATAGGGCCAGGTCACTGTCATCAAGTTCCAGGGCGTTGAACTTGACAGCAAATTCAAACTTAGGCTCAATGATATCACTGAAGGGTTTGCGGAGGCTGCGCAGGAACTCACGGGTGACAAAGCCACTGCCGTTGGCTACCAGCAGCCCGTCCTTGTTGACGATAGAGGCCAGCATGGCGAAGATGGCCTCGTGCACGCCATACTTGAGAAGGGTAACCTGGTCGTTGAGGAAGAGGCTGCTGAAGCTGGGGATGCTCTTGGCGAACTCAGTGAGCTCCCGCACGGTCTCCACTGTGGTGCACTGGCAGCGGTAGAAGACGTGCACGCTGATCTCCTTGTAGGGAGGCAGGCCATTCACCAACTGCTTCCACACCAGCCCCTTCTCTGCCTGCCACAATGTCTCGATGTCGTGGATCACAAAGGGCTGAAAACCAGGCCCCGTTAGAGATCAGGCCTCGGGAGACCCCCACCCTGTGCTCCCCATGTCCCTTGCCTGCACCATGAAGTTGAGGGAGGGAGAAGGCCTGGCTCTCCCGGAGTCAGGCAGGCGGCAGTGGGACCCAGAGCCCAGGATGCTGCCAGGCCAAGCAGCAGCAACACTCACCGCCGTGTGGCTGGCTTTGCCGGTGAGGATGCTGCGGGCCTTCTTTTTGGTCATGTTGAAGTTTTTCAGGTAGGCATTGTAGATGTGCTTGGAGAAGGCCTTCAGGTCGGCCACCTGTGGGTTGTACTGGCTCCCCTCGTTTGCAGTCAGCCCTGCCACCAGCTTCCTCTTCTCAGCCTCCGGCATCCGACCAAAACGGATAGCTGCACAGGGAAGGGGGCAGTCAGCAAGGAGCCCAGGCAGGCCCCAGCACCTCTGACATCCCCATCCCTTTACAGGTGCATGGGCCAAATCCTTTTGGAGCCTAAGGCCCCCAGAAGCTCTAGAGTCAGCAAGGTAGGAATGATGGGGTGGCCCCTCCAGATCGCAAGCTCCACAAGATGTGATTTTTTTTTTTTTTTGGTGTATCTTTGCAAGAGCAGTGATTTTGTCTGTTTTGTTCACAGTGCCCAGCACACAAGGACTCTAACTTACTGAGTGACTGAGCTACGCTAGCTGGGGTAAGACAGACTTTGGTGACAAAGGCCTGGGCTTGAGTTCCAGCTCAGCAGTTTACTAGCTTTGTGACTTGGGGCAGACTCCTTCACTTTTCTTTTTCTTTTCTTTTTTTTTTTTTGAGACAGAGTCTCGCTCTGTCTCCCAGGCTGGAGTGCAGTGGCACGATCTCGGCTCACTGCAACCTCTGCCTCCCGGGTTCAAGCAATTCTCTGTCTCAGCCTCCCGAGTAGCTGGGATTATAGGCGCCCACCACCATGCCTGGCTAATTTTTGTATTTTTTTTTTAGTAGAGACAGAGTTTCACCATCTTGGCCAGGCTGGTCTTGAACTGCTGACCTCAGGTGATCCACTCGCCTTGGCCTCCCAAAGTGCTAGGATTATAGGCATGTGCCACCATGCCCAGCCTTTTTCTTTTTTTGTTTTGAGACAGGGTCTCACTCTCATCCAGGCTGGAGTACAGTGGCACAATCATGGCTCACTGCAGCCTTGACCTCCTGGGCTAAAGTGATCCTCCCGCCTCAGCCTTCTGAGTAGCTGGGACTACAGGTGCACGCCACCAAGCCTGGCTAAATTTTTTTTTTTTTTTTTTTTTTTTTTGTAGAGATGAGGTCTCACTATGTTGCTCAGGCTGGTCTTAAACTCCTGGACTCAAGCAATCCTCCTACCTTGGCCTCCCAAAGTGATGGGATTACAGGTGTGAGCCACTGCACCTGGCCACTTTTCTTTTTTAATCAGAAAAATGAGGCTAATACTTTTTAAAACTTACTGAGTTATTAGATCAATTAAATAAGAATCCTCACATAGTAAGCACTCAAAAATTGTTGTCATTAGTAATTGAGTAGGATACGAATTCGACTTCTCCTGGAGTTAGCGTAAGGAGAGGGATTCAGTCAGTTCCGAGATTTCCTAAGAAAGGAGTCAAACCCAGACCTGCCAGACCCCATTACCCAGGAGAGCCGCAAATGGAGGGCTCAGGTACTGCTACCCTCTAAGATGCAAGGCAGTTAGGGCATCCCTGGGTAAAAGCTGGCCAAGCAGCTAACCTGCCTGTAGAGATCACAAGAGGCTCTCCCCTGTCCTCTAGGGGTCTTACTCAGAGAGGTACTGAGGGGACAGGTGGGCTTTGCAATATCCTACCCTGGGGTCCGAAGACAAGGCTCTGCAGGAGGCCTGGAGCACAGGGCAGAGAAGGCTCTGTCTCCTGGGAGTGGGTGACCTCCAAGAAACTTCTGCCTGGCTCCTGGCAGTTGACAAATGTGGTTACTTACTGGTTACTGCCTGCCTTCTATAACCAAGAAGGGCCACCTGGCCTTGGCAGTAGCTTTCATGCTGTGTCAGGTCATCTGAGACAGGCTTGAGTTTCTGGGACTGGTGTTCCCCAAATTGTTCAAGCTGGTATCAATTATCAGTTCCCTTCTGGGCCAGAATGCGTAAACCTCAGGTATAGGGAGGTAAACACTACCCCACGCCTGGGACCCATGGTAGATGCTGGCAGTCTGAGGAAGTGGCAGGTCTTAGGCTCTAAGATCCAAGGTCCAGATCAGCAAAGCCAACAGCCAACAGCCATGGTGCTTACTGTGCGCCAGGCACTGCTCTACAGGTGCCCCCTCTAGGCTGCCCCAAGGGCTCCCTGGACCTTGGTTTCAGGCTGTGTGGAGCCAGCAGCCCGTGAGTTGCCCTGGTCAGCTCTCACCGTTGTGTGACATGCCCAGTGCCAGGCACTTCTGGAAGCGGCAGTACTGGCACTTGTTGCGGTTCTTCTTCTGAATCTTGCAGCTGCGCTCACACTTCTCGTACTCCAGCTTCATGCGGATCGTACGACGGAAGAAGCCCTGAAGCACCAAGAACAGGTGAGGAAAGGCCACCAGGAGGTGGGAGGGAGGCTGTGCCAAAGGGCCCGATTATGTATAAGGTGTAAACACTCCTGACATTTGGAAGTAACGAGAAGAAATTTTTTTGGAGGGGAGATGGAGAAGGAAAGTAATTCTAAAACTTTAATTAAAACTATTTTAGTTCAGGCACAGTGGCTCACGCCTGTAATCCCAGCACTTTGAGAGGCCGAGGTGGGCGGATCACCTGAGGTCAGGAGTTTGAGACCAGCCTGGCCAACATGGTGAAACCCCGTCTCTACTAAAAATACAGAAAAATTAGCTGGGTGTAGTGGCACACCCCTGTAATCCCAGCTACTCAGGAGGCTGAGGCAGGGGAATCGCTTGAACCCGGGAGGTGGAGGTTGCAGTCAGCCAAGATCGCGCCATTACACTCCAGCCTGGACAACAAGAGTGAAACTCCATCTCAAAACAAAACAAAACAAAATAAAACAAAACAAAACAAAAAAAAAACACAACTATTTTAAATGTCTAAAGAAGTCCTAAAGCTTCTTTGTTGGGGCTGGACACAGTGGCTCACGCCTGTAATCCCAGCACTTTGGGAGGCCGAGGTGGGTGGATCACCTGAGGTCAGGAGTTCAAGACCAGCCTAGCCAACATGGTGAAACCCCGTCCCTATTAAAACTACAAAAATTGGGTCAGGCACAGTGGTTCACACCTGTAATCCTAGCACTTTGGGAGGCCAAGGCAGGTGGATCACCTGAGGTCAGGAGTTCGAGACCAGCCTGGCCAATGTGGTGAAACCCCATCTCTACTAAAAATACAAAAATTAGCCAGGCATGGTGGCATGTACCTGTAATCCCAGCTACTCTGGAGGCTCAGGCAGGAGAATCTCCTGAACCCGGGAGGTGGAGGTTGCAGTTAACTGAGATCACGCCACTGCACTCCAGCCTGGGCGACAGATCGAGATTCCATCTCAAAAAAAAAAAAAAAAAAAAAAAAAGCTTCTTTGTTAGTTTGGTAACATAAGATTGTCTCACGGCTAACTTGATTTCTTCATAAATGTATCTGGTTCTGTGTATTTGTGAGGTGGTGATTCAATAAAATAATCTGTGAGATTTTGATGGGTGTGAAGTTAGGAAGGACCCACAAATATCACTGGAAAAACAAATGTCTGTCCTTTTTTCTCAGAGCCCGCTTTGAGCCTTGAGAAACAAGAAACCCAGACCTCAGGTAAGACGATGGCTCAGCCCAAGACCCTCATTCTGCCCTAGCTGCCTGGTCCCCAGGGGGACACAATCACCCACAGAGCTGGGTCAACACAGGTGCCCAGCAGGGTAGGCTTGACAAGGGAACCCCCTCTTCTCCTGCAGTGCCCAGAGCTGAGGTCTGGAGCACAAGGGCCTGGCTGCCTCCTGGGCAGGAATTCTGCAATAGGTACAGTCAGGGCCCCACCCCAAGGCAAGGAAAGCTTTGTGGAGGGTCAATTCACCATGTGACCACAGCCTCAGTGGCCAGCCACCGCTCCCCCCAGTCCGTACCTTGCACCCCTCACATGCATGAACACCGTAGTGGAAGCCCGATGCCTTGTCCCCGCACACCCGGCACTCCATGTTGAGGCTGCCGCATGAGGCCCCGTCACAGCCCATCTGCAGTTGGTCCAGCAGTGAGGGTGGCGAGGAGCTCCGGGAGAGGTCTGCGGACACACGATGGAGGGGCAGCTCCACATGCTGCCAGGCCTGGAAGCCAGGGCGTGGGAACAGCCCCACAGCCCTCGCCTCAGCCACTTAACAGCTGTGTGGCCTCAGGGAGTCAACCTTTCTGAGGACCAGTTTCTTCACCTAGAACAGGGGGTACTGACAGCTTCTCTGGGAGGATGGGCAAAAAGTCTCCACAGCATTTCTCCCAGAGCCTAACATACAGAAGATGTCCAGTACACAGCAGCTATTACCATCAGGGCTGGGTCAGAGGCTTCCTGGGCTGAACTCACCATGGGGTAGCAGTGGGGAGGAGGATGGCTGTGTTTTGGGAGGAAAGCAAGAGAGAGAAAGCAGACAGAGGGTCTTAGCCCTTAGGAAGCAGCTCTCCTGGTTCAGAGGTTGCCACCGTGTGGCCCATATGGAGATGTGTGCAACGTGTTTTGCAGAAACTGCAGGACTGTAGACCTCTGCAGAGCTAGCCTCCCCACCATCCCCCACAGGAAGTTCTATTCTTGCATAGACTCCAGGGATGCTGTAAACAATCTCTTCAAGAAGCTCAAGTTCATTCCCATGAAAACTTCTTGAGTAGAACAGCTTAGGTATCAGTCATATTGATTAAGCAACACACTGAATTTCTCCAAGTTTTTCTATCAGACGTATAGATGTTTGAACCACGGGGTGTTGAGTGTGTTGGCGAGAAAGGCAGTTTGCTAAGGCTATGACTTCAGGATATATCTGCTGTCAGATGATTTCATAAGAACTGCTAGGATTCTCTTCCCAGTGCCCTTTGGACACTCGGAAATGATCTCTTCATCTTGGAAAGGGGACCTGAACTGAGTCTCAGCTTCCTGACTCCTAGCCCAAAGCTGGTTTCATGGCCCCACATACCAGCTGTCCTACCTCTGCCATGATGACCGTCCAACCTCTGCACTCTTCTCTAATGACTGAGCAACCTCCCCAAAAGCAGGTGCCAAACCTCCAAACCAGAGAATCAGCCATTTTGAGTAGAAGGGGATGTTGGGGGACCGAAGCCACAGAGATAAACCCAGGCTAATGTTTTCCAGGCCTGTGGTAATACCTGTCTACTACACAGGCCAAGCAACTTTGATTTCCCCACCATGGGAGTACCTATCCACCTGCTACCAATCAAAGTGCACTCCATCCTTCCCACATGGTCTCCCCACTCCCCCAGCTTCCCCTTGGGTCCTAGGAGTGGCAGCAGGAAAGCCTGCTTCCCCTATCCTGACCACAGGAGGGGGAGCACAAGAAGCACCCAACTGTGGCAGAGAGGACCCAGTGGGCTGCTCCCCTCCTGGCTGGTGAGGTTTAGGGGTAACACAAGTCTCTGGTTCCTAAAATGGCCTGTCTTGTCCTGGCACCTTAGCTCCCAACTTCAGTCATTCCAAGGTGTTGTAACTGTTCCTCTTGACCCAGACTGGGACAGTGGGCTCCCTACATCTCTCGGGCCTGGGAGGGAAAAGCTGTGCTCTGGGAGGGTGAAGCCGCTTTGGTCTTCTCAGTAGCCTTTGTCACCGCCTGACATATCCTGTGTGTGTTCATTGTTGGAAGCCACCCACTAGACAAAAGGGCCACAAGGGCAGGAACTTTGTCCACCAGGGCACCAGCGTGGTCAGACACTGAGAGCTGTGTGAGGTGCTGGGCACGCAGCAGGCACGCGATAGCTCTCTGCACATCTGGCAGTCCTCAGGCTGCCTGGGTGTCCTGACTGCAGCACCAACTGGCTGATGGGGCTGGGCAGGACCTGCCACTCCTGGAGGCATTTATAACAGGGACAATAAAACTCACAGCACCGGATGTTGGAAGAAAAAGAGATAACATGACAGAAACCCTTTGTGGATGCCTGTGCAGATGCTGGGGCAGGCAGGGTTTCTGGCACTTCCTCCTTGAATCTGTGCAGTCCGTGAGCATATGCTCGTGTTGGGGCATTTCTTGTAATTTTGTCTTTGTGGCCTGCACGTCTGCTTCCTCTGCGAGACTCTGCATGTCTCTACTCACGTTCCCTTTGGATCTCTGAGCTCACTTCCACCACCGAGTCTTGTCCACAGTGGCCAATACCCTCAGATTATTCACACCTCCTGGAGGTGCCTTTCTCATCCTCCCTGTGGCCATGGAAGGTCAGCAGGTGTCTAGTCATTTGGTTTCTGTTGGCACTGCACGTGACAATGTCACCCTCTGTGTTCACTCAAAAGACACATGATAAGCACCTTCTATATGCAGGACAGGACCTAGACTCTATCCTCAAATAGCTGAGGTAAGAAAGAGGTAACAGCAGGGCTGGGTGTGGTGGCTCACGCCTGTAATCCCAGCACTTTGGGAGGCCGACGCGGGCGGATCACGAGGTCAAGAGATTGAAACCATCCTGGCCAACATGGTGAAACCCCATCTCTACTAAAAATACAAAAATTAGCTGGGCGTGGTGGCACATGCCTGTAGTCCCAGCTACTCGGGAGGCTAAGGAAGGAGAATCACTTGAACCCGGGGGCAGGGGGGCGGAGGCTGCAGTGAGCTGAGATCGCGCCATTGCACTCGGCTGAGTGTGGTGGCTCACGCCAGTAATCGCAGTACTTTGGGAGGCCAAGGCAGGAGGATTACCTGAGGCCAGGAGCAACATAGTGAGACCCTGTCTCTATAAAAAGTAAAAAAAAAAAAATAGTTGGGTGTCGTGGCACCTGCCTATAGTGCCAGCTACTGAGGAGGCTGAGGCAGGAAAATCCTTGAGCCTAGGAGAGCTGTGATTGTGCCATCGTATACCAGCCTGGGTGATAAAGCAAGACTGTCTCTACTTAAAAAAAACAAAAGGCCAGGTGCAGTGGCTCACACCTGTGATCCCAACACTTTGGGAGGCTGAGGCGGGAGGATCACTTGAGCCCAGGAGTTTGAGACCAGCCTGGGCAACATAGTGAGACCCTGTCTCTATCTCTATAAAAAATTTTAAAAACTAGCTGGGTGTGGTGGCACATGCCTGTAGTCCCAGATACTTGGGAGGCTGAGGTGGGAGGATTGCCTGAATGTGGGAAGATGACTTGAGCCTGGGAGGTCCAGGTTGCAGTGAGCTGTGATTGCACCACTGTACTCCAGCCTGTGGTGACAGAACAAGACCTTGTCTCAAAAAAATAAATAAACAAATAAATAAACAAGAAAAACAAGGAAAGGTAAGGTGTAACTTAACCTACTGTAACTCACTTGTGCCTACAGGAAAAAAATAAAATAGAAAAAAAAAGAGAAAGAGATAAGAAAACTAGAACATGAGACAGAGTGGAGCAACGCCAGGTAAGGGGCAGTAAGAAGTGCAGGATATTGGAAGGAGCCATCACTCACGCATGTGACTGTCACGGAAGGGGACTGCTTCCCTCTCTGCTGAAAGAAAGGTGATGGCAGAATTCTTCTCATACTAGGGGCTGGGTTCTGAAGGTTCCACCACTTCCCCCGCATCATGATGTCCTGGGTAGAGGTGGGGGTAAGCAGGTGTCCTGCTAAAGGCACTCCATTGGACACCCATTTCATCTCACGTAAAACCTCAAAACAACCTTTCAAGATGGTCTTCTTACCCCCACTTTACAGGCAAGGAAGCCGAGGCTCCAAGGCTCAGAAGTGTTAGTAACTTGCTGGCAGCGGCTATGTTGGTCTTACATATCAACTTGATTAGGCCACGGTGCCCAGTTGTTTGACCAAACAATGTGCTAAGAAGGTGTTTTTTTTTTTTTTTTTTTTTTTTTTTTTTTTTTTTGAGATGAAGTCTCGCTTTTGTTCCCCAGGCTGGAGTGCAATGGCGCGATCTCAGCTCACTGCAACTTCTGCCTCCCGGGTTCAAGCGATTCTCCTGCCTCAGCCCCCCGAGTAGCTGGGATTACAGGCGCCCAGCTAGTTTTTTTTGGTATTTTTAGTAGAGATGGGGTTTCACCATGTTGGCTGGGCTGGTCTTGAATTCCTGACCTCAGGTGATCCACCCACCTTGGCCTCCCAAAGTGCTGGGATTACAGGCATGAGCCACTGTGCCCGGCCACTAAGAAGATATTTTTTAGATGCAATTAACATTTAAATCAGAAGACTTTGAGTAAAGCAGATTACCCTCCATAATGTGAGTGGCCCTCATCCAACAACTGAAGGCCTTAAGAAAAAAGACTGAGTGCCTACCGTGGCCCCACTGTGGAACAGGAAATTCTGCCTCCAGGCTGCCTTTGGACTTGAGCTGCAACATCAACTTCCCCGGCTCTCCAGCCTGCCTGCCTTTCAAAATTTGGACTTGCCACTCCAACAACTGTGTGAACCAATTCGTTAAAACACATCTCTTTCTTTCAACACACACACACACACACACACACAGGTTCTCCTTCTCTGGAGAACCCTGACTAATACAGTGACAGAGCAAGAATTATAACCTAGAACCATGCAATTCCTGGAGCTGAGCTCTTAACCTCGGCATCTCACTACTACGCATACCTACATGTTCAGTACCGCTAATCAATAACATTATTATGATGAACAAGAAGACACAGTCACTGCTGAGGAGGCACCATGTCATTATCCAAATGTTTGGATTCAGTGTAAACACTAGCCCTCTCACCCAGAGAGTAAAGTATCAGTTTCACCATCTTTGATGACAAGTTCAGCAAATAGACACTATTGACCTTATTCACATCATTTGTGGCTGAGAGCTCTCCTGCATATCTAGCCTCCAATGCTGGGAGAATGCCGTTGTCATGGCTGTGAAGACAGCCAGGAGGCGCCCGATTGGTCTATTTACTTTGCTGGCAGAGCTCACAGGCAAACAAGCACCCAGCAGCTTCTGAAGTCAGGCCAAATTCTGCAGGGATTTGAGGCTGGGTTACTGAGCAGCCTCTTTACTTCTGCTGTCCTGTTTGCCTGAACTGTGGGCTCCTTGGGACAGGCACTCAGCCTTGTCCACCACTGTATGGCCAGCCCTGGGCACAGTGCTGGGCCCAGCCTGATGCCCACCAAGTGCTTGCCAAGTGAGGAGGTGCTGAGGCCAGGAGGAAGGACACTTTATCTTCCTCTTTCTCAAGGGTGATTGGGATGGATGTCACTGAAGCAGGAGGGATGAGAATGGGAATGGGAGGTGAATCCTGGCTCTAGCTGTCTCTACTCCTACACGCCCAGGGGACCCTGGCAAGTGGGTTTCTGGTAACCTCAGTTTCCTTGTTGATGGGAAGGTCTGTCCTGCCTGGCTGGGGGGAGGGTGAGAAGGTGCATGGCAGGTGTTGAGCTCAATATCTGCACTGAGAGTCAGTGCTGAACTGCTGAGGAGGGTGGTCAGGGGTGACTGTGGAGCCTTCCTGCTGTTTCAGGGCTCAAAGCTGTGCGCTGTCCTTATGGGTCCCTCAGGGGACTCCCGAGGCCAAAGTAATAACTCATGGGGATGGGGCAGAGAACTAGCAGGTGCTGAGACCTGCGATGTGTCACATACCCCCACTGACTCTCACCTGGCTGGCCCTCAGGCTGGGTAGGACACAGCCTATAAAGGTGAAGAGAATGAGACTTGGAGAAGTGATGGCACTGGCGAGGGCTACAGCTCACAGTGACAGACCTGGGATGCCTGCCCTGGTCTCTGTGATCTCCAAGCCCTTCTGCTCTGGACACATGATCAGGCTCTGTCTCCAGGGCCCCTCACCTGCCAGATCCTCACCCCCCTTTTAAACAGTTAATTTTACCCTTAAAAAAAGTACAGTTGCCTTTCAAATTATGGAAGTAGTGCAGACTTGTTGAGAAAAACACAGAAGGGTATGCAGGATCTTATGACACAGCCTCCTTAACCATGATCCTGCTCCTCAGAGTTAGCCCCTGAGTCCTTCGGTATAGACTCTTCCGGTGCCTTCTATGAAACATAAGGATTTTAAACAATGGGATCCCCAACTTGTCAGGAACTTATTTAATATATATATAAACCAGCCTTATCCTTTTCAATGACTCCAGAGTATTCCACCATATGGCTCTACCACAGTTTACATAACCAGTTCCCCACAGATGGGCACGTTCCTATTTTTGCTCTTATGAGCAGTCCTGCAGTAAATAAGCTGGCATGGGAATCTCTGAGCATGCTGAGCAAGTACTTACACAGGACACGTTCCTAGAAGTGGGAATGCAGGGTAAAAGAAATGCACACTTGGCCAGGTGTGGTGGCTCACACCTGAAATCCCAACACTTTGGGAGGCCGAGGCGGGAGGATCACCTGAGGAGTTCGTGACTAGCCTGGCCAACACAGTGGAACCCCATCTCTACTAAAAATACAAAAATTAGCCAGGCACGGTGGTGCACGCCTGTAATTCCAGCTACTTGGGAGGCTGAGGCAGGAGAATCGCTTGAGCCCGGGAGGCAGAGGTTTCAGTGAGTTGAGATCGTGTGCCACTGCACTCCAGCCTGAGCGACAGAGCCAGGCTCTGTCTCAAAAAAAAAAAAAAAGAATCACACATTAAGAAGTGTTGGCCCACACTACCCTTTCACCCCTGGTGGTGGGAGGACCAAGTCCTCCCCACCCATCTGACAGGTGAAATGGCATTGCAACTTAAGGTGCTTTCTTTGAGTTGGTTAGACTGAAAAACCTGTCGGGATTTCAGGCCATTCGTATTTGTCTTACTGTTACCTGTTCTGATTTTCCTGCTAGGTTGCTTGTCTTGTAGAATTTTTGGGAACTTTTCATACACTACAGCTTTAACACAAAGTGATTATGTCAAGTAACCCTCTCTCCTGTTTCAATGACTGAACAAGGAAGTCTATCTCCACTTCATCCACTTATTGATAAACAGAATCTATTAAACACCACCGCCTACATAGTACCATGTGACTGGTGAGGCAACCTCTGCCCTGGACGTTTCCCGCTGTGCCCTAAATCCCACAACGAAGCTGCCTGAGAGGTCACCGCCATGCCTGCCTCACCCTACCCCTGCTCCCAGGCACCTCACCTGGCCTGCACGGGAACAGTGATGCTATTTGGGAAACAGCCCTGGTCCCAAGAAGGGGTGTGGAGGAAACTCCAGGACAGAACACTGCTCTGCAGGGGACTTCCATCTGCCTGGGCTCAGATGTGGGGATGAGGTGGGCCACGGCAGGCGGCATAGCCACAAACCCTGTGGCCGTCTCTTCTCCTTGCATTCTCCCCTGAATCCTCATGACATCCCACACTCATTCTTAGTCCCCACTGTCTTCCCTTTGCTTTCTAACCCTCCCTACCTTCTTCAGATTTAGAACAGTATGTGCTACTGGCACTGAGTGAATTATCACTCCTGGTTAGCTGTTCCTCTCTTCTGAGACAGGCTGTGTCTCCAAAGCCATCCCAGTTACCAGCCAATAGACAGGAAGTTGCTTACTCGGGGAATGGCGGACACCTTCACTTTGGCCCTAGAATCACATTTGGCCTACTTTGGTCACTCCCAGGTGATCCTGGGTGAGATGAGAAGGACTGAATGATGGCTCTATACTCCCTCCACCCAACTCTATACACTGAAGAGGAAGAACTTCTGCAAAATTCTGGGACTTGCTTTGCAGGTTCAAGGTGGTGTGGCTCCAGGATTCAGACCCATCTTAGCTGCAGACCCAAACAGGAGCCTGCGCTACCTCCACAGCCTTCACCCTGCCTTAGCTTGGACACTAACTGCCTCCTCCTGCTCCATGCAGTCACAGGGGTCCAGAGCCCATTTCTGCGGGGTGGGCTTGCTCCTCTGCCTGAGTCACCGCCTGTGGCTAGGATCTCCTGCAGCTGAAAGCAGCAGCGAGTGCAGGGTGTCTACTCCCAGCAGTATATCCTTATGACCCTGAGTTCCCTCTAAGGGGAGGAGCGAGGATGAGCTGCATGTGCAGGCCTGCAGCACTTGGGTAAGGAGAGAAGTGGTGGGAGAAAGCAAGAAGCAGAGGGATCAGGCCAGGCGCGGTGGCTCCTGCTTGTAATCCCAGCACTTTGGGAGGCTGAGGTGGGTGGATTGCTTGAGCCCAGCGGTTCGAGACCAGCCTGGCCAACATGGTGAAACCCCATCTTTACTAAAAAAATACAAAAATTAGCCGGGCGTGGTGGTGCACGCCTATAATCCCAGCTACTCGGGAGGCTGAGGCAGGAGAATCACTTGAACCCAGGAGGCAGAGGTTGCAGTGAGCTGAGACTGTGCCACTGCACTCTAGTCTGGGCAACAGAAGGAGACTTTGTCTCAAAAACCACAAAAACAAAAAAGCAGGGGGAACTGCAGCAGGGAAAGCCAGGGGCTGCATGGATTCTGGGTGCTTTTGAAGGTAAACATAACATGATGATGATGAAGATGACAGAACAGTACAGGGTACTAGAGAAAACTGTCTGCACTGCTGATAAATAAAGGGGAACCAATAAGTGAGACAGGAGAAGCTACAACTGCTTGGCTGCATAAAAATAATATTAGTTGAGTTATTCATACTAACTGCTTAGCATTTTTATCTAATTATGATACGGCTCAATGATGATGTGTATAATTATTACCAGACCAATTGAACTGTGTGTTTCGACTGATCATAACAATCCCAGGTACAGCTGATCTTTCTAGTGTGCTGTTAGTGGAGATTGGTCTCAGATGCCTTGTGTTAACAGTGGTGGGAATACTAATAATGATGATGACATGTGTTACAGATGCCCACTCATTTAATTCTCACGAAAGCCCATATCCACATCACCTACCATCCTTTGGCCTGTTTTACAGAAGGAAGTGGTGCAGCTTGCTCCAGGCCCCACTGCTGGTGAGTGGCAGAGCAGATCCCCACCGCACTGGGCGTGAACCCAGGCTTCCGGCTCCAGTCCTTCAGCACTCTGCTACTCTGCGCCCCACATGATGGCGTTTGCAGAGGGCCAGGATCCCCACTGCACTGGGCTGTGCCTCCTCTGCCCCGTGTCCCCTGCCAGTCCTCTCCTCACCTGTGTAGCTGCTGGAAGGAAGTGCATGCTGTGGTCCCCCATTGAGCTCTGGGGCTCCTTCTGCCTCTGCCACTTCCTCTTTCTCCTCCTCTTCCCGGACCTCAGGGGCTTCCTCCTGTGGCTGCTCCATGGCTGATCTCCCCTCGGCGCCACACCTGCAGGCCCAGTCATAGCTCTGGCATCGTCTGGGTCTGAACGCAGATGGACCTCTACAGGGTGGTTCCCATCAGCCTGGGCAGAGGAGAAGACAGGAAGAGGTCAGGGGAGGCAGTGACAAGGAAGAGGATGGTGCGAGTGGGGCACGCTTGGGGGCTGCTGTCATGGAGGGGGTTCTTCTGCTCCTGCTCCTTCCCTAGTTCCTGCAGTGCTATACCATGGTCTCTGCTCCTTGTATCACAAGTCACCTGCCCTATCACCCTTCCCACCTGGCTCTTGTAGTGGGTTTGTGGGGTTCGGAGCAGGCTCCATAAACTAGAGAGGTGACACATCACTGTGCCACCCTTCCCTGCCTCCTCTGCTGCCTTCTGTTCTGAGTCTCCAGGAAGCACATTGGAATGACTTGAGGGGCTTTTCCCAACTCTCCAGCCCACCTGGAGATCCAGATATGCATCACGCCTCCCATCCCCGACCCTGTCCCTATCAGCACTCAGGCCCAAGAATCACGGCTCTGCTGTGCTACTGTTCCTGAAGGGGTGAGTCCCATCCTTTCAGTGGTTGGGTGTGGAAAAAAGACATAAAGCCCTGCTGTTCTTGGCTCATGTTGACAGCAGATCTGCAACCATGGCCTCAATAGCAGAGACATCAGAAAAAGGAAGATGTGCTCCATCCTGGAGTCTTTCCAAGGTGACAACTTACTGGGTGGTGATGCCACGTCCACATCACCCAGGAGGAGACAGTTCCAACCCTTAGCAAGTAAAACATTATCCACAAATGCCACAGTCAGAGATGATAAGATCATGAGGTACTGTGGAGAGTCTCCCAGCGGGGAAATGTCTGCACCAGACCTTGTGGAAGGATCAGGAGAAGAAAAGATCTGCTTTAAGATGTTAAGCATCTGTGGGACCCCAACTCTCAGATATTTTACCGACAGCTCAAACTCAATCTATCCAAACAGAACCCATCATTTTCCCCAAACCCATTCGTCCTCTAGTAATCTTTACTTTAGCAACCCACCTGCCTGTCTACCCACTCATCAGAACCAGAACCTGGAGTGATCAGAGACTCCTTCTGCTCTCTCTCCCTGCTCTAGACCTGCCAACTCGGCTGTACACTGTAGTCACTGGGGAGTTTTTAAAAAGACAGATGCCTGGTCCCATCCCCAGAGATTCTCCTTTGATTGGTTTGGGGAGCAGCTTGGACATTGGGTTTCTTATTTTTTAATTGTCCTGGTGATTGTAATGTACAGCCAAGTTTGTACAAAACATGTTAAGGCTACACATTCATTTCCACCAGGCCTTCCCTTGCTTGGACTTAACAATAACCTCGGGGCCTACTTGAGGGTGGAGGCTGGGAGGAGGAGAGGAGCAGAAAAAATAACTATCGGGTACTAGTCTTAGTACCTGGGTGATGAAATAATCTGTATAATAAACGCCTGTGACACAAGTTCACCCACATAACAAACCTGCATCTGTACCCTGAACCTAAAATAAAACACCACCACAAAACTCTTAGCTGTTTTCTGATGGGTTTTTTTGTTGTTGTTGTTATTGTTTTTTGAGACAGTCTCACTCTGTCGCCTAGGCTGGAGTGCAGTGGCGCAATCATGGCTCACTGCAGCCTTTATCTCCCGTGCTCAAGGGATCCTCCCACCTCAGCCACCCAAGTAGCTGGGACCACAGGTGTGCACTACCACACCAGCTAATTTCTGTATTTTTTTTTAGGGATAAGGTTTTGCTATGTTGCCCCGGCTGGTTTTGGACTCCTGGGCTCAAGCAATCTGCCCACCTTGGCCTACCAAGGTATTGGAATTACAGGCATGAGCCACTGTGCCTGGCTTAAAAATAATTTAAATTATAATAAAATAAGAAGGCAAAACTTAATAATGTGGAAGATGAGAGGGAGTGATCAACATTCAATCAGCTCAAGTCCCTTTACTTCTCAAAAGATGTCTCAAGATGCCGATGTATGATTTCCAAATCATTAGAGTGGGAAAACCTGGAAAAGGTCACGTAAACCTCTAGCTTTGTGACTGAGGAAGCCTCACAGACAGGAGCAGACCACAGAGACACAACTAAATGAATGTGGGATCCTGGACCAGATCCCCGAAGCAGAAAGGGGGCAGTGGCAGAAAAACTGGTAAGGTCTGAACAACACACTGACTTTGGTTAATAGTATTGTACCAGTGTTCCTTTATGTAAGATTTAATGTGAGCTGGGTAAAGGATATGTGGGGACTCTGTACAATCTCTGCAACTTACTCTGTAACACCGAACTTTTTTCAAAATAGAGTTAGAACGAAAAAACCTTTAAAAATTTTGGTTTTCTGGCTTCTCTTGAAAATTGGGCAGACCTGGCCCTTGGGCACCTGCATGCCTCTGGCACCCACCCCCAGAGCCAAGCAATCGGCTGCCCACTCGCATGGTCTCCACTAGTGGCAGTTTCTCCCCTGCAGGCTCTTTACTCATTTACACTGCATTGCAGGGACTTGATAGTTTGTTTAATGTACATCAGTTCCTCAAGGATCAGTCCCTGACCACTCGCCCCTGGGTGTTAAACTTGAGAAGCACCAGACCCAGAGCACAGGAAATGTTCACAGGTGCTGTCCTGCTCACCCCGTGGCTTTCTCCAAGTGGCAGCTGGGGCAGTCACTCCTACTTCTCCCCAGCTCCATTCTCCTTCCTTCTGAGTCTCAGTCTTCTCTGGATCAGCAATCTGTGCCTACCTAAACACTCAATTTCCCCAAGCTCTCTTGCAGCTACAGTGTTCATTGGCATAATTCTGACCAGCAATATGTGAACAGAAATCTACCAGGAGGAGCTTCCGAAAAAGCTATTATTTCCTAATAGAGAGACAAACTTCTGCCCCTCCCATCTTCCTGCCTGGAACAGGAATACTATGCCTAGAGGTGTAGCAGCTGCCTTCGGAGCAGCAGAAGACAGGGTAGGAGGGTGGGTGAAAAGTCCGAAAGCACCTGGCCACTGTGGCCTCCCAAAGCTGCTGGACCCACCCTGCAATGCCGGCCTCCAGACTGCTTGTTAGGTGAAAAAATCAAACTTGTTTTACCAGGCACTGATTGCCGGATTTCTGTTGCATGCAACTGAACGCAATCCTAATTTAAAATAGGAGACATAAAGACACTTAGCTCAAGAGTAGAGTGGGGTTCTGGGGTGGAAGTTGGCCACAATACTGGAAAAAGGACCCTAGCAATTACCAACAGCAGTGTGTGACTGTAGTGGCATTAGTCAGCTTTTTTTTTTTTTAATTGTGTGAAAGACAATTATTCTTTTATTTTTATAATATATTCAGACTCGGCATGGAGAGGAAACTAATTTTAGCTGAAATCTTTTTTTTCAAAGTTTATTTTATTTTATTTTATTTATTTATTTATTTTATTATTATTATACTTTAAGTTTTAGGGTACATGTGCACAATGTGCAGGTTAGTTACCTATATATACATGTGCGATGCTGGTGTGCTGCACCCATTAACTCGTCATTTAGCATTAGGTGCCATTATCCAAATAACAAGTACCAGAAACACTGATTCTTTATGCTCCACCAGATTGAAAGCCTGGAGATGGAGGAGGTAGGGGAGGGTGAGAAGGGGCCACGGGAGGCCTCAGAAGGGATGAGTCCCAAGAGAAGGAGCAGCACGGGTGACAAGGGTCAGATGGTGGGACCCCCGAGAGCCACAGCGCAGTGGCGGCAGAGCCCAGGGTGAGTGGGATGAGGCAATGAGAACACACTCTGTTTTTGGACCCATGTGGCGTGGGTGTCAGTGGACACGGGGCAATGCACACCAGGCTGTGGTGATGAGAGCCAGGAAGAGGAGGACGTGAAGATGTGGGGTCCCCGCTTAGCAGGCAGTAACAGAGGAGGAAAAGCTACAATACTGCCTGGTATATATACTTGACAACACAGCATCTGAGCCTCTGGTGACCCTGGGGAAGACCTGATGGAGCTCCCTGTCAGGACCAAATCCTGGAGGGAGGGGAGGGAGCTGACTGAGCTCCCACTATGCGTCACGCTCCCACTCAAGCCTCGCCAGCCCCCATTAAGGCCTTATAGGCCCCCCTTGCAGATGACAAAAGTGACAGGCCTGAGGATCCCAACAGGGCATCTCAGAACATGCTAGAGGACGAAGCAGAAAACGGCAGAGCTTCGGACACAGCAGGACTCGAGCCGGGCCAGGCCCTGACAGCTGTGTGCACTGGGCCGTGTTACTCAGCAGAGCCTCAGCTCCCACTCCCACATATGAGCTGGTAGTGGGTTTTTTTCACCAGAACCGGTAAAACTGTTCTCAGTTTCGGGAGGTGTAAGTAAGTGGTTGCCTCTTAGACTCAGATGCAGTTCTGGACTCTGGCTAGAGTTCTGAATTTGGGACCAGGGTCTCTAGTTCCCACGCTGACATCTCTCCCTAGCCTGGAATTGTCTCTTCTGACTGTGGCCTCTCAAGGACACCAGTGAAGAGGAAGGGGAGCTGTAGCCTGGCTGTTCTAAAACCTACCCACGTCCCTTGGGCTGCTCCTATTTAGATTGAACTGCTGTGCTGCAGCCCATCCCTGCATTTTGCCAGAAGCCTGCCATTTTCATATGGCCTCCTTGCTCCATCTACAGCTGAGGTCTGTCATCTACCCTGAGCCAAGGTTGCTCCCTGTTCTCAGCTTGCCCAGCCAGGAGCAACCTTGACCCCTAGGCTCTCTCCCCTGACCCACTGGACCTAGGCCCACTGTCTAGATTTTCTCAGGTAGCTGCCACCCCACCCACCACAATTCCTGCAATGAACCCTATTCTCCTCTTCCTTTCTTAAGCCCTGGCACTAAAGATAGCACAGGCTGGGCTGGGCATGGCTCATGCCTGTAATCCCAGCACTTTGAGAGGCTGAGGCAGGCAGATCACATGAGGCTAGGAGTTCGAGACCAGCCTGGGCAACATGGCAAAACCCTGTCTCTACTAAAAACACAAAAATCAGATAGGTGCGGTGGTGCACATTTGTAATCCCAGCTACTCGGAGGCTGAGGCACGAGAATCACTTGAACCCGGAGGGGAGAGGTTTCAGTGAGCCAAGATCGCACTGCTGCACTCCAGCCTGAGGACAGATTGAGACCCTGTCTCAAAAACAAAAAAAAAAGTCCAGGTGCGGTGGTTCATGCCTGTAATCCCAGCACTTTGGGAGGCCAAGGTGGGTGGATCACTTGAGGTCAGGTGTTCGAGACCAGCCTGGCCAACATGGTGAAACCCCATCTCTACTAAAAATACAAAAATTAGCCAGGCATGGTGGCGCACGCCTGTAATCCCAGCTACGTGGGTGGCTGAGGCACGAGAATCGCCTGAACCTGGGAGACAGAGGTTGCAGTGGGCCGAGATCGCACCACTGCACTCCAGCCTGGGTGACAGAGGAGACTCTGTCTCAAAACAACAACAACAACCACAATACAGCCAGGCACTAAGTTTAATTTGTATGCCGGCAAAAAACCCTGGCTTTTTTTTTTTTTGGTCTGGCTCCCAGTGTTGGCTATCTCCCCTCTCCACGCCCCAGCACTATGCCAGAGCCAGAAGCCCTCTGATCATGTCACAGCTTTGCCCCACTTAAGAGGCTGGAGCTTCAGACCCCCAGACAACACAAGGGCCCTGAGCCAGAATGAGGGGGCACGAATGCAGCAATGTAGCCCCTCACCAAAAAGTAGTCCCTAGCAAAATAATTTCTTGCATGGGGCATGGGGGAAGGGCAAGGGGGCTCACACCTATAATCCCAGCACTTTGGGAGGCTGAGGCAGGCAGATCACCTGAGGTCAGGAGTTCAAGACTACCCTGGCCAACATGGCAAAACCCCTGGTTATCCGGGTGTGGTGGCACGCACCTGTAATCCCAGCTACCTGGGAGGCTGAGGCAAGAGAATCGCTTGAACTAGGGAGACAGAGGTTGCAGTGAGCCAAAATCACACCACTGCACTCTAGCCTGGCAACAGAGCAAGACTCCATCTCAAAAAATAAAAATAAAAGGATTTCTTGCAAAACAAACCCCTGGACTATTCCAATTCTGACATATATGTATGTGTGTACACACACACACACACACACACACACACACACACACACACACACACAAAGCCTGCAGTGCACATGCAGCCCCCATGCTCCCATTCCAATACCCACTGTCTGGCCCCAAGAAGAAACTCAGCCCTTCAGAGAACTTAGGTGCAGGGAGGGGCATGACTCCATCCATTGCCCATTGGCAGGTGAATTTCATGGGCAGTGGTAGTTAGAAGCTTAACCCAAATGGCCCAGAGCTCTAGAGAGACCTGGTCTGGGGCCAGAGCAACTAAGCCACCTGGGGCCCAGTCCTTCCCACCAAGTCCAGTTGTCTCCCTTCCCCGTCTCTGCTAGGAGTAGGGAGGGGCTCACTTTCAGGGCAGCCCTCTGTGCTCCTGGTCAGCTGGGCAACCCCCAAGTGCCTCGTACTCCTCGTGGTGACTCAGGTGTTTCCCTGATGCCCACTGGCAGGCTGTACGGTGTGGGAACACTTCTGCCCTACCCAGGGGATGAGTGGGGACAGTCAGTGTGCCAGGGGCCTCCATCCTCCATGGGCTCCATCTGCCACATGGTACAGCCTGATGGACCTTCTTACTGTACCAGAGCCTAAGCTGGATCACCACCTCCATCACAATAGTACTAGCTTCCCTTCTCCAAGGACTTATTACACACCATGCTCTGTGTATGTTGGCAAATGTAATCCTCACAACAACCCTAAGAGGCAGGTACTATTATCATCTCCATTTAACTGACGTGGAAATTATGGCACAGAGAGGCAAAGTAATTGGCTCAAGGTCACACAGTAACTAGAGAAGCAGGATTTGAGTCAAGGCAGGTTGGCTCAAGTCTTAGCCACTCTACTGTGTGCCTCATATATGGTGCTGGGTAAGACTGGACCAGGAGCTGGCATGTCCTTGCCCAGCTGGGGCTCCTTAGTCTCAGTCTGGAGCCATCACCTCTGAATCCTCTGTCTGGCTGCCAGTCCCCAGCTGTTTCTGTCAAGAACACCTTGGTCAAAGCCCTTCTGGACATTACTGCCAGAAAATGACTCCTGTGTGCTGAAGACAGCCACAGGCTCTCGTCCCTGCCTCCCTCTCCAGGCCTATCCTCCTGCTCTGCCTGCCTATGTGCCTCATGATCCCACATCACTCCCTGAGCATGGAGGCTTGAACTGGCACCTGCCTTGAATGCCATCCCCTCCACTAGCTAAAACCTTCTCTCCTTCGCGACCTGTCTGCACCTCCTCTTCCGGGAAGCTCTCCTGGACTAGCTCCATTCTGTTCCTTCTCACCACAACCCTGACCCGGGCCCTCCAGATCTGCAATCACTACACCAAACTGCAATGTCTGCTAACTGCTCTGGCCTCACCATGTTATCAGTTTCCCAGAGAATGCCCTGTATCTTACTGAGGTAGGTCCCAGCACCTGGCACGGTGCCTGGCATTTAGTGGGTCCTCAACATACGTTTGCTGGATGAATAAATATACTAAAAACATGAGCCTTAGCCACACTATTCTGAGTTGTAGCACTTGCCACTGTATCAGTTTTCATATATTACTGCCATCGAGATGCAATACTCCAAAGAAGTGAATTCCACCGGCTTCAGTCAGGCCTGGGTTCACACCCTGGCTCATCCCTCCCATCCTATGACTTGGGGAAGACATTAAAACTGGAATACTACCACCTAACCTGAGAGGCTGCTGTGTGGAATAAATAACGATGCAGTAACTGCTTAACAGTGCCAGGTAGATAGTAAGGGTCCTACAAATAAGGACCACAGTGGCTGCTGCTATTATTATCACCCATGGCTTGTGTTAAGGGATTGTATGGTGATATTCCAGTCCTAGAAATGTGCTAGCCTGCTGAAACCCAAGGGACCTCCACAGACAGAACTTCCCAGTTCCCTGCCTCACCATCAATTGTGGGGAGAGAACCGGCAGGGAGCCCCCTACTCTGGGCACATGCTTCTTTTTTCAGGGAGAAGGGCCTAAACCTTCCTCCCCTTCTCGCCCCACATGCAGGTGACCCAGTTGCTGTCACCTCCTTCCTCCCATACTGCAACGGAATAAGGGGCAGCCTCTGGATACAAGACAGAGGTTGCCCCGTCTCCGTGGCAGGTGCTTTTGGGATCAGAAGTGAGGGATGTCATGGGAGAATGGGTCTGGCTGATTCTCTCCCAACCTTTCTTATCAATCATTAATCCAAGTGCTGACCTAGTGACCTGGTTTTCTAGGCCAGCAACTCTGCCGTGTTCTCTGCTTACTATTTGCCAATCCAGGTCACCCCACCCTCTTAAGGACACAGGAGAAGCCCGGGTGGCCTTCTAGCTGGCCAGAGTCAGCCCAGAGAGTCACCTGAGGCCAATCCCCAGGAGTGGCCTGGGGCTGGTTTTGTTCAGAGAGTGCTGGAACCAGAGAAAAGACAGCCAGGAGGCCACCCACGCATTCCACAATTCTTCCCATTGCCCCAAGAGGCAGCCCCCTAGGAACAGCCTCCAGGGCTGGAGAATGTCCTGGAGAAGAGACCAGAGACAGGAGGGTACTCTTCACCAGGGATAGGAAAGCTGCCACAGAAGGGGGCCTTGGGTGTGCCCACCCACCCACCTGCAGTAGGGAGAAAGGGGCACCCAGATCCCTGCATCACCTCTCCACTGGGAGCACTAACGTGCTGACCACCTCTGACCGCAGCCACTGAAGACTGCGAAAAATCTGTGGTTTTCACAAAGAGAAGCTCAGCAATGTCAAAGCACATACACATGCATAAAAACAAAACTGAAAAGACATGGCCACAAATGTTAAGGGTACTTTTCTCTGAGGGGTGGAGCTGTAGGTGATTTCGATTTTCTTAATTATATTTTCCTATGTTATCCAATTTCTTCACAGTGAGCGTGGGATACCTTTATAATCTGGGGTTGGTCGGGGGAAGGGGGAGACATTTTTAAAACCAAATAAAATGCTGAGAGATGCCAACGAGGTAAAGGAAAGGCCTGCTCAGGTCCCAGAAGAGACCCAGATCTCTCCTACTGAAGCCTGAATGGGCCTGAGACCCCTCACACTACATGGAGAGGGCTTCCAGGGTAGGGTGGTTCTGCCGGCCAGCAGAGAGACTCACCAGAGACCGAGCCAGAGCCCTTCTCAGCTAAGACCACAGGGGCTATGGTTGTGGACACTGTCCCTGCCCCTCTGCCCTTCTGGTCCCTGCCAGCTGGTTTCATTCACTTGTTCAACAAATATTTGTCAAGTACCTACCACCATGTGCCAGGCTACATTAGCCAGCAATGACCAGGGCTATGAAGGACAAATGCCAAGCAAGGTGTGGCACTCAGAGCACATGAGTCAGGTGCGAGTGGCCAGGAGACGCTTTCCTGAGGACCTTACGTAGCCTCTGGCCCAGGCAGGCTGAGTGGGATTCCAGGGTGATGGGAACAGTGATGTGAAAAGGCCCAAGGAATGAGGACCTGGGCTGTCTGTGGGTAGAGAGAAGGGCTGTGGCTAGAGGTCACTCAGCGTCTTGAAGGGTAAGCTGAGGATGTGGGTATTTATTCTGGGAGGAGCAGAGAGCCAAGGGGGTTATGAAGAGGATGGGGAGGAACAGAGCTGCATTTTTACAAAGACTTTTCAGGCTGCTGTGGAGAACAGACTGAAGATGAGAACAGACTGAAGGTGATAACAGACTGAAGATGATTTCAGCCAGGCTCGGAGGAGCAATAGTTACAGCAAACCTGGCAAGGGAGTCGGCAGGAGGGGAAGGCCACCTGGAGCCCTGCAAGGTCTGGGAAGCAGCTGCCTGTTGTGTTCCTGGGAAGACTCAGGCTGAGGAGTTGAGGGATGGGGCCCTGACTCAGAGCTGAGTACCTCTCTGGCTGCCCCACCTGTGTCCTCACTGAGTAAAATGTCAGAATTAGATCATCTCCAAGGCCTGTTCCTGCTCTGCCCTCCCAGGGTTCAGCCTCCCAGAGGTCCTGGTCTCAGTGATTCCCGACTATGACACACACATACAAACACAGGTATCTGGGGAGCAGACGTGGCGCTTGGCACTGCTTGGCATGAGGCCAATCGATACTAACAGCCACATTCCCAGGCTTGACAACTACACCCAAGCCCCTCACACATCTGACACAGAGCTCTTGTGACCAGGATGCCAACCATAGGTCAACAGCCCTGCTTTAGGGGCTCTGTGGTTACAATGTGGACACCACCACTTATACCTTTTTCTTTTCTTTTTTTTTTTTTAAGACAAGATCTCCCTGTCACCCAGGCTAGAGTGCAGTGGCACAATCACAGCTCACTGCAGCCTCGATTTCCTAGGATCAGGTGATTCTCCCACTTCAGCCTCCTGAGTAGCTGGGACCACAGGTGTGCACCACCACGCCTGGCAAATTTTTGTATTTTTTGTAGAGACGGGGTTTTGCCATGTTGCCCAGGCTGGTCTCGAACTCCTGGGCTCAGGTTATCCACCCGCCTCAGCCTCCCAAAGTGCTGAGATTACAGGTGTGAGCCACCATGCCCAGCTACCTATTTCTTTACAAACAATTAAGACTAGGACAGCCCTTTAAGGGCACCTGGCTAGCTCAGTTGGTAGAGCATGAGACTCTTAAGTTCCTGAAGTGCTTTCAGGTACATCACACATCACTTAATCGACCCAGTGAGATGAGTGAAGGCAGGGCTATTTCATTTATCACTACACCCCCTACTCTGAGGGAAGCTCTGACTGGCTCTTGCTCGCCTGTGAATGCTCTAGGTGAGGGGACGAAGGCTGGTGGTAAGGAGAAGGGCAGCCACTGAGTGGGTGGCCAGCAGGCCCCATGAGAGGCAATGAAACTCTGACTGGCCCAGGAGAAATGGGACGTGCAATTGCAGCGGGGAGGCAGGAATAGGGATCTGCAGGGCAGAGAGACTTCTCAACCTTCCCAGGGAGAGAGGAGACATGGAAAAATCCCACAGTTAAGCTGTGATTGGTCGGTCTGTCCAGGAGAACCCAGGGATCTCAAGTTCAAGTCTCACCTAAAAGCGTTCACGTTCTTTGACCCTATACTTCCCCTTATAGGAAAACACTGAGCTGTTCACTGCAATGTTATTTATAATAACAAAAAATCAGAAATGGCCCAATGCCCAATAATAGAGGAATGGTTAAATATATTAGGGCACACCCAGACAACTGAGTATTACCTAGTCATTAAACTCATGTTTTCATAGAATATTTAATAACATAAGTGAAAAATACAATACGAATTTACATAAAGATCATGATTCTCATGAAAATGACTAGAAAAAGAATAGAAGAAAGTTCCCCTGTATGAAGAGGGTGGTAGGTGATTTTTTTGAGACAGAGTCTTGCTCTGTCACTAGGCTGGGGTGCAGGTGTGACCTCAGTTCACTGAACCACCTCCTAGGCTCAAGTGATCCTCCTACTTCAGCCTCCAGAGTAGCTGGGACTACAGATTCATGCCACCACACCCAACTAATTTTTGTATTTTTAGTAGAGATGGGTTTTCACCATGTTGGCCAGGCTGGTCTTGAACTGAACTCCTCCCGGATCACAAGTGATCCTCCCGCCTTGGCATCTCAAAGTGTTGGAATTACAGGCATGAGCCACTGCACCCAGCCTTTGTTTTTTTTTTTTTTTTTTTTGAGACAGAGTCTCACTTTGTCGTCCAGGCTGGAGTATAGTGGCACGATCTCAGCTCAGTGCAAACTCTGCCTCCCCGGTTCAAGTGATTCTCCTGTCTCAGCCTCCAGAGTAGCTGGGATTACAGGCACCTGCCACCACACCCAGCTAATTTTTGTATTTTTAGTAGAGATGGAGTTTCACCACGTTGGCCAGGCTAGTCTTGAACCCACCTCAAGTTATCCGCCTACCTCGGCCTCCCAAAGTGCTGGGATTACAGGCATGAGCCACTACGCCCGGCCTTTTTTTTGGGGGACAGGGTCTCACTGTTGCCCAGGCTGGAGTGCAATGGCTCGATCTCAGCTCACTGCAACTTCTGCCTCCTGGATTCAAGCAATTCTCCCACCTCAGACTCCCATAGCTGGGACTACAGACATGCGTCACCACGCCCGGCTAATTTTTATATTTTTTGGTAGAGTCAGGGTTTCACCATGTGGGCCAGGCTGATCTTGAACTCATAACCTCAAGTGATCCACCCACCTTGGCCTCCCAAAGTGCTGGGATTACAGACATAAGCCACCGCGCCTGGCCAATGTCACTGTACTTTGAAACTTTCGGTAACACTTATGATCTTTATTTTACTTGACCCACGATAGCATGTGATAGTGATATGACTGCTCGATCCCTCCTCCTCTACGCCTTCTCTTCATTTGGCTTCCTCCCAGGTTTTGCTCTGATATCACTGGCTGCTCCGTATCAATCTACTTTGTTGGTCTCAGTCAGTAATTTTCTTCCTAATCTCTAAAGGTCTCTTTCATTCTCCATCTACGCTCCATCTCTTTCTGATCTTATGCCAGCTTGTGCCTTCCAATGCCTTCAGTATGCTGATGATTCCCCAATTTATTTCTCCAGGCCAGCTTCTCTGACACCTCCACACGGATGTCCAATGGCAGCACAAGCCTAACACATCCAAAACCGAGCCCTTTACCTTCCCCCCATGGTCTCTCTCATCTCAGTAAATGACAACTCCAACCTTTAAGTTAGAGTCAAGGAATCTTGCTGGCTTTGCCTTTAATAAATATACGGAATCTAATTACTTCTCACCACCTCTACTGCTATGACCCTGGTCCCAGCCAACACCATCTCCTGCCTGGATTACTTAACAGCCTCCTAACTGGCTTTCTGGCTTCTGCCTCCCACCTCACCACCCACTCTCTGTACAGCAGTCAAAGTGATCCTTCTAAAATACAATTCAGATTCTGTCCCTCCTGTGATCAAATCCTTCCTGGAGCTTCCTATCACAGAGAAAAAGCCCATCTTAATACCTGCCAGCAAGTCCTTCTGGAACTGGTACCCCTGCCTGCTCCACTCCTTCTGGTATATTAAGTACCAGGCACACGGCCTCCTGCTGGTCTCGACACAGCAGGCATATCCTGCCTTCAGTGGGCCTTTGCAGCGGCTTTTCTCTCTAGCTAAAGTTCTTCCCCCTCCCCAGTTACCCACCTCCACAGCTCACTGCCTCACCTTCTTCAGGTCCTTTCTCAAATGTGGCCATCTCAGTGAGGTCTTCCCTGGCTTCCCTATTTCAAATATGCGTAGTCCACCCTCAGGTACTTCCATCTCCCTTCCCTGCTTCAACTTTCTCCATCCGTCTTATGGCTATCTGGCAGAGTGTATATATATTTCCTTATTTGTTTAGTGCTTGTCTCTTCCCAAAGAATATAAGCCCCAGGAGGCAGAGATTTTTGTCTGTTGTTAGATTCACATAACCCTCAAGTATCAGAGGAGCAACTGGCATAATTGCAAAAAGACGTCTGTTCACCACGCACCTTGAAGCAGTCCTGTAGAGATCACTGCTCCACGGGCTTCAGTTTTCCAGGGGTATCTGACCCTGCTTTCCAGACCACTCCAGACCATTCCAGACCCTTCAAAGGAGGAGCTTATCAAGATGAGCATAAATTGGTAGAAATGTGGTGGAGAGCGAATCTAGAAGCCTGAGGGGCCTAGCAGCGTCTGGCTAGTTCTTTTGCTAATCTGCCAAGTGACGTTGGGGTTGGTGGTTCTGTGGTGGTGGTGGTTGCGGGAGGGGGGGCTTCATTTTTCCCATGGGGAGGCAGCACTGGTGCTTCTTCCTCCCTTAAACTATACAATCCTCTTGCTGAGCAGATCCCAAGGCTACTATTACTCAGTGGAGGGAGGCCTCCCTGACTCAGAGTCCTAGGTCAGACCCAGGGTGGGGGTGGGGAGGTGCTGACAAATCCTCAGGTGCCTTTAAAACGTTTATATTTTCAGGGCGAAAGATAAGACCAGTCAGTACCTGCACCTACTCACAGGACAGGCTGTGCACGAGGGAAGAGTGAAGGGCAGCTGAGTCCTGAGGAGGAAATTGCCTCTGGAGGCCTCAGGGAAGGTTCAAGGTCAAGGAGAGCTGGGTCTTCAAGATAATCTGAAAAGTACACTATGCTAATTATAGAAAATACTGCTGGGCACAGCAGCTGGGCAGGGAGGTTGAGATGGGAGGATTGCTTGAGCCCAGGAGTTCCAGACCACCCTGGGCAACACAGAAAGACCCTGTCTCATTTTTTTCTTTATTGAGACAGAGTCTCACTCTGTTGCCCAGGTTGGAGTGCAGTGGTGCAATCTCGGCTCACTGCAACCTCTGCCTCCTGGGTTAAAGCGATTCTCCTGCCTCAGTCTCCTGAGTAGCTGGGACTACAGGCGCATGCTACCACGCCCAGCTAATTTTTTGTATTTTTAGTAAAGACGGGATTTCACCACGTTAACCAGGATGGTCTCTGTCTCCTGACCTCATGATCTGCCCGCCTCGGCCTCCCAAAGTGCTGGGATTATAGGCATGAGCCACCACGCCTGGCCTTTTTTTTTTTTTTTAATAAAAACAATTTAAAGAAGAAGAAATAGGGCTAGGCGCGGTGGCTCACGCCTGTAATCCCAGCACTTTGGGAGGCCGAGGTGTGTGGATCACGAGGTCAGGAGATCGAGACCATCCTGGCTAACACGGTGACACCCTGTCTCTACTAAAAATACAAAAAATTGGCCAGGCGTGGTGGCGGGCGCCTATAGTCCCAGCTACTCGGGAGGCTGAGGCAGGAGAATGGCGTGAACCTGGGAGGTGGAGCTTGCAGTAAGCCAAGATCGTGCCACTGCACTCCAGCCTGGGCGACAGAGCGAGACTCTGTCTAAAAAAAAAAAGAAGAAGAAGAAGAAATAAAATACTTAAGAGTTTCAAAGAAGAAAATAAAGATTGAGGGGTAGGGTGTCCTAGGTAGGGGAAATGTAGGATCCTAGACCCAGGAGAGGAAGATGGAGAAAGAAAGAAGGAGACAGGGAGGCAGGGAATGGAAAAGGCTGGGTAAGCAGGTCATACCAAATGCATGCAGAAGACCTTCTACAACTCTTCTTCCATGGAGCCTACCCAGCTTCCGTGTGAATCAAACAGTGCACAGCACCTCTGTGTGCCAGGCATTATTCTAAGCTGCTTTCATGGAGTAACTCCCTTAGGTTTTACAAGTGGACTATAAGGCAGGTACCCATTATCCCCATTTACAGATGAGAAAATTGGAACATGGAAGAGTGAGGTAACTTCCAAGACTCTGGGAGCCGGGAGCCAGTAAGCCATCAGAGCAGGAGCTCTTAACCACTCTACTGTACTGCCTCTCGCTACTATTCCTGAACTCTAATGCTAAAAAGGTGTTCTGTATCCTGACCAATTAGACTCTCCCTTCAACTAACTGCCATTCCTGGTCCTGTCCTGCCTGGCCCTGGTCACCAAGTCTTGGCCTGCACCTTTTCCTCCCCAAACCCATCTTCTCTAGGTGAAACCTCTGTCACTGCAGCATTTGTCATTTGACAGGTTCCCAAACCCTCTTCCTTAGTTCATCACGTCCTCTTGATGTGTGGCTCCTAACACTCCCAGGAAGTAAGATGAAGTTAAAGTGTTGAAATGACATGTCCCCCTGCTTACAGTCCACTATGACTCCCAGGCAGACCAGTCATCACTGCCTGAACATCAAGTCAGGCCTTCCTGTGCTTACGGAAATAGAAGGGGGCCCCTTTACATCCACCCCTTCCAAAGTTTATCCTGTTGCTCCTGACCTGTCATTAGAGCTCTTTGAGGGTTTTCTAAGCCCGATTCTGTTCTCTAAAGCGCAAACAATCCCTTGTCTCATATTGTCTGTAAACCTGAAGAGCGTGTCTTCTACCTCTTCTCCTAAGTCAATCAGGGGCTTTCCTCAAGCAGTCATCTGTCTATTAACCTTCGGATAAGGCAGTTCAATGCATCTGAAATCCAATGCCTGGCACCCCCCTCTCTGTCCCAAGGTGCGAAGACAGCAAGTGGGCTACAGTGGAGAGAGCATTAGTGCTGAGTTATATGACAGGTACACCCCCAGCTCTGTCTTTACTATGCTGTGTACCTCTGGGCAACCTGCTACCCTCTCTGTGGCTCAGGCTTTCTATCTGTGAGATGGGACTAATGACCATGTGCCTTCTTTAATGGCAGTGGCAATGCTGAGATGAGGGAGCAAATGTAAAAGACATTTGTATTATACACACCAAAATGTTACCTCTTAGGGGTCATTTCTACTTTTTTTATTGCTTATCTGATTTTTTTTTTTTTTGGTGGGGGGGGCGGGGAGACAGGGTCTCACTCTGTCACGTAGGTTGGAGTACAGTGGCATGATCTCGGCTCACTGGAACCTCCACCTCCTGGGTTCAAGTGATTCTCCCACCTCAGCCTCCCAGGTAACTGAGACTACAGGTACGCACCACCACACCCAGATAATTTTTGTATTTTTAGTAGAGATGGGGTTTCACCATGTTGGCCAGGCTGGTCTCGAACTCCTGACCTCAGGTGATCTGCCTGCCTTGGCCTCCCAAAGTGCTGAGATTACAGGCATGAGTCATCATGCCCGGCTGCTTATCTGATTTTTCTACATTTTCTAAAATGAACATGTGCTGTGTCTAGTAAGCAAGTTTTTTAAAAAAAGGTTTTACAAGCAGATATAAATGATTGTAGAAAATAAGATGAAGTAGAAAAAGCTGAAGAAGACTACCTCAAGATCCATGTCATGGAATTCTCTGCAGATGCCCAAGAGCAGCAGGTGGCACAGACATGGTGCCATGGCAGGATGGCCGTGACATACAGCCGAAGAAAACAGGAAGTGGCCGAGCTGCGCATCCGCGACACACTCATTTTGTTTAAGACACTGATGCAGAGCTACACACACTTGCCCCACAACCTAAACTACTGGGAGGGGAAACCAGTCTAAGAACAGGAGGGAAGGGAGAATGAGGGGGACTGGTGGGGAGATAAATACCTTTATTCATGTTTGTAGTTTAAATTGTTTTTAAAACGAGCATCAACATCTTTTGTAATAAAGTGGAGTAGAAGAGTCAGGAGTCTTGTAAATGGATCTCACTCGAGTAAAGGCAGCCCAGGAGCTGCAGGCACATACTGACACCAGTAAAGAAGCAAAGCTCTCCTGCTGCTCAATCTCACAGAAATGTTTAGTCTTGTTCTCAGTCCTCCTGTCCCTTTCCAAGTGCATGCCTAGCTGGTTGCTTTCTAAGGTCCCATATAAGCACCCACTTAACAAATATTTGAGAAGCATGAAGTCCCCAAGAAAGGAAAGGAAGAACCAGAGTGAAAGGACAGATAAAACAAGAGGTTTCAAATCTCAGGGAGCCCAGAAAGACTTCTTAAGCATCAAAGCACCCTAGAGATTCAGAAAATTGGCCCATGCTGTCACCTCCCAATTCTCACATAATTCTGACAGCAGCTTCTGGATTTTATATTATACCTGCATGACAGCCCACTTCTCAGTAAGAACATGGGTCAAAAACTGCAATCTCACTCCTCAGGACTCAGAGCCAGGAGGAGGGGTATGCAGGATAAGATAGGGAAATGCCAGAACCGGAGTGACTTATTGATGACACTTGGGGAATACATTCAGAGAGTGCAAGGTCTCACACGCCAGGTCATGTTAGGCTTCTAACCAGTCTGGATCTCAGCCCACCTAGCAGGAGAGAGAAGGGACTCTCTTGAAAGAGTCAGGAAAAGCACTGCCACTGTTCACTGAGCAAGCATTACAAGCAGTGATGACCGGGAGTCTGTCTATAAACCCTGTTTCCTTTCGGGGCTCTCCCTCCCAAGATGCCCCCTCCCTCCGCTCCTGCCCACTTGGCTGCCAGAGCCCTGGGGGTCTCTCCATGATGGTGGCCATGAGCCAGGGGAATAAGAACTCCCCAGAGCTCCCCACAGGGCCCATACAGCAAAGCCTATGCCTCACCAAGCCACTGGCCCTGGTCCTGGCCCTGAATTTGGCCCCCTTCCTGGAGGCCTATGAGGATGAATAGTGTAAAGAGAGGTAACAGGAACCTCAGAGGGCTGATCCTCAGGGTCTCTCAGTTCTATAGCAACAGGACAACATGACCTTGACAAGGAGCACCATTTCCTGCTTCAGCCGGAGCCAGTTTTTCCCAAAACAACTGCTCTGGGGAAGGACACCAGGGTAACATGAGGAGCAGACACTGGGTCTTTCTACTTACCAAGTGCTCAGGTGCTACTGGCCCTGGGGATGGCTGCTAACTGGAAGATGACAGGTTGGTGGGCTGCTGGTGGGTCACCAGAGCAGAAGGTCACTAAGAGCCATTCTAGAGTGCTCCAGAGTCGCTGTCACAGCTCTCCTTTCTCGCTGCCTCCTCAAGAACCTCCACCCAAATCCTGGGGCGTCCCGAGCACGTAGGCGGTGTCTCCCCACCCACAATGACCTGCTTGGCAAGGCTTGGCACACCTTTCCCCCATTAATGCTTCCTGTCTCCCTCTCTCCCCCGAGGAACCCAGGCAGGCTGAGGCAATACCTTCCTTCATCCATCTGGACTGGCCTTGGAATTCCTGGGCCAATCTGGGGATCCCATGCATCAACCCTAAAGTGGGCCAGTGCCAGGTATGTGCAGCCTGTACTTCCCAGTCTGGGCAGGCGGAGGCTGGAACGGTGCCAGCAACTCACCTCTGCAACACAGCATGGAAGCATTTATTTCAAGGGTGGCTGGGGAGCGTCCAACAGCCCGCCTCCCAGCTTGCAGGACAGCCTGCCACATGCAGGGGAGGAACCAGTTTGCTTTGGGCAAACTGCTTCACTTCTCTGAGCCACCCTTGAAATAAATACTTCCGTGCTGCGTTACAGAGGAGAGCTGCTGGTGCGGTTCCAGCCTTTGCCTGCCCAGACTGGGAAGTACAGGCTGCATATACCTGGTGCTGGCACTGGCCCATGTTAGGGTTGGTGCCAGGGTTCCCCAAATTGGCCCAGGAATTCCAAGGGCAGTCCAGATGGATGAAGGAAGGCACCTCTCTCTTCCCTCTCACCTGTCAGGGCCTATAAGGCTTGGTGCTCTTCTGCTTGGTTCCGAGCACAACATCTGAGTGGTCAGTGCCACAATCATAACAACCAGCTGCCTCACAAAGGAGGCAGCTTGGCATAAGGACAAGGGCAGGGCTTTGTCCCCAGACAAAAATGGGTTTGAATCCTAGCTCTGTCACTCACTAGCTGAGTAGCTTTGGGCAAACTGCTTCACTTCTCTGAGTGTCTATTTCCTTATACGTACAGTCTCACATAGCTCAGAAATGACTTGGCTATGGTCACAGGGAGAGATGGCTGTAGAGCTTGGTCCCAGGTCCTGACATACTGGCTTCCAGAGCTTGTCTGACTATACTAGGATGTTTCTTAACTGCAGCTACACGTGACAGAGAAAACAGTCGTCTCTTTTCCTAAATGGCTGTCAGCAATTCCCAAAGTCAGGGAAAAGTTCCTTTCGAAGTTCACTGCCTTAATACAAAAGTAGCCTTCACAGATGCCAACTTAACTAGGTGAATCAAGTTAGCATCACTTTTACTAGGGCCAACTGGCACCACTGTGCCTCCTGATGTAAGCAACAGGAAGCACACCTCATCTATGTGGGTTCCCACCAACAACGTAAACCCGAATCTAATCACAAGGAAACAATCCAACAGATATGGAATGTGGACAATCTATGACACATCAAGCAAATGCGCCAAACTGTTAGCAACTGGTGAATCTTGGTGAAGGAAATACAGAAATTCATTGTTTTATTCTTTTAACTTTTCTCTAGTTTTAACCTTTAAGAGTAACTTTTAAATATTAAATATGTGTAGTATTACTCTTAAATCATTAAGTGATTTTTATTTGGTATTCATTTTGTGTTAATGCTCTCTTCCGCATTTTCTATTATCAGATGTCTATATCAGATAGAGATCATTTTTACATGCTAATGAAATATATACAATCATATATCACAATATATTTGTCCATAATAACAATAAACTATGCATTTATTTTATTTTTATTATTTTAATTTTTTAGATGGGGTCTCACTCTGTCACCAAGACTGTCACCACCCGGAGTGGTGCTATCATAGCTCACTGCAGCCACAAACTCCTGGGCTCCAGTGATCCTCCTGCCTCAGCCTCCTGAGTAACTGGGACTACAGGCACATGCCACCATGCTGGCTAATTTTTTTTATTTTTAATAGAGACAAAATCTTTCTCTGTTAACAGGCTGGTCTCAAACTCCTGAGCTCAAGCCATCCTCCTGCCTTGGCCTCTCAAAGTGCTGGGATTACAGGTGTGAGCCACTGTGCCCAACCAAACCACCAAACCACGCATTTAATGTTACATCTTTTTTTCTCTTTTTCTTTTCTTTCTTTTTTTTTTACAGAAACACCTCTGAAATTTTATCACAGAAAAAATAATTCCATTTATTATTATGACCACTCCTTATTTAAAAACTCATAAAGTGTTAGGAAAGATATAGAAAAAGTTATGATTTTGGGCATTCCAGGGAATTTCTATTACTTGTTCCTCAATCCTGAAAGTTAATAACTGTTGGGAATTTGGAAGTACCAGCATCTTGATGGCCAGCCTTCGTTATGACCCCTGCTCCCACATGGCAACATTCCACCTAGTAGCTCCAGCCAGAGAGCCCCACTCAAATAAAATATCATTTATGGGACTGTTTCAGGCACCATGTACAAAAGCACTGACCTAGACCCCTATGGGGAGAGATGACAAAAGGAGTAAAACACAGCCTGCCCTTGAAGAGGTAAGTATACAAACTGTGTGATGGAGGGCACATAAGAGGTGGCCACTGTGGAGGAAGAAATATTCCAACTTGGGAGCAGCAGGGATGATTCTGGAGTAGGTGTAATGGCCCTTTCTTCTAGCTGGGCCAGAAAACTAGAAAAGGCACTCCCAGGGAAGGCCAAGGTGAGTCAGGCAACGCAGCCGAGAACACAGGGCACATCTGGGAATGGCGAGCTGTCCGCTTTGGCTGGGGCACCCCACTCTCTGAAGGACAGATAAAGGGCCAGGACCTGGCTAGCCTTGAATTCCTAGTTTCTAAGGTGTATAGACTTAATTTTGAGGCCCGGGGTTCTGCCCTCTGGTTCCAATGACTGTAAGAGTGGAGAGGGGCAAAGAAAGTCACCAGGGCCCTTCAGAAATGACACAGTGAGAGAGGGTGAGGGTCTGAAATCTCATCTCTCACCCTTTCAAAATGATACAGTTCCTGTATTTTCCCAGGCATAGCTCTTTGCACACTTTCTTGCTATTGCATTTTACTTCTTTATTTTGGGGAATATGCTATTTATTTGCCTGCTTGATTTATAATTGGGGTATAACATACTCATGGTTAGAGTATGCAATCTGCATTAATCTTAAACATAATAAGCCCCATGAATTCCTACATTTATATACCACCATAAAACCATCACCCAGGCTGGGCGCGGTGGCTCACGCCTGTAATCCTAGCACTTTGGAAGGCCGAGGCGGGCGGATCACCTGGGGTCAGGAGTTCAAGATCAGCCTGGCCAACATGGTGAAACCCCTGTCTCTACTAAAAATACAAAAATTAGCCGGGCATGGTGGCAGGCGCCTGTAGTCCCAGCTACTCGAGAGGCTGAGGCAGGAGAATTGCCTGAAGCCAGGAGGTGGAGGTTGCAGTGAGCCGAGATAGTGCTATTGCACTCCAGCCTGGGGCACAAGAGCAAGACTCCATCTCAAAAAAACAAAATAAACAAACAAAAAACAAACCAAAAAAACCCATCACCCAGGTCAAGACAGTAAACATTTCCAGCACCCTACAAGGTTCTTTGTGCCCCTGAACAGCTAATCTCCACAATAAGTAACTACTCCGCTTTTTTTGAGACAGGGTCTTGCTCTGTTGTCCAGGCCAAGCTGGAATGCAGTGGTGGCCTGATCACAGCTCACTGCAGCCTCAGCCTCCTAGGCTCAAGCTATCCTCCCACCTCAGCCTCCCAAAGTACTGGGATTACAGGTGTGAGTCACTGTGCCTGGCTGTAAACCACTCTTCTGACCTCTATCACCATCAGCTAGTTTTGCCTGCTGTTGTGCGTCCAGTTTCTCCTGGTTGGAGTCAGAGCCCACAGAGGGCAGGCACTGAGAGGTTCCTGCTGCCTTGTGGCCCTCTACAGTGCTGGGCACGCAGCAGGCATTTAGATGTCTGATAAGTCAATGATTAGACCAGGTGGTGGAAGCGTGTCCATGGACACCGACCCTCTGCCACATGTTTGCACCTTCTGCCTATGCTGCTCTCCTGCCTGAAATGCCCGCCTCCCCTTTTCCTTTGTCTCATTCCTACCTTCCCCTCTTTTGTTTGAGACAGAGTCTCACTCTGTCACCCAGGCTGGAGTGCAGTGGCGCGATCTCGGCTCACTGCAACCTCCGCATCCCAGGTTCAAGTGATCGTCCCACCTCAGCCTCCTGAGTAGTTGGGATTACACGTGTGCGCCACCACGCCCGGCTACTTTTTGTAATTTTAATAGACATGGGGTTTTGCTATGTTGCCCAGGCTGGTCTCAAACTCCTGACCTCAAGTGATCTGCACACCTCAGCCTCCCAAAGTGCTGGGTACAGGTGTGAGCCACTACACCCGGCCTCCCCTCTTTTTGAGAAAAAGGTTTGGCTCAAGTTCCATCCCCTTCCCGGAAGCTCTCCCCTTCCTGCCCCCGCGGCACGTGCTGCCCACCAGGCTCCTCTGCAGATGCTGCCTCTCATGTTCTCTCTGAGTGGATATGTGTGCACATCTACAGCCTGCTCCTCATCCTGTCTCAGTCTCTCAAAGGAAAGATCCTGTTTTAGTCTGCATTAAATGAGCCCCAACTCCTCTCACTTCCTCCTTGTTTGCAGAGTATCCTAAGCTGCAAAAAATTTCTTCTGGTCTGTCTTCCTCACAGGGCTAGAAGGATCGCACTGGAAAACAGCTATGAAGAGGTTTTATAAGCCACAGTCCACCTAACATACATCATATGTACAACAAAAAAGCTTTAAAAAAAAAAAAAAAAGAATGGCCAGGTGTGGTGGCTCGCACCTGTAATCTCAGCACTTTGGGAGGCCGAGGTGGGCAGATCATTTGAGGTCAGGAGTTTGAAACCAGCCTGGCCAACATGGTGAAACCCCATCTCTACCCAAAATACAAAAATGAGCCAGGCGTGGTGGTGGGTGCCTGTAATCCCAGCTACTTGGGAGGCTGAGGCAGGAGAATCGCTTGAGCCTGAGAGGTGGAGGTTGCAGTGAGCAGAGATCGTGCCATTCCACTCTAGCCTGGGAGACAGCACAAGACTCCATCTCAAAAAAAAAAAAAAAAAAAAAAAGAATGCAGTGTATCTGTATATGCTGATATGGAAAGATTCCCAAGATACACTCAATCAAAAAAAAAACCAACTAGGTGTCAGAGCAATTTAGTGTGCTCCCCACTGCCACGGTGAAGAGCAGGATGAGGATAAAAACACACGCACATGAGAGCGTGCATGGAAAAACCGTGGAAGGAACGATACCCAGGAAACCAATCACCTTCACCTTCACCCCTGGGGCTGGGGTGGGAGATCCTGAGTCCAGTCAGTCCCTTTCTGTCATACAACATTCTGATCTATGTGTTATTTTGTATTAATAAACATTTTAACATAAAAATAAACTAAAATGAGGGGCTGAACTTATACCACCACCACAGTGCTCCCCAGCTTCCTAGAGTTCATCCTGAGGGTAAACCATGGGCAGCTTGCTGAAACCTGGGCTCGGGCCCCAGAAGCCACGCAGATGCTGCATGGGGTCAGTCAGAAATTCAGCACAAGTCAAAGCAGAGAGAAGAAAACATCCTGTGAGCTCACCGACAGCAACCCCTGGGGGCCTGGTAAAGAGCAACAACTGATGCAACTCCACCTTTTGCTTGGTAGCCAAAACCTGAGAGCTCAGAGCCTAGGGCCAAAGGGGAAATAAGGGGCCCAGGGCCCTCTGTGGGCCAACACTGCCGACCCTGTTGTGTGACCCAAACTGATCCAGGACTGGATCAATTTCCAGTTTATATATTTGTCAGGAGGTGGGGGAAAGCAGGTTTCCCCCACCTCCTGACAAATATATAAACCAAGGTTAGGAGATGCAATCTAAGGGAAAGGGCAGAAGGAACAAAGACCTCCAGGGTGCTGCTAGTCTTCACAGCACTAAGGGTCCCACACAGCACAAGACAGGGCCTCCTGGGACCAGAAACCATCCTGTGCTGGAAATGGTAGGAGAAAGACTACAGCAACCTTTTTGCAAGGCTAGGTCTGTCTCTGTCTCTCACATCTATAGAGCAGCCCATTCTGAAGCCTTGCTCTTCACCTTGAGGAGTTCATCTTCAGGGTTATCAACAAACTCCCACTGCCAGGCCAACAGTGAGGTAGATTCTATCATCATTTTCCTATTTTATGTCTGGTGGAGTCTTGGCAGGAGTCTTGACCTTGAAGTTAGTCTCCTTGAAGTTATTCCGTCATCTCCAATATTCCCCAAGATCCAAAAAGCCAAGTACCAAATGAACCAAGTATTTGTTTGTTTGTTTGTTTTTAAGATGGGGTCTCGCTCTGTCACCCAGGTTGGAATGCAGTGGCATGACCACAGCTCACTGCAGCCTCAACCTCCTGGGCTCAAGCAATCCTTCCACCTCAGCCTCCCAAGTAGCTGGGACTACAGGTGTGTACTGCCACACCTGGCTCACTGAAAAAAAAAAAAAAAAAAAAAAATTGTAGAGGTGGGGTCTCACTATGCATCGTGGTAAGAGAGCACGATGCAAAGAATGCAAAGGGCCTTGAAAACGACTAAGAACTACAAATACAAAGCATTAGAACCACCACCAGAGGAACACTGCTTTCTCCTCCCATTTTGAAACAGTTCTCTTGGAGGTCCTGGATGACCTCCTCTCGCCCCGCCATCTAAGAGGCCCTTGGCTGCTGCCCTGGTCCTGCTTCCATCTCACTGCTGCAATGATTCTGTCAACCACTTCCTCCCGAGGACAGGAGGGTAACTTGCCCAGGGTCACAGTCCAACCTCATAAGGATCGCCCTTCCCTCTGGGGGCTTTGCACTCTGCTGCTTGTTCTTCCCTCACCCGCCCTTGAAATGATGATCCTCCTTTCCTACCCCCAACGCCCTCCCCACCCCATTCTGTTCTTGGCTGGCTTCCCTGCTCAATCCATCCGCTGCACAATCCAACCACTGGCAATTTCACACACCGGGACTGCATCCCACACCACTGTCCGGGGCCTCTCTCCTGCTGACTGTCTAAATACCACACGGAGGCCTCGCAGGGGCCTTATAATGCGTTCAAAACACAGTCAATTATCTTCATGCCAGGCCACAGGAGTCCCTGGCAGGCAGCAAGTTACCCATTTGTTTTTTTTTTTTTTTTTTTTTAAATTTATTTATTTTTTATTGATAATTCTTGGGTGTTTCTCACAGAGGGGGATTTGGCAGGGTCATAGGACAATAGTGGAGGGAAGGTCAGCAGATAAACAAGTGAACAAAGGTCTCTGGTTTTCCTAGGCAGAGGACCCTGCGGCCTTCCGCAGTGTTTGTGTCCCTGGGTACTTGAGATTAGGGAGTGGTGATGACTCTTAACGAGCATGCTGCCTTCAAGCATCTGTTTAACAAAGCACATCTTGCACCGCCCTTAATCCGTTTAACCCTGAGTGGACACAGCACATGTTTCAGAGAGCACAGGGTTGGGGGTAAGGTCACAGATCAACAGGATCCCAAGGCAGAAGTTTTCTTAGTACAGAACAAAATGAAAAGTCTCCCATGTCTACTTCTTTCTACACAGACACGGCAACCATCCGATTTCTCAATCTTTTCCCCACCTTTCCCGCCTTTCTATTCCACAAAGCCGCCATTGTCATCCTGGCCCGTTCTCAATGAGCTGTTGGGCACACCTCCCAGACGGGGTGGTGGCCGGGCAGAGGGGCTCCTCACTTCCCAGTAGGGGCGGCCGGGCAGAGGCGCCCGTCACCTCCCGGACGGGGCGGCTGGCCGGGTGGGGGGCTGACCCCTCCCACCTCCCTCCCGGACGGGGCGGCTGGCCCGGCGGGGGGCTGACCCCCCCACCTCCCTCCCGGATGGGGCGGCTGGCCTGGCAGAGGGGCTCCTCACTTCCCAGTAGGGGCGGCCAGGCAGAGGCGCCCCTCACCTCCCAGACGGGGCGGCTGGCCAGGCGGGGGGCTGACCCCCCCACCTCCCTCCCGGACGGGGCGGCTGGCCGGGCGGGGCCTGACCCCCCCACCTCCCTCCCGGATGGGGCGGCTGGCCGGGCAGAGGGGCTCCTCACTTCCCAGTAGGGGCGGCCGGGCAGAGGCGCCCCTCACCTCCCAGACGGGGCGGCTGGCCAGGCGGGGGGCTGACCCCCCCACCTCCCTCCCGGACGGGGCGGCTGGCCGGGCGGGGCCTGACCCCCCCACCTCCCTCCCGGATGGGGCGGCTGGCCGGGCAGAGGGGCTCCTCACTTCCCAGTAGGGGCGGCCGGGCAGAGGCGCCCCTCACCTCCCGGACGGGGCGGCTGGCCGGGCGGGGGGCTGACCCCCCCACCTCCCTCCCGGACGGGGCGGCTGGCCGGGCGGGGGGCTGACCCCGCCACCTCCCTCCCGGACGGGGCGGCTGGCCTGGCAGAGGGGCTCCTCACTTCCCAGTAGGGGCAGCCAGGCAGAGGCGCCCCTCACCTCCCAGACGGGGCGGCTGGCCGGGCGGGAGGCTGACGCCCCGACCTCCCTCCCGGACGGGGCGGCTGGCCTGGCGGGGGGCTGAACCTACCTCCCTCCCTGACGGGGCGGCTGGCCGGGCGGGGGGCTGACCCCCCCACCTCCCTCCCGGACGGGGCCGCTGGCCGGGCAGAGGGGCTCCTCACTTCCCAGTAGGGGTGGCCAGGCAGAGGCGCCCCTCACCTCCCGGACGGGGCGGCTGGCCGGGCGGGAGGCTGACGCCCCGACCTCCCTCCCGGACGGGGCGGCTGGCCTGGCGGGGGGCTGACCCCCCCACCTCCCTCCCTGACGGGGCGGCTGGCGGGGCGTGGGGCTGACCCCCCCACCTCCCTCCCGGATGGGGCTGCTGGCCTGGCGGGGGGGCTGACCCCCCCCACCTCCCTCCCGGACGGGGTGGCTGCCGGGCGGAGACGCTCCTCACTTCCCAGACGGGGTGGCTGCCGGGCGGAGAGGCTCCTCATTTCTCAGACGGGGCAGCTGCCGGGTGGAGGGTCTCCTCACTTCTCAGACGGGGTGGTTGCCGGGCAGAGGGTCTCCTCACTTCTCAGACGGGGCGGCGGGGCAGAGATGCTCCTCACCTCCCAGACGGGGTCGTGGCCGGGCAGAGGTGCTCCTCACATCCCAGACGGGGCGGCGGGGCAGAGGCGCTCCCCACATCTCAGACGATGGGCGGCCGGGCAGAGACGCTCCTCCTTCCTAGATGTGATGGCGGCCGGAAAGAGGCGCTCCTCACCTCCTAGATGGGATGGCGGCCGGTCGGAGACGCTCCTCACCTCCCAGACTGGGCAGCCAGGCAGAGGGGCTCCCCACATCCCAGACGATGGGTGGCCAAGCAGAGACGCTCCTCACTTCCCAGACGGGGTGGCGGCCGGGCAGAGGCTGCAATCTCAGCACTTTGGGAGGCCAAGGCAGGCGGCTGGGAGGTGGAGGTTGTAGCGAGCCGGGACCACGCCACTGCACTCCAGCCTGGGCACCACCGAGCACTGAGTGCGCAAGTTACCCATTTGTTTGCTGAGCTGATCACCATATGCTTCTTTCCCCTCCTGCCACCCCAACTGCTCCACCTCTAGTGCTTCCCACCCAAGTCAATGGGACACCATCCCTTGGGCACACAGGCTGAACTCCAGCACCAGTGGGTCCTCCCTCACCACTCAGGTATCCATTCTCCCCTTTCCTTGACTGGCCAGGTTCAAGCCCTGCCCACTCCTCACCTAGATCTGCCTCTCCACTCCTGTCAGTGACATTTCTAAGCCCAGCCATGACCTGTCACACCCTTGCCCACAAAATCCAACTCCTTAATGTGGCATCCAAGGCTTTCCACACTCTGATACGGGTGCAGTCGCTGCCCAGTGGGCTAGTGGGCTAGCACTACCAGTAGCACTAATAATAATAAAAATAACAATAATGATGATAATAACAACAACACATACTGAATGCTTCCCATGTGTCTCTTCATTTCCATCACAGCCCTGTTGGGGAGGGTCCACAGGATCAAAATTTGACAGATGAAGAAACTGAGGATAGGATGGTAACTTGCCCAGGGTCACAGTACAACCTCATAAGGATTGCACTGTGCCAGAACAAACGATCTTTTAATCCTTTAGCCTTCTCTGACACTTTCAAACTCCTTAGGGGCTGGGATATGCCTGTTTAGAAAATCTCTGCAGCAGGCTTCCCATTGCCTCTCTAACTTCCCAAAGGAAACAGCAATAGATGTTCTTGGGATCAAAATGAAAGATAATGTGGGTCTCCCAAGTTATTCCTAGAATTTTTGAGTTCTAAGAAGGAATATCAATGTCTAACTGTCAATACATTTTATAGTAAGTAGAAGTATTTTTACACATAATTAACACTATAGCATACCAAGACCTCTGGTTAAATTAATGTGGGTGAAACAATTATACCCATTTCACGGGACCTGGAGAATTTTACTGCTCCAAAATTTCATTTTATGGCAAGCACAGTATAGGTGATGCCAGGTGCCTGGTTAGAACATGCCTCCTGACAACGACCCCATTCCTGGAGTAAAGTCTCCTGGCAGTGCCACGGCATGTCCAGGAACGAATGCTCTCCTGCCACAGGCCTCTAATTGCCTAATGGCCCTGGGACTTGGCTCTTCAAACACATGGCTCCCATCCCAGAGCTTCCCACTAGGCCAACTGTTTCTGTTTCCTAAGGTTCTAGGGGCTACTGCTGACGTCAGAATGGAGGGGCAAAAACAAACCCCAACAACAACAATGGCGACAATGACAAAAAGGAGAGAGCAGAAGAGGAAACAAACCACAGGCAAGAATGTCTGCATGACGAACTCTAGAATGCGCCCTTGGAGGGTATGTAAGATACCCACTTCATGCCTTTCTCCACTCTCCCCCTCTTCCTCACCCATCCTGTGTACTGTACTTGTTTACTTATCTATGTCTTCCCTCTGGAATGGGGCACCTTGACTGTTCTTCATAACTAGTAGATTGTAGGTGCTAAATTAATGTTGAATGAATGGCGGCAGACCTTGCTAATTGTTTACACAATATCCATTCTCCCCTTCTTTCTTGGTGACAGAATCCCAATTCTACCTCAGGTAGCAATGTGCTCAGCTAAATGATGTCTCAGCCTCCCTTGCAACTAATGGAGGCAAGGAGGAGAAGCTGAAGCTATTTGGTGGGACTTGCAGGAAAGCTCCTTAAGATGGAGCATGTGTTCTTTTTGCCTTTCCTCTCTTCTTCCTGCTTTCTTCCTAGAACCTGACATGATGGTTGGGGCTCCCGCAGCCATCTTAGACCATGATACAACCTTGGGGTTGGACGCCCTGCACTAAGGATGGCAGAGCGGAGAGACAAGCCCTAGACTGTCCCCCTAGATTTCTTTTCACAATAGAAAAAATTTCTACTGGTTTAAGCCACTGCTATTTCTGTTCTAGCTGCCAAATAGAATTCCTAACTGACTCATGAGTAAACCAATTAAATTTAGTTTTCTTAAATTACTCATCGCTGACCTACAGTTTACAAGGCCAATCACCACCTCTAACCTCTGGTCTTTGTAACGTAACGATAATTTGTCATTACGTTACAAATAATTATTGTTCACTGGAGGTCAGGAGGAGGGAAGGACAGAAGCACTAGAAGGAAGAGGTAGTTCAAGGAGGAGGAGGAGACACTGAAAAGCCAGTGGCCACTGGCTGGTTTTAAGTCTCTGAAAAGAAGATGAGGGACAGAGGCAGGAGGGGAGCAGGAAAATGAGGTGCACGGAAGAGAGGAGATGAGGGGAGAATGCAGAGAGGAACAGATGCAAAAGGCAGGAGCAAAGGAAAGTGGAGCCTGACAGGCAAGGTAGAGACCCTGGAGAGATGGAGCGGTGGAGAGAGGAGAAAGAGAAGTGTGCTGCAGCAGCAATTGCTGCTATGATTTAGAGAACAGGTGCTGCAGGCTGGGCATCAGCACCAAGCACTTTGTATGTATGTGTGCTCCCTGATCCTCTTGCTCCTGCACTAAGTGTTACCATGCCTGTTTTACAAATGAGGTAACTGGTTGGGTGCAGTGGCTCACTCCTGTAATCCCAGCACTTTGGGAGGCCAGGGCAGGAGGATCACTTGAGCCCAGGAGTTCCAGACCAACCTGGGCAACATAACAAGACCCCCAATCTCTACGAAAAAATTTAAAAATTAGCCGGGTGTGGTGCATGTGCCTGTAGTTCCAGCTACTCGGGAGGCTGAGCAGGGAGGAGCCCTGCTTGAGCCCGAAAGGTCGAGGCTGCAGTGAGCCGAGATTGTGCTACTGCACTACAGCCTGGGCGACAAAGTAAGACCTTGTCTCAAAAAAAAAAAAAAAAAAAAAAAAAAAAAACAAACAAAAAAAAAAAACACGAGGTTAATTGGCTCTGAGTATGAATTAACTTTCCCTCAGTCACAGAAAGTGGTAGAGGCAGGCTTTGCTGAAGTCTCCTTAGAAGGGAGGTGAGACATCATTCTTCTGTCTTCTTCTATCTCACTGTGAGATGTGGAACCACGGCAACCATTTTGGACCATGAGGACAGCAGCCACACCCTAAGAATGGCAGGGCACAGAATTGGAAGGAGTCTGGGTTGCTCATGACCTAATGGAGCTTCCACAACTGTCTGAGACTATAGACTACCTAACTCAGTCAGAATCCCTATCCATCAATCCATCAATCCATCCATAAATGCTTCAGATCACAATTTGCTACATTTTCCTCTAATCTTCAGTAATAGATTCCAAGTCACACTCCCAGACATTCTGATTCAGCAATCACTTTGAGATACACTCTCCTAGAAAAATGGAAAATCAGATTCATTGAACAGGTAAAGAAACTATCTGAGACTCCACAGGACAAACCTTGATACCTCAAAAGCAGCAACTGCTGATGACGTGCCCCTAGAAGACCTTGGAGATTAGCAGATGACACTGCAAAGTTAATCTATCATAATTTGGAGAAATGGAAGAAAGGAAAAGTTCATAAAGACCAAGAGAGAGCACATTTGGGGCTATTCCTCAGAAACAGATAAAAGGTAGTCCTAGTTAATTCAGACCAGTCTGTAACAGTGCCAGCAAGTCATCTGAGAAAAAACAAACGAATAGTCCAAGCCTCAGAAAGAGAACAGCTCCTTTTGGGCAAAAGCACCAAGTTGTCAAAGGGACACACTTGCATGCAGTGGCATCAGACAGCATTACTGTTGGGCACCACTGGTTGCAGCTTTCTGTGTGCTAGGAATTCTCTCCAACTAGAGTGCAAGCTCTCCTCTCTAAGAAGAGGGACTTGTGGCATTACTATTTCCGTATCTTCAGCAATAGCACCCAGCACAGTACTGAACACATAGTTGCTTAATATATGACCACAGACTGAGAGCTGTCAAGAAAGAACTAATGGGATTCACGTGGGTTGGGCAAAGATGCCTACTGCAAGCCAGGCGCGGTGGCTCATGCCTGTAATACCAGCACTTTGGGAGGCTAAGGTGGGCAGACCACAAGGTCAGGAGTTCGAGACTAGCCTGGGCAACATGGTAAAACCCCATCTCTACTAAAAATACAAAAATTAGCCGAGCGTGGTGGCGGATGCCTGTAACCCCAGCTACTCGGGAGGCTGAGGCAGGAGAATCGCTTGAAACCAGGAGGCGTAGGTTGCAGTGAGCAGAGATTGAGCCATTGCACTCCAGCCTGGGCAACAAGAGTGAGACGCTATCTCAAAAAAGAAAAAAAAAAAAAAAAAGAAAGAAAAGACGCCTACTCCAAGCCCTAACCCTGTGCCCACCTCTGAGTTCAAGCTGATTCCTGAAATTCCAGCCAAGGGAATTGAGAGTTGGTGCTGTCATTGTTCATCACTCTCATGAGACTGTTATCTGATGGATAATCTGGGGATCTTTAAAGGTTCGATTGCCTTCTCTTCTGAGAATATTCCTATGATAGAGTCTCAAGAGTCCAGAGAATTCAGGCAAAGCTGAGGAGAATGACACAGGCCATTAAGCTCTGCCCCGGACCTATCTCATCTGCCCTTTTTAGTTGTTAAGTCGCAGTAGGGTAGAAATCTTAACGAGGTCAGAAGTGATGGGTGACACAGCTCTAAATGCCAGGTACTGAGTTTTCACATCCTGGTCTCCTCGGAGGCCCCGGGCATACAGAGTCACCTACTCCTAAAGCAACTGCGCCTTTCAGAAGTGCAGCCTTATTCTAAAATTAAAGATTCTCAGGGCCCACTAGGATTATAATTAGTTTGTATTCCTCCACCTGGCACTCAGAGACGCTGAGTTTGGGAAGGGAATGTGGGGCATGCATTCTTAAGTCTGGAAACCACTTTAATTTGCAAGATTTAGTGGCTTTTTCTGGCCACTGGCTTGTTTTAAGTCTCTGGCATCCTCAGCTAGACTAAGAATTGTTACCTTGTGTCCCAGCCATACTGATTCACATTTCCATCAACTTGGCACAAAATGTGCCAAAAAACAAGCTTTCCTGCTGTCATTCCCTGCCTCTGCGTCCCATACCACTCCCAGCACTTGCCTCTACTCAGCCAGAGAAATTCAATGCAATTAAACTACCAACACTGAATGCCCACCAAATGACAGGTAGAATGTAAGGAGTTTCAAGTACCAAGAAAAACAAGACCCTGCTCTCAAGGGGGTCAGAGTCGGCTGAAAAAAGGAGATACGTGGCCAGGCGCAGTAGCTCATGCCTGTAATCCCAGCACTTTGGGAGGCCGAGGCGGGCGGATCACAAAGTCAAGAGATGGAGACCATCCTGGCCAACAGGGTGAAACCCCGTCTCTACTAAAAATACAAAAATTAGCTGGGCATGGTGGTGCACGCCTGTAGTCCCAGCTACGTGGGAGGCTGAGGCAAGAGAATGGCCTGAACCCAGAAGGCAGAGGTTGCCGTGAGCCAAGATCGCACCACTGCACTCCAGCCTGGCGACAGAGCAACACTCTGTCTCAAAAAAAAAAAGATACGTAAACAAGCAGCGACCCACAGAGTGATAGTTACTACAGACAGAGACCCCAAGCTCTGAAGGAGTAAAGGCTGCTCTCCTGGGAGGGATCAAGGAGAGGAGGGGAGACAGGCAATTCCAGCAAAGGAATAAACAGTGCAATTGCGCAGAGGCCTGGCAGCCTCAACTGCTGGGGGCAGCAACCACAGAGGCAGCCAACAGGGATCAGGGTTACTGCATGCCGGACGCTGCCATTTTACAGATGAGAAAGCTGAGTTATGGAAGGGATAAGTAACTTGTCCAAAATCATACCTTATGAAAAGACAGGTTCCAAGCCAAACAGCTGGACCCTAAAACCTGTGCTTTTAAACATTACAGTACATGGTATGCAAATAGTTCAATTTGCTGAAGTGTAAAATTTAAGAGCTAAGTTTATGCAGGAGAGGTAGAATGGGCTGCATCATGAAAAGCTTCATATGACACGCTAAGCATTTGAACAAACTTTCAGTAGGATACGGGACTAAATTAACGTGAAAGAGCTTCCCCTTTCCACCACTATCACAGAAAAATACCAGATAAAATAAAACAAATGACGTCCGTAGACATGCAGCCAAATTGGAAAGAGAAATGCCTATGTGCGAGAAGAATTGAAACATAAACAGTGAGTGGAACTGACACCACAATGGCCTGTGGACTTTCGCACCCACAAATGAAGCGGTTTAAAGCCTGCCTGTGGCTTTGAGCCCCAGTATCAAGAAGAGAGCCTCAAAGGGCTGCCCAGTAAAGGAAAGCAACAAGAAGCTGAACACTTCTCCAAGGCTCTGTGGGTCAGGTATGGGTGGGAGGTCACCCTTTCTTTTTTTTTTTTTGAGACAGAGTCTCACTCTGTCGCCCGGGCTGCAGTGCAGTGGCGTGATCTCAGCTCACTGCAAGCTCTGCCTCCCGGGTTCATGCCATTCTCCTGCCTCAGCCTTCCCAGCAGCTGGGACTACAGGCACCCACCACCTCACCCGGCTAATTTTTTGTATTTTTAGTAGAGACGGGGTTTCACCGCGTTAGCCAGGATGGTCTCAATCTCCTGACCTCATGATCCCCCTGCCTCGGCCTCCCAAAGTGCTGGGATTACAGGTGTGAGCCACCATGCCCGGCGGGAGGTCACCCTTTCTTAAGCCACCAAGCTAGTCCTGCCCATGGATATAAAACTGAACTTACACTACTAGGGTAGTAAAGGGGTGCCGCACTAAGCAGTGAACAAAAACTGAGCCAGGACCACTGAAACACTCATGGCCCCGCCAGAGGCAAACAAGCTGCTCTGAGGTATACTTTCATAATTCAGGACCCAAGTCTCAGCCAGAAAAGAGAATCCCTCCTGGAGATGAACTCACACCCAAAGTTACAAACCACACAAGGAAATAAACCACCAAGAGGGGCAAGCCTCAGACACAAAAAGAGAAGTAGCATCCCAAGAATCAGAAATAAGACAGTCTCAAAGAAACTACACAAGAAAACTTGGATGATTAAACAGATAAAGGAACACAGAAAGAACAAATATAGAGACTTTGGTGGTAAAATGCTCAACAATATGTCTAAGAGGCATTCCAGAGGCCACTGTAGAGAAAACGAGAAAGCCAAAGAGGCAATGGCTGAAATTTTCCAGAACTTAAGAAAGAATTAAATGTAAGAGATTAACATTAGGGGAAGCTGGGTGAAGGAATACAGAAACTCTGTGTAAAGCTAAGTTTATCTACAATCATTTTAAAGTAAAAAGGCTTTTTCTTTGTTTTTTCTTTTATAAATGAGTCCTCAGATAAAAGCAGCACACCAAATCCTGAGCAAGAAGATGGAGAACAAATCCACACTTAATTTCAAATGATTCCAAACAAAAGCATATATACATATACAGAGAAATATATTAATTGAATAAGATTAAAGAGAATACTCATGTTCATTGTACTATTTCCTCTAATTTTAACATTTTTCTAAGTAAAAGGATGGGAGAAAAGATGAGAAAATGTTGGAGTAAGAACAGAAATAAAGGCCAGGTAAGGTGGCTCACACCTGTAATCCCAGCACTTTTGGAGGCCAAGGTGGGAGGAGGGCTTGAGTGAGGAGTTCAAGACGAGCCTGGGCAACACAGTAACATCCCATCTCTAGAAAACATTTTTTTTTAAATTATCTGAGCATGGTGGTGTGCACCTATAATCTCAGCTACTTAGGAGGCTGAGGTGGGAGGATTGCTTGAGCCCAGGAGGTCAAAGCTACAGTGAGCTGTGATCACACCACTGCACTTCAGCCTAGGCAAAAGAGCTAGACCCTGTCTCAAAAAAGAAAAAAACAACGGAAGTAAAATGTATAGAAATAAAGAAAATTCCGGGCCGGGAGCAGTGGCTCATGCCTGTAATCCCAGCACTTTGGGAGGCCGAGGTGGGTGGATCACCTGAGGTCAGGAGTTCAAGACCAGCCTGGCCAACATGGCGAAACCCTGTCTCTACTAAAAATACAAATTAGCCGCGTGTGGTGGCACGTGCCTGTAGTCCCAGCTACTTGGGAGGCTGAGGCAGGAGAATCACTTGAACCTGGGAGGCAGAGGTTGCGCTGAGCTGAGATTACACCACTGCACTCCAGCCTGGGTGACAGAGCAAGACTCCATCTCCAAAAAAAAAAAAAAAAAAAAAAAAACTCGGAAGGAGAAAAATAGGCAAAAATGGAAATACATGGAAAGTACTAAAAAATATAATACAGTAATACGTTAAGTTAAATCCCAAAAATGTACATAAATTACTTAAGACAGATTGTCAGATTTGATTTAAATCCAGCCACATTCTGTTTATGAAAGAAACTCCTAAACATCGTGACACAAAAAGGTTGAAGAGATGAGGCAGTAGCAACCCCAGGCAGCACTAGTGCCATCAGACCTCACGGCAAAAAACAGGAGTGACATTAGGGAGGAAGGACAAACAAGACTTGGTGGCTGATTAAAAGAGGCTGAGGAGAATAAAGAAATAGAGGGCAACTGTCAGGTGACCAGGGGGATGTGGATGATTCCATTAAGGTGGGGATTGTGGGAAGAAGAGCAAGTCTGGCAGGAAAATGTAAGAATCACTGGGGGAGTGCTGAGTTTTAGGAGCTCTGGAGACCCCTCAGTGAAGATGTCCCGTAAGTAGTTACAGAAAATTCTTACTACCACTATTAAAAATGTACATATTTTTCCTTTTCTTTTTTTTTTTTTTTGAGACAGAGTCTCGCTCTGTCGCCCAGGCTGGAGTGCAGGGGCGCGATCTCAGCTCACTGCAAGCTCTGTGTCCCGGGTTCACGCCATTCTCCTGCCTCAGCCTCCCGAGTAGCTGGGACTACAGGTGCCTGCCACCATGCCCGGCTAATTTTTTATATTTTTTAGTAGAGATGGGGTTTCACCGTGTTAGCCAGGATGGTCTCAATCTCCTGACCTTGTGATCCGCCCGCCTCGGCCTCCCAAAGTGCTGGGATTACAGGCATGAGCCACCGCGCCTGGCCCATATTTTTTACTTCTAAAACAAAACAAAAATCCAAAAAGCAATTGCCCACTAAACCCCCCCGCCCCACCGCCGAGAACTAACCATGACCTTAGCAATAAACCCATGTTTCCCATCTATGCCTGGTCCATCTAAGTTCTGCTCCTGCTGGGTGATGTGAAAAGTGGTGCCAGGCTCCAAGGTTTCTGGAGCCGGTTCAGGTCCCATGTACAGAGTGGAAAAGCTCTTTGGAGGCAGGAAACCCTGTGTCTGTGCAGCCATAGGAGAAACAGATTCACCAGCAGCAGAGGTCAGGAGCCAGAGGTTCACTACTGCCAGGTGGACCACTTTCACTGGCTGAATCCCAAGGTTCAATTCAAGTAATCAGTTACCCAGTGCCCAATCTTGACCTCAAGAAACATACAGTAGGCCAGGCGTGGTGGCTCACACTGCAATCCCAGTACTTTGGTAGGCTGAGATGGGTGGACTGCTTGAGCCCAGAAGTTCAAGACCAGCCTGAGCAACATGGTGAAATCCCATTTCTACAAAAAATACAAAAAAAATTAGCCAGGTGTGGTGGCACATGCCAGCAGTCCCAGCATCTTGGGAAGCTGAGGTGTGAGGATTGCTTGAGTTGGGGAGGTCAGGGCTGCTGTGAGCTGAGATTGCACCACTGCACTCCAGCCTGGATGACACAAGGAGACTTTGTCTCAAAAAAAAAAAAGAAAGAAAGAAACAAAGAAAGAAAGAAATGTACCGTAGAGTGAAGAACAGTCATAGTATAAGACAGACTATGGCAAACCCCACAAGAGACGTACCAACAGCTATGGAGTTCAAAGAACAGAAAGCTCCTCTGTGCAGTTTAGGGGTACAATCATGTTACAGAGGAGGCAACATTGGAAATGTTTTTTTCTCCATGTCCCCTTGTTACATAATTACAGGGGTACATTGATCCATGCAGCTGCGTGTCCAGTGGCTTGTGGCATCAAGGCACTTAACACTCTCCACAGCAGAAGCTGGTCTCTATAATAGCGATACCTAATAATTATTGTTTACAAAGAGTCAGGCATGTGTTCAATGTTTTATGGGCATTCTTTCATTTAATCATCCCGATTACTCTATAAGACATTGCTATGGTTTGAATGTTGTGAACCCTCCAAAATTCATGTTGAAACTTAATCCCCAATACAACGGTATTAAGAGGTGTGGCCTTTGGAGGTGTTTAGGTCATGAAGGCTCTGCCCTCAGGAACGGATTAGTGCTCTTATAAAAGGGCTCCAGGGAACTAGCTGGGCCACTTTCACCCTTCTGCCATGTAAGGACACAGCATTCATCCCCTCTGGAGGACACAGCAACAAGGTGCCATCTTGGAAGTGGACAGCAGCCTTCACCAGACATCAAGTCTGCCAATGCCTTGATCTTGAACTTCCCAGCCTCCAGAACTGTGAGAAATCAGTTTCTTTTGTTTATAAATTACCCATCTCAGGAATTTTGTTATAGCAGCACAGACTAAGACAGGTATGAACCATTGTTATTCCCAATTTACAGATGAGAAAACTGAGACCCAGAGATGCAAAGAAAAGTTTCCCAAGGTCACTGAGATAGGGTCATAGAGCCTGAATCTGAACCCAGGTCTAACTCCAGAGCACATGCTCTTACCCACTTTGTCATCTATCTCATATAGGCATAATTCCACATGCCCTCCTAGACCTGTAGCTCTGTAATCCATTGTCTTAGCCCTCACCATGCCCAGCTCCAGGACAAACTGTGGAGAGACAAAGACAACTGTGGCAGAATGACATACAAGTAGGCTGGATTTAAGTCACAGCTCTTACACTCATCCAAGCTTGGGATCCTCCAAGTATAGGTTGAGCGATTTGGCTAGCCACAGCATCTCTCTGGTTATAAAGCTCAGAGTGGGCTGGACGTGGTGGCTCACACCTGTAATCCCAGCACTTTGGGAAGCCAAGGTGGGCAGATCACCTGAGGTCAGGAGTTCAAGACTAACCTGGCCAACATGGTGAAACCCCGTCTCTACTAAAAAATACAAAAACTTGCCGGGCATGGTGGCGGGAGCCTGTAAACCCAGCTACTCGGGAGGCTGAAGCAGGAGAATGGCTTGAACCTGGGAGGTGGAGGTTGCAGTGAACCGAGATCATGCCACTCCACTCCAGCCTAGGCAACAGAGCGAGACTCCGTCTCAAAAAATAAAAATAAATAAAAATAAAGCTCAGAGTGTCAGGCACAGTGCTAGACACTATGCAATCTAATTCTCACAACAATCCATTAGCTCCATTTTCCAGAAGAGGAAACTGAAGCCCAGAAAGGTTACAATCTGTCAAAGGCCCTTGGCTAATAAATGACAGAACCAGGATTCAAACCCAGACCCACCTTAGAAACCACACTTGTAGCTGCTGTGCACACAACCTAGCAAGTCTGACCTAGGAGTTAGTGGAAAGGGCAGGCAGTGAACTTTGCCTTTGGACTAGGGGAGCTCAAACAGAGTAATAAATATGTAATCACTGTGTGGACTAGAAGTACAGTCACTATTTCAAGCCAGAGACCAACAAGGCCAGGCCCAGAGAGGAGGTCAATGAGCACAGGTTCATGTACGTCTGCAGCATAGGAAAGAATCTCTGCAATGAGTTTTTTTCCAAACAAGGTGGTCATGTTCACAGGTTCTAGGGGTTAGGACTTGGACATATCTTTTGGAGGGGCAACCATCCAACTCACTACAGGCAGGAAAATCAGTGGGGAGAAACACTCAAAAGAACGGGAGGAACGACCTGTGCATGGCAGAGGAATGAGGTTTAAAGCTGTCAGTAAGGCTCCGGGAAACTGAGAGAATGACGGATTATTAACAGAAAGGGGATATGCAAAGAGCAGAGACAAAGATGGACTCTGCTTTTAAGGCTGCACACTCCAGCAGGCAGGTGGACACAGGGACCTGGTTTTCAGGAGAAAAGAACTTTAGTATTTGGTAGCTATAAGAGCAGATGGTCACAGCCACAGGAAGGGACAAGCGCGTGGAGGGAGAGGAGAGAGGGCAGAAGCCTGAAGAATGTTGACACTCAGGCAGCGGAAAGAGGAAGAGGAACCAGGGCAGCAAAGGCGCAGTCAGAGAGGAAGGGAAACAGAGGCCATGGGAGAACAGACATTTACCCTCCTAGGGGGCAGGGTCCAGTCTCTTTCTTCTGCATCATTCCCGAGTCTAACAAGGTACTAGGCATAGAGTAGGCACTTGGCAACCGCTGAAGTAATAATAAAAAGCAATTATGTGAGAGAGACCAACATGTGAGTGATTTCTAAGATGCAAAGAAAAGAAGGTAAAGGCATCTGTAATGCTTGAGAGCTTGGCCAAGTTACATGAGGCAGCATCTTCTGAGAGGGTGTGGGGTGAGTAGGGGAAGGCCTGGAAGAAACCCCAAGGGAAATGTGATGGGAAAACCACGAGAAGAAGAAAAGAATGAGCAGCCAGCTGCTGGAGAAGGTGAATTCTGGGGCCTTAACTGCCCCACCATGGGGCTCGTGTGAGCTCCCTGCTACACACAAGAGCTGCCTTGCCATCTAGCCGCTCTTTTTTTTTCCAATCCCAACCATCCATTCCACATATTTATCTAAAAAGCAGTTACCACAACTCATCTTGGGGAGAAGAACTGCTGTGAAACCCATGAGCGAGAGGCTGCTGCTGTGACCTGGGAAGACCTGCCCTGCATCCCTGGCAAGTTCTCTGGGGTGACTCTTCACCATGGGCGGGTAGCAGGCTTTTCCAGACAGGAAGTGTGTGGAGAGGAGCAGGGACTGTGGCCAGTGGGTGACTCATGAAGCGTTTACCAGCCATGTGGGTGCCCACCACCCTCAGATGGGGGCAGACTGGGCCAGTTGCATCAGACTTCCTGGAAGCATTTCTTCATTTCTATTTTTGAAGACACTGAACTTCCAGAGTGACATCTCTCCTGACGACTTCAAAAGGCACTCCAATCAGCAGCCATAACCAGTATCTTCTTACACATACTTTATCCACCCAACTCTACTCACTCCCCAACATGCCTGCACACAATAGAGGAAGTGGCCAGACAACACGATGCAGCCTTTCTAAGGGCAACAGGAAACGATACAATACCACGGAGCCACAATGAGGACCCGGGCAGCTAGAGCTCCCACACACCACCATCTTTCCCAACAGCCAGACCCTTCCTGGCCCACAGACAGGGTCAGGACACAGACAGCATCAATTCCCAAACTAACTGGTTGACAGGTCAGAGAATATCATCATTCAAAAGATCACAGGACTTCCTGTACAAATTAACCCAGATTCAAAGGAACAGGGAGTCAGGTACCCTTATACTGCAGTGAGAGGGTAAATTAGTACAACTTTCTAGAATTTGGCAATATGGCAACATTTATTAATATCCTTACATTTTGATTCATTCAAAATTTGCACATATACACACATACACATCCTTTAAAAACTGAATACCTACCAAGTGCCAGGAACTATGCCAAGTAGTAGGGGAGACAGAGAAGGTGACTGTTCTCAAAGAGCTTTTGTTCTAGTCACAGATTCGGACAATTAACCAATAAATCAACAAAATAATTTCTGAGTGCAGAGAGCACTGGCTATAAGAGCAAAAGATGAGAAATAACCTAAACGTCTGTTGGCAGGACTGATTAAATAAGATTAGATATTCTCATAAGAATGAATACCGCTCTGCTATTAAAAGTGCATTCTTGAAAACTATATTCAAATTGCTAGGATATAAATGTTTAAAGCAGGTTTCAAAACAGTACCATGATTATGTCCAGTGACAGAAGCCAATCACAAAAGATCACATATTGTATGATCCCATTTATATGAAATGTCCAGAACAGGTAAATCTGTACGTAGAGAAAGCAGATGAGTGGTAGTCTTGGGCTGGAGTAAGGGCGGGATGGGGCATCGAGGCGGGAATGCACGCTAATGGATTATAAGATGTCTTTTTGGGACTAAGAAAATGTTCTAAAACTAGATTGTGGTGATGGTTGTACAACTCTGTAAATACTAAAAACCATCAAATTGCACACTGTCAACAGGTGGACTTTATGACTTACATCTCAACAAAACTGCTAAAAAGTAACATTCAATATGACTTCAATATGGTTTTCAAAAAGAGGGGGTGTGAAGGGTCATGAGGGGAAGGATGAATAGCCATTCAAAACATTAACCGTGGAAATTCTCTGAGAGGAAAGTTCTAGGTAATTTTATGGTCTTCCTTATATTTATCTTTATTTTCCAAATATTCTAAAATATAGAAGTTTATTTAACTGGCAAACCAAATTATCCAGGGTTTTAAAATCTACTTTTCCAAGTGTACCTTAAGTATGTCCAAGGCACAAGACTAGAAAGGTCCAACTGCTGTGCTAACCTAGGTATCTCTAGGGTTGTCATATTCTTCACACCAAAGATACCAACCAGACAGCCAAGCAAAGGAATTTCATATTTCAAATAAATCAGACCAAGTAGCTCCTGGTTAGGGAGTGTCTGCTGACTGCTGGAAGAGCTTGCTACTCTCTGCAAACACTTTCAAAGAAAAACACCCAGAGGCCACCATAAAGCTCAGATACTATCAAAGCATGCAAAACAACATCAAAGATTTGAGCAGATTCAAATAGAAACTTCCTGGACACTTTCAGGAGTCACTTCCTGGTTGTGAAGTGTGAGGCCCTCTGGACAAATCATTCTCTCCCATGTGGCCTCCTCTGATCAGTGACTTCAAAGGCATCTTTCTGAAATGACTGGGCTGAGGGAGGGTGCCAGCCTCTGGAAGTCATTGGTTTCCCAACCAGGCTGTACTCCCAAATCAATGGGGAGCTTTAAAGGCAGGTTCCTGGACGCCATCCCTGGGAATTCTAATTCAATAGGCATGAGGAAGGCCCAGGAATCTACATTTTCCCCAAAACTCCCTGGTGAATATGCCAGTTGAGTCAAGTATGGGACTCACTGGGCTGGATACCATCTGGGATAACTCAAAATAGGGCTAGCCTCCACATCTGGCTACAATGCAGCAGGAATCCCACCCAGTGAGCACTGTGCATCAAAAGGCCACTAAGCGCAGAAAGGGAAACTCCACAGGGAAATTCCATGCATGTCTGGCTATCACTGCTGAAGCTTGGGGGAAGCTAGCAAATCCCTAGAGCAAACCTATTTTGGAAGGTTCCCTAAGACACAGTGATCTTGGATGCTCATCTGTGAAAAGGGGGATGACTAGTACAACTTCCACTGTGGGAGACCACAAGAAAAATCAGCCCTCTCCAACCACACAAAAGAGCCAGCAAGCTTTGCAACTCCCAAGGAACCAGAAGCAGAAAGGGATGCAGTATGGCATGACAGACTGTGAGTCTGAGTCACACAGATCTGGGTTCAAATCCAGGTATCCACTACCGGCTGTCTGTGGATTAAATATGGCTACAAACCTTTTGCCACTCTTTCCATCAAGAGGTGGCGTCTAGTTCCCAACCTGGAATCTGGGCTGGCCCAGTGACAGCTCTGACCAATAGAACATGATTGAGGTGATGTTCTGGGACGTGAGCCCAGGCCTCAACACGACTGGCTTCCACTGTCTTGGCCCCCAGATGCCATGCTGCAAGAAGTTCAGGATAGACTCTTGAAGGATTAGAGGCCATGCAAAGAGAAGCTGCCTTGGACATTACAGTGCAGCTAAACACAGACAAATGGGCAAGCTTGGCCGACATCATGTGGGGCAGAACCAAGCATCTGGACCCAATTCACACAATCAAGAGAAAGGATAAATGGTGGTTGTTTTAAACTACTGAGTTTCACAGGTGATTTGTTACACAGCAGTAGGTAACTGAAACACTGTTTCTCCTTGAGCAAATGGATTTTTCTGAGCCTTAGTTTCCTCATCAATCAGATAGGGAATGATGATAACCTGAATAGGGTTGTGTGAGTTTCAACAGAAGTGAACGGGCTGTGAAAGTCTGAAGCGCAGGCCAGTGCCAGTTACCATCACTATCTGCGCAAACCCAATGTTCAAACCACCACCACACCACCATATCCTTTTTCCACATTTAGAGTCTTTTTGGGCCAAGGGTACCTCTTCATACACAAAGCACAGGAACTATTTATACTCGCCCTATAATTGGGAAGGACCCTGCCAACAAATGCCCCATGTTCCCAAATCACTCACCTTCTCCCATCACATCAGTGTTCCCTCCGGCCTCTCTTCTTCCTGTTACAGTGTTATCTTTGCCCCAGCCATCCAGGTTCAAAGAATCAACCTCTTACACTCCTCCATTTCCTTTTAGCATCCAGGGAACGGACAAAACCTCACCTCCCCAGTCACCCCCACCTTTCCACTTCCAGTGCCATCAAGGCACGGTCATCAAAGCCAGGCAGGTCTGAGTGCTGCTCTGCAACTTACTACCTTTATGACCATACGCAAGTCATAAGTCTGGCCATACGCAAGACCATATGCATATTAATCAGTAATACCTTCTTTTTGTGGTCATTTCGAAGAAAGAATATGCAGCTAAAGTATTTAATACAGAGGCCGGATGCAGCGGCTCACGCCCATAATCCCAGCACTTTGGGAGGCCAAAGTGGGTGGATTACTTGAGGCCAGGAGTTCAAGACCAGCCTGGCCAACACCGTGAAACCCCATTTCTACTAAAAATAGAAAAATTAGCCAGGCATGGTGGTACACGCCTGTAGTCACAGCCACTAAGGAGGCTGAGGCACTAGAATTGCTTGAACCCGGGAGGCAGAGGTTGCAGTGAGCCGAGATCATGCCACTGCACTCCAGCCTGGGTGACAGAGTGAGATTGTCTTAAAAAAAAAAAAAAGTATTTAGTACTACAGGCCAGGAATTTCTCACCTGTACTACTATAGCCATCTCCTAATCTAGGCCTCTGCCTGTGTATCTCTCTCCATTTTGACCCCTCTAGCATAAATGCTATCAGATTAATTGTCCTGTATAGCAACTATCACATTATTCTCCTGCTCAAAGACCTTCCATGGCTCACACTGTTCTCAGATCAATCTCTGACAACCTCTCAGCTAAGTATGTAAGATTGTCCACAATCATGGCTCCATCTGTTGCCTTGGCCAATCCTATCCTTACTGCAACTTGCTATTAGAGTCAGCCTTCTAAAATGGCTGGCAACAATCCTCACCTTCTGGTATTCACATATTTGTGTAAATCTCTCCTAACCCATAGAAACTGCGAGATAGTGTTTTAAGCTACTAAGTTTTGGGGTAATTTGTTATGCAGGAATAGATAACTAATACTCTTCATTTCCCCTGTCACACCTGAGCTGTTGTTCTTTTCTTCAGTCATATTTGCCCTTCCTACAACATCTCAGCCTGCTGAAATTCTGCCAGGCCTGCAAGGCCCACTCAGATACCAGCGCTCACTCACCCTGAGCCTTTCTTAACTATCCTCTGGAAGCCTTCCCTAGTTCCCCAGTGTCTATCTCCATTACTGCACCTATCACACAGAAGCATTGTCAATCTGTTTATCTGTGTGTAAAATGACAAGGTTATTCATTGCCAAAAAAGACTAGAAGTCACCTGCACATTCATCAATGAATAAGAGAATGGCACATCCAGGCCGTGCATGGTGACTCACGCCTGTAATCCTAGCACTTTGGGAGGCCGAGATGAGCAAATCATTTGAGATCAGGAGTTCAGGACCAGCCTGGCCAACAAAGTGAAACCCTGTCTCTACTAAAAATACAAAAATCAGCTGGGCATGATGGCACATGCCTGTAATCCCAGCTACTCAGGAGGCTGAGGCGGGAGAATCGCTTGACCCAGGAGGCAGAGGTTGCAGTAAGCCGAGATCATGCCACTGCACTCCAGCCTGGGTGACAGAGCAAAAATCTGTCTAAAAAAAAAAAAGAAGAGACTGGCACATCCATACAATGGATGAGCCAACTGTTAAAAAAAAAAGAATGAGGGGCTGGGCGTGGTGGCTCACACCTGTAATCCCAGGACTTTGGGAGGCCGAGGCGGGCGGATCATGAGGTCAGGAGATCGAGACCTTCCTGGCTAACACGGTGAAACCCTGTCTCTACTAAAAATACACACACACACAAAAATTAGCTGGGTGTGGTGGCAAGCACCTGTATTCCCAGCTACTCGGGAGGCTGAGGCAGGAGAATGGTGTGAACCAGGAGGTGGAGCTTGCAGTGAGCTGAGATCGCGCCACTGCACTCCAGCCTGGGTGACAGAGCGAGACTCCATCTCAAAAAAAAAAAAAAAAAAAAGAATAAGGAAGCTCTACATGTCTGGTATGCAAAGATGGCCAAGATATAATAAGTGAAGCAAGGTGCAGACCAGTGAGTATAGCAGACAGGTATCAGGTATCTGCCTAACGAGTAACACTTGGGGCCGGGCGCGGTGGCTCACGCCTGTAATCCCACCACTTTGGGAGGCCGAGGCGGGTGGATCACAAGGTCAGGAGATCGAGACCATCCTGGCTAACACAGTGAAACCCCGTCTCTACTAAAAATACAAAAAATTAGCTGGGCATGGTGGCATGCGCCTGTAGTCCCAGCTACTCGGGAGGCTGAGGCAGAAGAATCACTTGAACCCAGGAGGTGGAGGTTGCAGTGAGGCGAAATCGCGCCACTGCACTCCAGACAGAGTGAGACCCCGTCTCAAAAAAAAAAACAAACAAAAAACAAAGAGTAACACTTGGGAGGCCAAGGCGGGGAGATTGCCTGAGGTCAGGAGTTTGAGACCAGTCTGGCCAACACGGTGAAACCTCGTCTCTACTAAAAATACAAAAAAAAAATTAGCCAGGCGTGGTGGCATGCACCTGTAATCCCAGCTACTCAGGTGGCTGAGGCAGGGAAATTGCTTGAACCAGGGAGGTTCAGGTTGCAGTGAGCCAAGATCGTGCCACTGCACTCCAGCCTGGGCAACAGAGCAAGATGCCGTCTCAAAAAAAAAAAAAAAAAAAAGTTAAACATGGAATACTATATGACCCAGCAATTTCACTAAGTATATTCCCAAGAGAACCTAAAGCATATGTCCACACAAAAGCTTGTACATGAATGTTCACAGCAGTCAAAAAATGGAAACAACCCAAATGTCCACCAATTTACCAATAAATAAAATGGAATATATACACACAATGGAATACTCAGCCACAAAAAGGAATACAGTACTATTATATGCTACAACATGGATGAACCTCGAAAACATGCTAAGTGAAATTGTTCAGACACAAAAGGCTACATATTATATAATTCCATTCATATGAAATGTCCAGGATAGGGAAAGCCATAGAGAAGGGAAGTAGATTAGCAGCCAAGGGATGGAGTAACTGCTGACAGGTAAAGGGTTTTTTAGGTGATAGAAGTGTCCTGGAATTAGTGGTTAATAGAACACAGTTAATATAATATATAAACAACACAGCTAAAATAATATATAAAACCGTTAATATAATATATAAATATATTAATTTAATATAATATATAAAACACAGTTAATATACAAAAACCATCAAAGTACACACTTTAAAGTGGTGAATTTGGTTATGTGAACTATATCTTAATTTTATGCTATAAAAATATGTAGAATATAAAATAAAATAAACTGCTCACATTCTGCCTGTGGCTCAGGCATCAGTCACCCTGTCCATGCCCTCCAGCCCCAAAAGGCTGCCTGTCTCCCCCATTTTTGTGTCCCCTGGCACTTTCTAGCTGCTCACTCGCCCTTCATCTCCCCCGTGACTTCCCACTTTCTGACTCTTGGGCAAGGCCTGGCCCCCGCCTCACTGGATCCACCCTTTCCTGGTGGGTCCACACCACCTACTCAGACCTACTGGAGAGCGTCTGGAGGCTGAGGCACCAGCCCCAGAAGTCACCCCAGATGAGCCGTCCAATGGCCAGGGCTGTAGTTACAAGCGTGTGTCAGCTGAGGGATACAGTTTCACATGGGAACTTAATTATAGCTTGGGAGTGGTGAAGGGAGAGGCGGTGGCGCAGGCTTTGAGGGGACGTACAGGAAGCCAGTGGGTCTCACCAGGCCTGGGATCACAGCAGAACAGATATGATCCAGGCAGGCCCACAGGAACGCACAGCCTATGGAAATCAGCCTGCTTTTAAGCATGAATTCCTAGCCCAACCTGTGTGCAGGCCAAAGTGGCCCAGAAAAGACCTGAGAAGCCACTGACCCTCAGTGCTCAGAAAGGCCTTCTCCTTGCCTACTGCCAGAGACCCCATTTTATTCTGTAAGAAGTGACAGGAAGGCATAGCTTGTTCCCCACAAAATACCCCATCTTCAATTTTCTCCCTTGCTTTGAGATGCGTTTCTGGAACGGAATCTGAGTTACTGATGCATGGAACATCTTCCTCTATGCTCGGATCCCTGCCTACTGCCCAGGGAGATGCCAAGAAGCTGTGCAGCTGCTGCCACACAGGTGTCAGTAGAGCACAGTAGCCAGATATACCAGATGTGTCAAACTACTGGGGCTGGGCACTGCCAGGTGAGGGAAGCAGATCAGGCAGAAAAAGAGAGAATCTCTGGAAAGATCATGGAAAGAGTGGGGCCAGGGTGGAGGAGCAGGTGCCACTGAGACACATTTTCTTCTCCCCTATGTCTGGCCCCTATCTGGGCCCCTTATTCTCCAGGCGTCTTCCTGGCCAGCTTGCTTGCTGTTTCAGAGAGGTCCCTGCAGTCACCTGCTGCCTACCCCGCCCCAACCCATCACCCACGCAGCTTCTTCTCACTGACTCAAGACAGCACCAGGGACCCAGGCCCTCCTCTCAGTTGCTCTTCCCAAGACCCCCACCCCCAGCCCTGGCATTACCCTTCCTATATACTGTCTGTGCATCTTTTTTTCTAAACTCCTGAGAGATTCATCCCTAAAAGCCATAGAAAGAAACCTTCAGACTGGAGGTGGTATCCTTTTCTGGATTTGTATGGAAGGAAAAAAAAAAAAGGCAGGAGTGGTGAGTAGGCAGAGCAGATGGGGCGCTGGACAGGGACAGGGAGAGACACAGATGGGGAGAGGCAGAGTAAGACTTCATGCACCTCTCTACCCTCTGCAAGTCTGGCAATAACATCAAGGAACAACCAGACAGTTCTTCCCAAGTGCCTCCCTCCAGGCCAAATGCCTTTCCCACAAATGGGAGAGGAGGTCGGAGGACAAGCAGACACCACAAAACCACCTGAAAAATGGGAAAGGCAAGTCACAAAACTAAATGTTAAACAGCATCCCATTTCGAAAGACAGAAAAAATAACTAGGTATACACAATTTGAAAAGAACCTAGGTAAGAAAAAAAAATCATATATCAAAGCAGCCACTTATGTGTGATAATATATTACTTTTTTCTCCTCAGTGCTTATCTGTATTTTCTAATCATCTATAACGAATGAGCATTATTTATATAACTAAAACATTTTTAACTAAATTAAAAATGCCATTGGTGGCATCTGATTAATTTCAAAGCTCCCAAATACAGTTTCCTAAAGGTGTCATCCACTGTTTATTACTAGTCAGATAAACAGCTTGCAAGTGGCAGGCCCTTCCTCCATCACCTCGTGCCCAACACCCAGAACCACCTGTCCCCATGGGACACAGACCCCTACCACTCCAGAGCTCATATCCAAAAGCCAGACCCTCAGCAAGGTGTAAAACTAAACATAAGGTTTGGTGGTTACAGGCATCCTTAGGCCAGAAGATTCCTCGCTGCACTGCCCTGCCTTTTCCAGGGCCCAGGCAGGGGCTGGCAGGAGCACACTCCAGGCTGCTGTCACTGGGAAGTACCCTGTGGGGCTCCACAAACAATCACTGGACTCAGGTTAATACCTACGCAGGCCAATGTTCAGATGAAGAGGACGACAAAAATAACATTAAAGTTATTTTTCTTTTTTTATTATTATTTTATTTTTTTAAATAAATAGACACTGGGTCTCACTACGTTGCCCAGGTTGATCTCAAATGCCTGACCTCAGGTGACCCTCCCACCTTGGCCTCCCAAAGTGCTGGTATTACAGGTGTGAGCCACCATGCCCAGCTGCCTTGAAGTTCTGTTTGGTCTAACCAATAATGACTGGCATCCACCTATGGTGCTGGGTGCTGAGGGTCTAAAGACACTAATGAAACAATCATCATTCAGTGAGTGCCTCCTCTGTGCCTTTACATGTATGAGCTCATTTAATCCCCAGAGGTGGAGGGTCTACAGTTATCACCCCCATGCCACACAGAGTCTGGCTCTTAAGCACTACCCCATATTCCCTAGAAGTCCGTAACCTAACCCTGAGAAACAGGCAGTGAGCTACTCCCTTCTCTGTTCCAGGAGGAAGCTCATCCCCCTCTGAGAAGCCAAAGAAATGAGAAGTGTGGCTGTTTCTCTGTCTCGCCTGCCCTCCCAGCCTCTAGCTACCCGAGCTCTATGATCCCTGGGGCCTACAGCTGGCCTGAGGAGGAGCCAGCAGGGCAGGCAGATGGGCACAGTTCCCAGAGACCAGCCAAGGCCACCAGTGAGATGCCATCTATGCCTGCCTCTTCTGATTTCTAGCGCCATCCCTGCACCCCAGCCCCTGCATCCAAGCCAAGAAATGGGAACAGAAATAGAAAAGGCTCTCTAAAAATAAATCGGGGATGGCAAGGTGCAAGAAAAGAGAAAAATATAATGCCACTGCTGGTTTGGGTATAGTGAGTCCTGCTAGCTTAGGCAGGGCCCATGTTGAGAGGGCAAGTACCAAGAGCCCTGGCTCCCTTTCAGCCTCTGCTCACAAGCCTGTGGATGCAACACTTGCATAACTATTTGCACATACCTGGAGAGCCCATGCTGAGGTGACATCAGCAAGAACAGCAGGGCTACTGAACTGAGAAGAACAGGGCTCAAATTCCAATTCCACCACTTGTTAGCTGTTTGACTTGGGCGAGTTAACCTCTCTGATCCTACACCTTGTCTGTAAAATGAGACTACCACTACACACCTCTTGCAGGCTGGTGTAAAAGGAAGGTGATCTCATCCGTGGGGTAACGACTGGCCTAAGGGAGAACATGAATAAAGGCAATTTCCCTCCCTTATTTCTCTCCCTATGTGCACATCTGGGCCAACTTTTCTCTTTTCACTTCACCAGACTGAAGCTGTTGATTAATCACAGCAGAGATTTTTTTTTTCTCTTAAGAGTTCCTTCCACCCTACAGGCCGGGCCCACAGCTTGGCTGGCCAGTCTCTTGTGGTTCTAGGGGCTGCTCACTGTCTTGGAGCAGATCCAGGGAGCCAGTATGCACGACTATTCTCAGGGCCTCCTCTGTCCACTGACCTGGAATGAGACTCTGCAGGAGGCCCCAAGGCCTGCCAAAATTTTGCCTCTTCTCAGTGACCAACAAGAGACTGCTATTTTCTGAAGCCAACAGCAGTCTGGCCAGTCAAGCAGGTACTTTCCAAACTGGAACAACTAGATCCAGCCAGCCATCCTTCCTAGAAGGCCCTGCTATGTAGTGATCAAAGACATGGGCTTTAATCACTTGGGTTCAAATCCCAGCTCTGCCATTCATTAGCTGTGCAACTTTAGGCAATTTTCCTAACCAGTCTGAGCCTCAGTATCCTCATCTCTAAAAGGGGTACAATGGTTCCTACCTCTCAGGGTTGTTGTGTGAATCAAAGTGATATATGTAGTGATCAGCACAATGCATTCAACATGTGGGAGCCATATTCTACTCAGATCGTTACTAGGTTATCTACCGGCTCAGCCATGGAAAGGGGATTAGACACAGGTGGGGATAGAAGTCAGCTGTGGGAGTCCCACTGGGGAGACCAAGAGGGGTGAAATGGAAAGAAACAGCGGGCCAGGGGGGTTGGACTTCCTCATGGGCTGAAGAAGGCCATGGAGGGGAACCTCTCAGAAACCACCCAGAACTACGCGGTGAATGGCCAGCCTGCACTGCTAGATACACAGTGCCATGCCAACACTGCCATGGAACTGCTTTCATCATTCAGAAAGAGGAGGCTGCTTTTTCCCCCTCTTCTAATATTTTTAAGTGACTATGTTTGCCTGCTGGTAGTCCCTAAGTATGATGGGATAAATATCCCATGGAAAGGAACTGAGGAACATGGGCCTAAAACTCGTGAGGTGGTGTGAGGGGGAGGAGAGGAGAAAGAAGGGGCAAAATGCCAAGCAAAGTAAAAGCTGTTATGGCACTTCAGGGCCACCAATCTCGTCTCTAACTTCATCTCCTGGTCTCCTCCCTCCCTCTGTCCAGCCACGCTGGCCTCCTCGCTATGCGTTGAACACCTCAGCTGTGTCCCAGTGCAGGGCCTTGGAACTTGCTTTCCCTCTGCCTGCGAGATTCTTCCCACAATAGTTCACTCTCCTCTTTCCACTTAAATGTCACCTTCGTGGTGAGACCTTCCCCGGCCCTCTATGTGGAACTGCCACTACCCTCCTTTCTGCTTAGTTTTCTAGAGAGCATCTGAAGCCATCTCACATGCTGTTGACTTAACTCTGGCTCCCTCCACTTCCCCCACCTCAGTTACCACGAGAGCAGGAGATTTTTTATCTGCTTTGTTTATCCCTTCATCCCCAGTGCCTAGCACATAGGAGGTACACAATAAACATTTATTGAATAAATGGAAGAGGAGAGGGGAAGATGGAATTAGAATCAGATTTTAATAATCCTACATCCTCACTGGTCTGAAAGAACTCTTTGTTCATGATATCACTGAAGGTGCTGGGAGAGTTCCAAAGCAAGGATCGGGTACCATATGAGGCTTTCTCTCTTGCTTCCAAGAACTCCCCAACAGGTTCCCCCAAAGTGCAGATTGTTTCAAATACTGGTTCAGGAAAATGCTGGGCCTATGCTCTCCTTGTGCCATGAGAGGGACGCCTTAAAATAAGAACAGGGATCAGCCAAGCCACCACTTGTACCTGGAGGCAGATGAGCCCTGTATTAGTTTCCTACTGCACTGTAACAAATTACCACATTACCACAAACTTAGCGACTTAAAACAAAACACATTTATTCTCTTACAGTTCTAGAGGTCAGAAATTCAAAATTAGTTTCACTGGGCTAAAATCAGTGTGTTGGCAGGGCCACACTTCCTCCAGAGGTTCTAAGGGAAAACAGTTTCCTTGCCTTTTCCAGCTTCCAAAGCTACGTTCGTTGCATTTTTGGCCTTCTCTTCCACCTCCAAAGCCAGCAGTGTAGCATCTTGCTGCAGTAGTCACATTGCCTCCTTCTCCTGTGTCCAATCTCTCTCTCTGGCCCCCACTCATAAGGACACTTGGGATTGCATTTAGGGGTCCACCCAGATAATCTAGGATAATCCCCTCATCTCAAGATCCTTAATTTAATTACATGTGCAAAGTCCATTATGTCATATAATATTCACAGGTTACAGGGGTTATAAAGGGGTATATTTTGGGGGCCACTATTTAGCTTACCACCAAGGAAGCAAGCTCCAAAAGTTTGGAAGAAACACAGTTCAGATCCCTGGTCCACATGAAAGAAGTGTCAGATTAGGAGCCTTGGCAGCGTCCCCAGGCCAGGGTCTTTCTTTAACTGTAACTGCTTGCTATTTAAATAGGCAGCAGGCCAGGCATGGTGGCTCATGACTGTAATACTAGCACTTTGGGAGGCCGAGGCAAGTGGATCACTAGAGGTCAGGAGTTTGAGACCAGCCTGGCCAAGATAGTGAAATCCCGTCTCTACTAAAAATACAAAAATTAGCTGGGTGAGGTGGCGCATGCCTGTAATCCCAGCTACTTGGAAGGCTGAGGTAGGAGAATTGCTTGAACCCGGGAGGCGGAGGTTGCAGTGAGCCAAGATCACACCACTGCGCTCCAGCCTGGGGCACAGAGTGAGACTGTCTTAAAAAAAAAAAAAAAAAAGTAGGCAGTGGAGAGTTAATTTTACGGAACTGAGCATTCTGGCCCTTGGAGGATGTCCTTGAAAGGGAAGGGCAGTTTTCTCTTCTCCAGTCTGAAGCCCCCAACGGAGTGCTGAGCACTACATACCAGGATGTGCGTGCTGAGGGTCAAGGGGAATCCATCAGGATCTCTGCACTTTCCTAAAGGCTTTTACACAGGAGAGGGGGCTGCAAAGAAATGGTCTGGACCACATGAACAAGCTCTAGATCAGGATGGCAGAAGTGCCGCCTCTCATGAGTGCAGCTTGGGGTGGAGGGTTCTGAGAACCCATCTGGGCTTGGAGAGGAAAACTGATGTGGTCAGAGTGCCATGACCACCAGGTCAAACACTAGGAATGGGCAGGTCAATGGCAATCTACACACTGTGACCAACCCTAGTCTACATGGCACCTCTGGATGCTAAGGGAAGGTGGCTTCTAACCAGACACAAAATGACTTGGAAAAGCACACCCTGAGAAACATAACTGCTCCAGGGAAGAGCTGTACATTGTGGACACTCTCCTCTGTTGTGCAGACATCATATGCTTTCTTTCTTCATTGGAATATGCTGTTAATTGTAAACCATTTCCCATCACTCCTCCCCAAAGCCCTCAAGGGCCCAGTGAGATAACTGAAGAGAGTAAACTTCTAATGTAAGAACAATATGCTTCTATTACCAGGTTTATTGATGTGAGGTTCGCCAGTGGACCCAGCTGACCAGCAGTATTTAGTGAATAAATGATAGAGCAGTGACTCTCAACCAGGGGTGATTTTGCCCCCTAGGAGACATTTGGCAATGTCCGCAGACATTTGGGTTTTACAGCTGGGGAGGGGAGAAGAGTGTCACTGGCACTTAGTGTGTAGAAGCCAGGGATGCTGCTCAACATCCTACAATGCACAAACAGCCCATACAAGAGATGATTATCCAGCCCAACATGTTTACAGTGCTAGGGCTGAGAAATCCTACACCAGAGGAACAGGAACTAGGAGGCAAAGAGAGTCAACAGCTATGAGCATGGAGATGTTTTAGGCAATTAAGGGAAACAAAGGAAGAGCATGCTTTGCTTGCTTGTTTGGAAAAGGGGGTAATGAGTAGAGAGCTCTGGATTCTGACAAACTTGAGAACAGCATGTTTATGAGGAGAGAATGCAGGGCGGCCTGCTCAGCTACTGCTGCCATTTGGAGAGCAAAGTTGGCTTGTACTTCCACTGGACTGGTGGCAAGGAACTCTGCCTCTGCGATCAACTCTTGGATGAGGAGTGTGCCAAAAGCAGTGATAAGGATCAAGTGGTCCTAGCAGATCACAAATGAAAGCAATGAAAATCAGCTGTTAGATACCTTTTAGTATCATGATATGGAAGTGAACTTAAGCATGAAGCAGTTTCCCACACCACTTGGCAACCTCCCTTCAGCATCCTCCTACAAGAGAACTCTTTCCAAGCTGAGTTACCATTAGCTGTGGAGAACTTAGTAACGGTCTCAGGAGAGCTGCTGAGGTGACCATGAGGCTGGGTAGAAGTTAGGAGTGAAAGAACTTTTCTGGGGAGTCTTTCTGAATCTGCTGTGATTCTGAGGGCTGCCCGATTAAAAAAAAAAATTATATAAGAAAGAGGTCGGGCATCGTGGCTCATGACTGTAATCCCAGCACTTTGGGAGGCTGAGACGGGCGGATCACAAGGTCAGGAGATCGAGACCATCCTGGCTAACACCGTGAAACCCTGTCTCTACCAAAAATACAAAAAATTAGCCAGGAGTGGTGGCGGGCGCCTGTAGTCCCAGCTACTCGGGAGGCTGAGGCAGGAGAACGGCGCGAACCTGGGAGGCGGAGCTTGCAGTGAGCCGAGATCACGCCACTGCACTCCAGCCTGGGCAACAAAGCGAGACTCCGTCTCAAAAAAAAAAAAAAAAAAAAAAAAAAAAAAAGAAGAAGAAGAAGAAAGCACTTTTTTTTTTTTTTTTTTTTTTTTTTACAGACAGGGCCTTACTCTGTCACCCAGGCTGGAGTACAGTGGTACAAATATGGCTCACTGCAGCCTCAACCTCCTCGGCTTGAGTGATTCTCCTACCTCAGCCCCCCAAGGAGTAGGAACTACAGGCATGTACCACCACGCCTGGATAATTTTTGTATTTTTTGTAGAGACGGGGTTTCGCCATGTTGCCCAGGCTGGTCTTGAACTCTGGTGTGCTGGGACTACAGGTGTGCGCCACCGTGCCCAGATAATTTTTGTATTTTTAGTATAGATGGGGTTTCCCCATGATGGCTAGGCTGGTCTCAAACTCGTGGCCTCAAGTGATTCACTGTGCCTGGCTGGAAGACAGGACTTCAATGAAAAAAAAATGGGGTGCTGCAACGCACTCCCCTGAATGCCAGGAGCTATTTAATGGAAGATGAGGCTCCCAGGCTGAGGCTGGGCTCCCTATGCCCAAGCCTGTAAATCTGGGCTGGTTCAGAAGTCACTCCTACCTGGGCTCACCCCCTCAGAACCCAGCTTGACAGAAAGAGGACAAGCCAGCATTTCCTGAGGTTCATTTTAATCCTCACAGGGAAGAAAATGAAGGCTCAGGACATTCAGTCACAAGCCCATGGTTAGAAGGTCAGTCAACACTGGAGCTGAGTCACACCGGTCTCCAGCACAAAATCCACTCAGGCCTCTTCACAGACGATGAAATGGCTACAAATGTTCCTCAACTTATAAGGACAAACCCATCATATGTTGAAAACGTCACAAGTCAAAAACGCATGTAATATATGTAACCTGCCGAACACCATAACTTACTTAGCATAGCCTACTGCAAATGTGCCAGAACATTTCCATGAGCCTACGGGCAACATCATCTAACACAGAGCTTATGTTACAATTTTGAATATCTCATGTAATTGAATACTGTACTGAAAGTGAAAAAACAGAATGGTCGTATGAGAACCGGGGCACGGTGGCTCATGCCTGTAATTCCAGCACTTTGGGAGGCCGAGGTGGGCAGGTCACCTGGTCAGGAGTTAGAAACCAGCCTGGCCAACATTGTGAAATCCTATCTCTACTAAAAATTCAAAAATTAGCCAGGCCTGGTGGCAGTCGCCTATAATCCCAGCTACTCAGGAGGCTGAGGCAGGAGAATCACTTTAACCCGGGAGGCAGAGGTTGCTGTGAGCCGAGATCACACCACTGCACTGCAGCCTGGGCAAGAGTGAGACGCCATCTCAAAAAAAAAAAAAAAAGAATGGTTGTATGAGTACTAAAGGATGGGGCTTCTGTTGAATGTGTATCGCTTTTTTTTTTTTTTTTTTTTTTGAGACGGAGTCTCGCTCTGTCGCCCAGGCTGGAATGCAGTGGCATGCACTCGGCTCACTGCAAGCTCCGCCTCCCGGGTTCATGCCATTCTCCTGCCTCAGCCTCCCAAGTAGCTGGGACTACAGGCGCCCACCACCACGCCCAGCTAATTTTTTGTATTTTTAGTAGAGACAGGGTTTCACTGTGTTAGCCAGGATGGTCTCAATCTCCTGACCTCGTGATCCTCCCACCTCGGCCTCCCAAAGTGCTGAGATTACAGGCGTGAGCCATGCGCCCAGCCGTGTATGGCTTTTACATCACTGTAAAGTTGAACCATCATAAGTTGGGGACTGTCTGTATTAAAGAAAGGGTGAGGATACCAGATGCTAAAACCCAGAAGCCAGTGCCTCAGGGAAACACAGAAGGCACCAGCTCTTTGCTAACATGTTAGCCCCATACGGAGCCTTCTCTCAGCTTCAAGTAGTTGCTCCAATCTGACCTCCTTCAAATTCTTTCTGCTGTGTGCCCCTCCTGACTCCTTTCTTCCCCTACTTTTGTCCCTCTTCCTACCATTCTCTAATTTGTCCTCCCCATTCCTTCCTCTGGCTCCACTCCTTGCTTCTATAATACTGAAACTGAAGCGTATTTGAAACATGGTTAGTGGTGTTAAATGAAGTTTCACCTTTCTTGCTTTTTATTTTTGAATAATTTATGCTTAACTTTTTATGTGCTTTGACAATAAAACCTAAATTTAGTTGCCTTCTAAAGTTTGTGAACTCTTAATCTCTCCTGTGCATCAACAGCCCTAAATGGATATGGGGTAGGGATGGGTTATTCCACCCTGGCTCTGGGTGCTTAATCTGTGTGGCTGAAATATCAAAATCAATACACTTAAATTGCAACCAGAGGAACTCAGATTTAATGTGAAGAAGAATTTCCTTACATTTAGACCACTGCAGTCCCCTACCTATCCTCTCTATCTCCATTCCTAATCTACCTTTTTGCAATATTAACACCACCACTCCTTGCTCCAAAACCACTGATGGCTCCCCCATTGCCCAAAGAACAGAGTACAAATTCCTTCACCTAGCATTCAATGTCCTCCATCAACCTATTAGGAATTTCCTAACTAACAGTAGCTTCCAGGAATGAAAATCATGAGAAGATGTGCTTTTCTCTTGGAAGTATCAAGACCACATTACCTCACATAAGGATGCTGAAAAGTAGTAGCTGGTCTCCAAGGAGGCCTGTTTCTCTCCTCAGTGAATCACGCCTCTTAGTATTCACACCCTTGTGTAGTCCTCTCCTTGAATCTGAACTGGTCCTGAGACCAAGGGAATAGAGGAAGTGGCACTGTGTAACTTCCAAGGCTAGGACATGAGAAACATTGACATTTCTTTCTGAATCTCTCAATACATTCATTTTGGGAATGCTTCTGCTCAGAACCCAGCTCTCATGCTATGAGAAGCCCAAGGCACATAGAGAGGTCATGTATACGCACTCCATTCAACAGCATCAAGTGCCACCCATGTGCCTAAGCCAGCGTGGACACCCAGCCCAGCTGAGCCTTCAGATGACACCTGCCCCGTCTTCATTTGACTATAGCAACATGACATATCCCAAGCAAGAACCACCCAGCTGGGCCCAGTTAATCCACAGAACCATGAAAGACAATAAAATGCCAATTTAAGAATGTCCTAGATGAATAAATAAAAACTAACTTTATTAAAATCTCCACCTTTGATATCTGTCTTTTAAATATTCTTTGTGGCCGGGCGCGGTGGCTCACGCCTGTAATCCCAGCACTCTGGGAGGCTGAGGTGGGCAGATCATGAGGTCAGGAGTTCGAGACCGGCCTGACCAATATGGTGAAACCCCATCTCTACTAAAAAAATACAAAAATTAGCCGGGCATTGGGGTGCGCGCCTGTGGTCCCAGCTACTTGGGAGGCTGAGGCAGAAGAATCACTTGAACCCACGAGGCGGAGGTTGCAGTGAGCCGAGATCACACCACTGCACTCTAGCCTGGGTGACAGAGTGAGACTTCATCTCAAAACAAAACAAAACAAAACAAAAAAGAACTGGCTGGGCACAGTGGCTCATGCCTTTAATCCCAGCACTTTGGGAGGCCAAGGCAGGAATGAATGGCTCGAGCTCAGGAGTTTGAGACCAGCCTGGACAACACAGGGAGACCTGATCTCTACAACAAGTTAAAAAATGAGGTGGGCATGATGGTGCATGCATGTAGTCTTAGCTACTTGGGAGGCTGAGATGAAAGGATCACTTGAGCCTGGAAGTCAAGGCTAGATACAGTGAGCCAAGACTGTGCCACCGCACTCAAGCCTGGGCAAGAGTGAGACCCCATATCAAAAAAAAAAAAAAAAAAAAAAAAGGCTGGGTGTGGTGGCTCATGCCTATAATCCCAGTAATTTGGGAGGCTGAGGCAGATGGATCACTTGAGGCCAGGAATTCAAGACCAGCCTGGTCGATGTAGCAAGATCACAAGACACCATCTTTACAAAAAATTTTAAAATGAGCTGGGCATGGTAGCACATACCTGTAGTCCTAGCTACTCTGGACGCTGAGGCAGGAGGATTACTTGAGCCCAGAAGTTGGAGGCTGCAAGTGAGCTATGACTGCACCACTGCACTCCAGCCTGGGTGACTGAGGGAGATGCTATCTCAGACAAAATCAAACAAAAGAACCAACAGTATGTTACCAATGATAAAAATCAAACTTTCAAGAGAAAACTCAAATTTAGAAAACGTGTATTGACCACTGTGAGCCCGACAGCTTCCCAATACTTAAAGACTTTTTAAAAATGAGATCAGTGGTGATATTAACGAATGTCACCCGCCCGGCCTATTATAACTTCTAACATGGTAAACATAAGCCCTTGGGGTCTTCAATAATTTTTAAGAATCTAAAGGGACTGGCGCAGTGGCTCACATCTGTAATCCCAGCACTTTGGGAGGCCGACGCGGGTGAATCACGAGGTCAGGAGATTGAGACCATCCTGGCTAACATGGTGAAACCCCGTCTCTACTAAAAACACAAAAAATTAGCTGGGCGTGGTGGCGGGCACCTGTAGTCCCAGCTACTCGGGAGGCTGAGGCAGGAGAATGGCATGAACCCGGGAGGCGGGGCTTGCAGTAAGCCGAGATTGTGCCACTGCACTCCAGCCTGGGTGACAGAGAGAGACTCCGTCTCAAAAAACAAAAACAAACAAACAAACAAAAAAAGAATCTAAAGGGATCTTGAGGCCAAAAAGTTTGAGAATGCTGTTTTATAATATTCTAAAGTTGACTTCAAAATAAGCCATCTTTCGCCCAGGCGCGGTGGCTCATGCCTGTAATCCCAGCACTTTGGGAGACCGAGGTGGGCAGATCACCTGAGGTCAGGAGTTCAAGACCAGCCTGACCAACATGGTGAAACCCCATCTCTACTAAAAACACAAAAAATTAGCCAGGCATGGTGACACATGCCTGTAATCCCAGCTACTTGGGAGACTGAGGCAGGAGAACTGCTCGAACACGGGAGGCAGAGGCTGCAGTGAGCCAACATCACGCCACGCCACTGCACTCCATCCTGGGCAACAGAGCAAAACTCTGTCTCAGAGAAAAAAAAAAAAAAAAAAAAAAGACACATAGACCAATGGAACAGAATAGAGAACCCAGAAACAAATCCACACATCTACAGTGAACTCACTTTTGACAAAGGTGCCAAGAACATACACTGAGGAAAAGACAGTCTCTTCAATAAATGGTGCTTGGAAAACTGGATATTCATATGGAGATGAATGAAACTAGACCCCTACCTCTTGCCATCCACAAAAACCAAATCAAAATAAAGACTTAAATCTGAGACTTCAAACCATGAAAGTACTACAAGAAAACAGGAGAAAATCTCCAGGACACTGGTCTGGGCAAAAATTTCTTGAGCAATACCCCGCAAGCACAGGCAACCAAAGCAAAAATGGTCAAATGGGATCACATCACATTAAACAGTTTCTGCACAGCAAAGGAAACAATCAACAAAGTGAAGAGACAACCCACAGAATGAGAGAAAATATTTGCAAACTACCCATTTCACAAGGGGTTAATAACAAGAATATATAACGAGCTCAAACAACTCTATAGGAAAAAAACGAATAATCTAATAAAAGGATGGGCAAAAGATTTTAATAGACATTTCTCAAAAGAAGACATACAAGGCCGGGTGTGGTAGCTCATGCCTGTAATCCCAACATTTTGGGAGGCTGAGGCAGGCAGATCACTTGAGGTCAGGAGTTCGAGACCAGCCTGGCCAACATGACAAAACCCCATCTCTACTAAAAATACAAAAATTAGCTGGGCGTGGTGGCGGGCGCCTGTAATCTGAGCTACTTGGGAGGCTGAGGCAGGAGAATCGCTTGAACCCAGGAGGTGGAGGTTACAGGGAGCCAAGATTGTGCCATTGCTCTCCAGCCTGGGTGACAAGAGCAAGATTCCATCTCAAAAAAACAAAAAAGAAAAGAAAAAAAGAAATATACACCTACTACTATGTACCCATTAAATTAAAAAAAAACAAAAACAAACAAAAAAAAAACTTAGCCAGGCACAGTGGTGTGCACCTGTAGTCCCAGCTACTTGGGAGGCTGTGGTGAGAGGACTGCCTAGGGAGGCCAAGCTTATCCAACCCATGGCCCATGACTGCATGCAGCCCAGGAGAGCTCTGAATGCATCCCAACGCAAATACGTAAACTTTATTAAAACATGAGATTCTTTTGCCATTTTTATTTTTAGCTCATCACTATTGTTAGTGTTAGTGTATTTTATGTATAGCCCAAGATAATAATTCTTCTTCCAATGTGGCCCAGGGATGCCAAAAGATTGGACACACCCCTGGTCCTAGGTGATATAGCAGTACCCAATCAAGAAAGAAAGAAGAGGCCGGGCGCGGTGGCTCACGCCTGTAATCCCAGCACTTTGGGAGGCCGAGGCCGGTGGATCACGAGGTCAGGAGATCGAGACCATCTTGGCTAACACGGTGAAACCCCGTCTCTACTAAAAATACAAAAAATTAGCCGGGCGTGGTGGCGGGCGCCTGTAGTCCCAGCTACTCAGGAGGCTTAGGCAGGAGAATGGTGTGAACCCAGGAGGCAGAGCTTGCAGTGAGCCTAGATCGCGCCACTGCACTCCAGCCTGGGTGACAGAGCGAGACTCCGTCTCAAAAAAAAAAAAAAAAAGAAAGGAGAAGAGAAGTTCCTACCTGCGACTGGGAGCTCAAGGCTCAGGGATGAACTGGACAACTGACCCCTGGAAATGCACGTACAATTGCTGCCACTGGGCCTGGCTGCTGCTAAAGCAAATGGCAAAGCAAATCAGTTCAACTCAGTAGCTCTCCCCGCTCAGGAGGTACTTTGACCTCTTCCCTCTTGGGGAACCTCAGAAGTCTCTGAAACTCCCCCCTTCTTCCTCCCTCACATTCCCTTCAGAGGAAAGCACTTGGTATGGGTTTGAAAGCAGGAGGGCCCCCCACCCAGGACCTTCCTGAAAGATCTACAAACAACCTGACCCCCACAGACAGAGAGACACAGGGACTCACCACCCTGTCTGACAACAGGAAAACCTGCAGGGTGTTAAAGGCAGAGAAGGGGAAGTGAAGCCCACAAACAGCTACTGGAACCACTGAACTTCAGAGATTAAAACAAATCAGGCAGGAGGCCCACGTTTCCCCGGCCCCCAGCAGGGACCCACAACAACCCAGCCTTCCAAATAGGACAATGAACATTGTATTCCCTGGAGCTCCACTTCTGAGAGTTTATAAAACCTGCCAGGCATCCTGAGAACATGGAAACAGCAATGGGAACCCAGAGCATTGTTCAGACTCTTGGTGAGAACCTCCTACCCCTGCAGAGATGGAAGAAACAATTCTGTGTGTTATGGCCAGCTCTCATATATACCAGCAAACCACAGACCCATGAGGCAGAGATTGGATCTGTTTTTTACTATTATCATTTCCCAAGTGCCTGGCACATAGTTGGCACTTAAAAATATTTGTTCCCGGCTGGGCACAGTGGCTCACATCTGTAATCCCAGCACTCTGGGAGGCTGAGGCGGGTAGATCATCTGACATCAGGAGTTTGAGACCAGTCTGGCTAACATGGTGAAACCCCGTCTCTACTAAAAATACAAAATTTAGCCAGATGTGGTGGCGCATGCCTGTAATCTCAGCTACTCAGGAGGCTGAGGTAGGAGAATCGCTTGAACCTAAGAGGCGGAGGTTGCAGTGAGCCGAGATCACGGCATTGCACTCCAGCCTGGACAACAAGAGCGAAACTCCATCTCAAAAAAAAAAAAAAAAGGCCAGGTGCGGTGGCTCACGCCTGTAATCCCAGCACTTTGGGAGGCTGAGGCGGGCGGATCACCTGAGGTCAGGAGTTCCAGACCAGCCTGGCCAACATGGTGAAACCCCATCTCTACTAAAAATACAAAAATTAGCCGGGCGTGGTGGCAGGTGCCTATAATCCCAGCTACTTGGGAGGCTGAGACAGGAGAAGCACTTGAACCCAGGAGAAGGAGGTGGCAGTGAGCCAAGATCACGCCATTGCACTCCAGTCTGGGGGACAAGAGCAAGACTTCGTCTCAAAAACAAACAAACAAACAAAATATATATATATATATATATTTGCCCCCTAATAAGAGAGAATGATGGACACCATCTTTGTGGCCTGGCACCCTAGGTACCCATATAGGCAAAGACGAAAGTTCGTTCATTTACTCATTCAACAAAAATTTATTCATTATCTCCTCTGTGCCAGGCACTATCCTAGACACAACAGGCAGCAAAACAACTCCCTGCCCTGTGGAGTTTATCTTTTAATGGGCGCAAAGGTGGGAATCTCCATGCTCCTGAAAAAACTATGTAAGCCATAGACTTTCAATAATTACTTAATAAATGCCTATACTATGCATAAGCAACTGGTACCAGATGCTGTGACAGGAACCTGGAATCTGGGAATAAGCCCTAGTGAAATTATTTCATCTTCAAGGTCAGGATCTTAAATCTGGATCCTGTGTCAGTGGTGGTCAGAGACCCCTGAGTAAAGAAAATGGGATTACCTCGTTGGTGCATCTGTCTTCATCTGTTGGTGAGCAGAAGCCACTGTGTGAGTATCACGTGCATGCCCAAAACACTGTACAACACTGCAGGATAGAAAAAACCCCAACAGCTTTAGCTGACAGGTGCCAGGGGCCCTCAAAGCAACTCTAATAAGTTATACCCACCGTAACTCAAAGAGTGTTCCTAAGGTAATCTGGCTCCTCGTCGGTCCCTTACACACCACCCTGAGATGTGATTCTGAGCCTGAGTCAGCAAATATTTCCCCAATCCTGGAAGGAGTCTGCTCACTCCCAAGTAAGCAGACACTGGCTTTGCTGATTTTATCAGGTCGGCGCAGAAGGCGCAGGCAAGGTAAGAAGGGAGCTGGGTAGAAGCTCATAAATGAAGATGTCCTGAGTCATAGTTGATGCCTTCACCAAAGCCCCTGCAGAATGAACTGGAGTCACATGCCAATCACCAGCCTGCTGAGTTATGAAGGCTAGGAGCCATCTGCCAAGGAAGAAGACCCATATGTCTGAAACCTGATGCAAGGGGCCATGTTCTCCCTGCCAGGCTCAAGGCAAGCTCCAAGGGCTCCTCTGACACCCTGGAATCCAGCTGTTGCAAGCAGCTCCTCACCCTGGCTCCAACGGCAGAGAAAAATGTGCATGGACACCAAACCATCTCCAAGAAGCAGCCATTAGGTAATCTGGGACATGGCATTGACAATGGCACCGGGCACAGGGCTTCTGACATCATATAAGCAAGGGCCTGGCAGAACGGACAAAGCCCACAGAGACCTGGGTAGGGAGGAAGAGAATGTTTCCAGTGTGGGCAATGCTGAGCAGTAAAGCTGTGTCCTGCAATTTCCAAGCCCTTCAGAGGCACTGGAGCAAGGCACCACTGTTCAGCTTCCCAGCCTGCAGAGAGCACTCAGGGAGGTGGGCCTCAGGGACAGGATATAGCTGAAGCCCTTAGAAGTGACAGGTCCAGGCTGGTTGTGGTGGCTCACGCCTGTAATCCCAGCACTTTGGGAGGCTGAGGCGGGCAGATCACGAGGTCAGGAAATCGAGACCATCTCGACTAACACGGTGAAACCCTGTCTCTACTAAAACTACAAAAAAAAATGAGCCAGGCGTGGTGGCGGGCGCCTGTAGTCCCAGCTACTCAGGAGGCTGAGGCAGAAGAATGGCGTGAACCTGGGAGATGGAGCTTGCAGTGAGCCAAGATCGCACCACTGCACTCCAGCCTGGGCGACAGAGCGAGACTCCATCTCAAAAAAAAAAAAAAAAAAAACGAAAAAAAAGTGACAGGTCCAACTCCTGAGAGAGAGGAGCTGCACTATCCCAGGATGTGCCAGAATCTGCAGGCCCTGAAGACAGCTTGCACAACAGTCAGGACAGCTGTAGGCCCAAAGCAGAGGCCTAATGGCTTCCCAGGCTAGTGCTCTACACTGTCTATCCTCTTACCAGGCCCTAAGGGAAGGCGTCTAAGGGACCACAGGTCGGGTTGAAAGGCTGAGTAGGAGCAATTCTTCCTGAATGGGTTAAGGCATATATCACACAAGAAGGCCATGGTGAAGAGGCAAGGAGAAAGGCACCTGAACGAGCAGTCAGTGTAATCTCAGTGCTCTGAGAGGCCAAGGTGAGGAGGACTGCTTGAGGCCAGGAGTTCGAGACATTGTGAGAGCCTGTCTTTACAAAAAAATTGTTTTTTAATTAGCTGAGTGTGGTGGTGTGCACCTGTAGTCCCCGCTACTCTGGAGGCTGAAGCAGGAAGATCCCTTGAGCCCAGGAGTTCGAGGTTACAGTGCACTATGATAGCACCACTGCACTCCAGCCTGGGCAATAGAACAAAACCTTGTGTCAGAAAAGAAAGAAGGAAAGAAAATCCAGACCCAGACTCTGCAAAAATCACTGAATGGGGAAGGAATTTGGTAATTGACAATCATGACTACCTTCTCAGAAAATGAGAGTGGACAAACTGCAAGAAGCTATCCATCTAGGGCTGCTGGTGCCCAAGCTGCTCCACAAGGACTGGCCTTGACCTGTTCTCAAATCTCTCACCTGCCACCACAGCAGAGAGCACTACTAAGGGGTAAGCACGGCCAGAAGTAACAAACTGCTCAAAAGAGTAAGGAGGAGTCCTTGAAAGCCAGAGACTAGACTAAAAATCTGTCCAACACTTGACCTCTACCTCTTTAGAATGATCCACTAAAACCCTGGAGAGATGCTATTCACAGGAACAAGGAAAACCCTCTGGTCCAGTCTACCCAAATCTTTGCAAGTGCTGCAAAGGGGGTCTGGGGGTCAGTGGAGAAGGGACTGGCTCAACAACAGGCCATCCACAATCCTATTGCTTTCACAGAAAACAGTGTACAAGAGGATTACAAAACTTTAAAGTCTGGTCAAGCTGGTTCCTTTGGCTCTCCACCGCAGCTCCTAAAGGTTGCCAACTCCCATGTCCAATCTGGCTCAAAGACAGCACAATCATCAAAAGAGGAGCCCCTAGAAACCTGGGGCCAGGTGAAACAATGAGCCTTCATTTCTAAACATGAGAGTGGGTCACGCTTTCAGAATCCTCCAAGATCAGACTGGGTAGAAACAAAGGATATGTTATTTCTTGAATACTTCTTTAGAGAACCAACGCCAAATAAAGGAGCTCAAACTGAAGGATATGACGAGAATCTTCTGCTTGGTAAGGTTAAACATCCAGACACACATGGAAGGTGGTGGGCTCTCAAGCCCCAGAGAAGATGATCTATGTGACTGGAAGCAGATGTGTCTGCTCAAGTTCCTGACAAGGTCTAACTACTGCAGCCCCACAGCCCACCAGGGTAGTTATCAATCTGATACCTCATACTATGCCTGGGCAAAGGGAACAGAGCTCTGGGATTGCCGTTCCTCCTGGATACAGAGGAAATTAAGCTCCCAGGGAAAAAGAGGGACAATTTGGATTCCCTAGATTCAGAAAAGAACAAAGAAAAAAGAGGGAGAAGAGACTCCAAGAGAACATGTTCAGTGACCAACATCAGAGGCACATTCAGTTGGCCAAAGATTGTCAAAGAGATATGAGAGAAAATCAGCAGCTGTTTCAAGCCACCAATAATAAAAGGGGACAGATGCCCGCCAGCCCCAGGGCTATCAGGCCAGCAATCTATTTCAAAACTCAAACGGGAAAAAAAAAAGTTCTGGAGCCAGTACACAGAAAAAAGGTTGAGGACCACAAGTATTTTCTGGAGCACAGCTTCTGGAGAATTCTCTTAGTCCTTTCGGATGGAGCACAGGGTGGAGGGTGGGAGTGAGGGCAGAGAGAGGCTGGGGTATCATGGTATAAGTGTATTCCACACATCCAGAGTGGAAAGACACAAAACCCCGGTTCCTGGAAGGGGAAAAGAATTGGACAAAGCCTCCGGCTACCCGTGGCACACATCCAGCTCAGCGCCGTCTCCCCCAAGGGTTCCTGGAAGTCAACAGCCCCATAAAGGGGAAGTATTAAAGCTGAGATAAGAAGAATGGCCTACAAATTGGACATCATCTCTGATGCAACACCCACGTACATTCTCCCACACAATCTGTTATTTCCTTTAGTCAATCAGCCTCTTAATTCGATCAAGGTCTGAACACCTCCACCCCCACCCCATGGTTATGTCAACTGCAGGTCAAGTGAAAGTAGAGTAGAGTGTGGAGCTAAGGCTTCTCCCTGAAGCAGGGGAAAGGAACAGGGAGAGAAAAGGAGGTGGGCGACAGGAATGTAGGGGACAGAATTGATACGAAGGAAATCGGAAAAAGGAGCAAAAACAGGGCCTCTCAGGGAACCAAGGTGAGAGTCTTAGGGAGACAGGGACTGCAGGCACGGAGTTGGAAAAAGCCTAGGAACACCCTGGGGAAGAGGATGGGGACCCATAATACTAGGAGGGATCAGACCACAGATAAGAAGGGGACAGGGATGGGGAGAGAGAGTAAAGCCTGAGAGAGCAAGGATGGGAGGATGAAGGCAGGAGACAAGGATAACGAGGGGGACAGAGGAAAAGATCCCAGAGAAGACTCTCGCTAGATAGGGCAGTGGATTCAGGAACACCAGAAACGGGTGAAGGAAGAGGTCAGAGGCAGGGGAGGGGAATGGGAGAGGCCCCCGGGCCTGAGACGGGGTTCTCACAAGTGGGAGAAGACGAAGCCACCAGGCCCAAGAGGGGGCAAAGAGTAGGGTGGAAGGAGGCCCGTATTTCGGACTCACTCAAGCAGCTATGGGGGTCCAAGGGCGGGGGGGCGCAGGGTCAGCGGGGCGCCTACATGGCAACGCACGACGGCTGACCGGAGCGGGCCGGAGCATCAGGAAGCCGCCGTGACGCTGTCCGCGGACCCCGGCAGCTCCCCGCACCCCGTTCCCCGCCGCCGGGCCTTGCGCCCCAGTCCCGCTGGCCGCCTCGGCCCAGGCCCGGCGCTTCCCTCCGCCACTTGCCTGACCGCTTCTCTCGTCTCGGACTGACCTGTCCCGGCTGCCTACGGCGCCACCGCCGCCGTCCCGCAGGCTCCGCAGAATTCTCCCGCTCCTGCCAAAACTTTTCCCATTAATCCCCAGGTCCGCGGCGGCCGCAGCGTCACACGCTCCGCGGCCCGGCCCCGCCCCCGCCAGCGAGACGTCACCGCGCTGCTCGGCCTTTCCCTCCCCACGCCCCCTTCCGCCCGGCGGCGGCCAATCACCACGCCTCCTGGAGACTCCCCTAATTCTGCCTCTCCGCCCACCGCACGCTGCCCCGGGCCAGCCTGTGGCGCCCTCTGGTGCGGGATGCGGACGTAGCAGCTAAGGGAGGAGCAGGGGAGCGCCAGGTCCAGTAGAACAAGTCCAGCAAGTGACACAAGAGGGAATTTAAAGCTGGAAGGGAATTTCTAGGTCATCTAGTGCAACCTCCTCATCTTCCAGTGAAGAAACTTAGTCCTAGAAAAGGTACGTGACTTGCAGTGACAAGTCTGGAGAGACTCTTAACCCAGTGCTAGGTCCACTGGAGGAGATCATATCGCCTATAATTTTCAAAAAAGGGCTTTCCGCCTTCAAGAGGCTTCTACAACTGGAAATTTACGGTCTTAGAGTTCTTAACCTTTCTTCCCATGTGCTTATGCAATACGCTTATTCACCTAAAATAGGGGACATCCTCCTTATTGTTGTAGAAAATTCTGTTCTTATTAATCCACATCTTTAAGACCTGGAAGGGACCTATTATCCCAACCTACCGCTTAAGATGTACCACAGGAAACTACCTAGCAGCTGGGAGGCAATCTGGTGGAAGAAGTTGGCTTTCATCTGACGATGAACAAAGCTTGACTCTCAGGTATATGACCAATGCCTCCCCTCCATCATCATTAAAGATGACCCCTCCCCTCTCCTTCGGCCACACCTTCCGTAGGCCGCAAGCTCCTTAGGCCACACCTAGCTATCTGGATGAGTGATTTTTTTTTTTTTTTTTTTTTTTGAGACACAGTTTCACTCTGTCGCCCCTGCTGGAGTGCAGTTGCGCAATCTCAGCCCGCTGCAACCTCCGCCTCCCGGGTTCAAGCGATTATCCTGCCTCAACCTCCCAAGTAGCTGGGATTACAGGCATGCGCCACACGCCCAGCTAATTATTGTAATTTTAGTAGAGACAGGGTTTTGCCATGTTGCCCAGGCTGGTCTTGAACTCCTGGACTCAAGTTATCCTCCCACCTTAGCCTCCCAAAGTGCTGGAATTACAGGCGTGAGCCACCGTGCCTGGCAGGGATGAGTGATTTTTTCCCCCTTCTTTCTGCTTCTCTTTTTCTTTTTCTTTTTTTTCCCCTACTTTTTGAAATGCTTGTGCATTATATTTGTAACTTAGATGTCAACCTCCTTGCCCTTTGAGATTGAGGTAAAAATGGACGGTGAAAGTCAGAGTCCCTCCCTTAACATATTTGCAAATATCTGGGGATTTATATTCTCCTAAATATCTCTGCCTCTGGGTTTCTGCTTTTGCCAGGCTGTTGCGTACCACAGTTCAGAAGTCTGGAGAGGAAACTCAGCTCTCCCTAAGGACTGCCCGCACCCTTCCCACACAAAACATTGACGAGTACAAAGACATTAGGGTACTCTGGGCCCTGGGGGAGGTCATATGATACATGGCAAACAGTTTAAACTCACCCCTCAGAAGTTTTTTTTTTTTTTTTTTCCCAAGGCAGAAGAATTTTTCTTAGTGCAGAACAAAATGAGAAGTCTCCCATGTCTACTTCTTTCTACACAGACACGGCAACCATCCGATTTCTCAATCTTTTCCCCACCTTTCCCGCCTTTCTATTCCACAAAGTCGCCATTGTCATCCTGGCCCGTTCTCAATGAGCTGTTGGGCACACCTCCCAGACGGGGTGGTGGCCGGGCAGAGGGGCTCCTCACTTCCCAGTAGGGGCGGCCGGGCAGAGGCGCCCCTCACCTCCCAGACGGGGCGGCTGGCCGGGTGGGGGGCTGACCCCCCTACCTCCCTCCCGGACGGGGCGGCTGGCCGGGCGGGGGGCTGACCCCCCACCTCCCTCCCGGACGGGGTGGCTGCCGGGCGGAGACGCTCCTCACTTCCCAGATGGGGTGGCTGCCGGGCGGAGAGGCTCCTCACTTCTCAGACGGGGCAGCTGCCGGGCGGAGGGGCTCCTCACTTCTCAGACGGGGTGGTTGCCAGGCAGAGGGTCTCCTCACTTCTCAGACGGGGCGGCCGGGCAGAGACGCTCTTCACCTCCCAGACGGGGTCGCTGCCGGGCAGAGGCGCTCCTCATATCCCAGATGGGGCGGCGGGGCAGAGGCGCTCCCCACATCTCAGACGATGGGCGGCCGGGCAGAGACGCTCCTCACTTCCTAGATGTGATGGCGGCCGGGAAGAGGCGCTCCTCACTTCCTAGATGGGATGGCGGCCGGGCGGAGACGCTCCTCACTTTCCAGACTGGGCAGCCAGGCAGAGGGGCTCCTCACATCCCAGACGATGGGCGGCCAGGCAGAGACACTCCTCACTTCCCATACGGGGTGGCGGCCAGGCAGAGGCTGCAATCTCGGCACTTTGGGAGGCCAAGGCAGGCGGCTGGGAGGTGTAGGTTGTAGTGAGCCGAGATCACGCCACTGCACTCCAGCCTGGGCACCATTGAGCACTGAGTGAACGAGACTCCGTCTGCAATCCCGGCACCTCGGGAGGCCGAGGCTGGCGGATCACTCGCGGTTAGGGGCTGGAGACCGGCCCGGCCAACACAGCGAAACCCCGTCTCCACCAAAACCAGTCAGGCGTGGCGACGCGTGCCTGCAATCGCAGGCACTCGGCAGGCTGAGGCAGGAGAATCAGGCAGGGAGGTTGCAGTGAGCCGAGATGGCAGCAGTACAGTCCAGCTTCGGCTCCGCATGAGAGGGAGACCGTGGAAAGAGAGGGAGACCGTGGGGAGAGGGAGCGGGGGAGGGGGAGGGGGCCCCTCAGAAGTTTTTAGAAGTCCTTTCCACACCCCCAGCTGAGGTTTTCTAACTGGCCCTGCACCCTCTAGCCTCCTCCAAAATCACTAACTCTCCCTCCTGCCCCACCATTCTCTCCTCTGTCCCACCCTCTCTGGAGAAAACACAAATTCCTCTGGCTTTCTACGGAGAAAGAGAAAGCGACATTTTAACCGTATCTCTTTGTTGCTTAAGTTCCTGCCAACACTCATGCTTTGCAGATCTGTCTACCCCTAATAGGCTTATTTCCCCTGTAAACTAAAAACAAATCCTAAGCCCCCTAACTAATTGAATGGACCCTCTTGGCCAAGGAGACCCCAGAAAAACCTTAAAAACTGAGTTTCCAGCCATGACAGGTCAGGGGGTCAGACATGCCTGGTTATACTCCCTCCCTTTTGCAGTTCAGACACAACATCTGACCAGCATCAATGTTAAAATAGAGATCATAGACTAACAGAATGCACTCTTTATGGCAATAAGATACCAAATTATAATCAGGACCTAAGGCCGTGTCAGGTAAGGGTTAAGTCACACACGCCTACACCTAAAGAATAAACTATATTTTCTGCCAGGCACGGTGGCTCACGCCTGTAATTCCAACACTTTCAGAGGCCGAGGGGGGCAGACTGCTTGAGCGCAGGAGTTCGAGACCAGCCTGGACAACATAGTGAGACCCTGTCTCTTAAAAAAAAAAAAAAAAAAAAAGAACGGCGGCTCACGCCTGTAATCCCAGCACTTTGGGAGGCCTAGGCAGGCAGATCACGAGGTCAGGAGATCGAGACCATCCTGGCTAACATGGTGAAACCCCATCTCTACTAAAAATACACAAAAAAATTAGCCAGAATATGTATGTTTAGCCAACCTGTTCAGCATAAAGCTCCTGTCCCAGCCCCTCTTCCTTTCAAGTACCTGCAACAAAATTCAACAACCCTTCATGCTAAAAACTCTCAATAAACTAGGTATTGATGGGACGTATCTCAAAATAATAAGAGCTATTTATGACAAACCCACAGCCAATATCATACTGAATGGGCAAAAACTGGAAGCATTCCCTGTGAAAACTGGCACAAGACAGGGATGCCCTCTCTCACCACTCCTATTCAACATAGTGTTGGAAGTTCTGGCCAGGGCAGTCAGGCAAGAGAAAGAAGTAAAGGGTATTCAATTAGGAAAAGAGGAAGTCAAATTGTCCCTGTTTGCAGATGACATGATTGTATATTTAGAAAACCCCATCATCTCAGCCCAAAATCTCCTCAAGCTGATAAGCAAGTTCAGCAAAGTCTCAAGATACAAAATTAATGTGCAAAAATCACAAGCATTCCTATACACCAATAACAGACAAACAGAGAGCCAAATCATGAGTGAACTCCCATTCACAATTGCTACAAAGAGAATAAAATACCTAGGAATACAACTTACAAGGGATGTGAAGGACCTCTTCAAGGAGAACTACAAACCACTGCTCAATGAAATAAAGGAGGACACAAACAAATGGAAGAACATTCCATGCTCATGGATAGGAAGAATCAATATCGTGAAAATGGCCATACTGCCCAAGGTAATTTATAGATTCAGTGCCATCCCCATCAAGCTACCAATGACTTTCTTCACAGAATTGGAAAAAACTACTTTAAAGTTCATATGGAGCCAAAAAAGCCCACATTTCCAAGACAATCCTAAGCCAAAAGAACAAAGCTGGAGGCATCACACTACCTGACTTCAAACTGTACTACAAGGCTACAGTAACCAAAACAGCATGGTACTGGTACCAAAACAGAGATATAGACCAATGCAACAGAACACAGGCCTCATAAATAATACCACACATCTACAACCATCAGATCTTTGACAAATCTGACAAAAACAAGAAATGGGGAAAGGATTCCTTATTTAATAAATGGTGCTGGGAAAACTGGCTAGCAATATGTAGAAAGCTGAAACTGGATTTCTTCTTTATACCTTACACAAAAATTAATTCAAGATGGATTAAAGACTTAAATGTTAGACCTAAAACCATGAAAACCCTAGAAGAAAGCCTAGGCAATACCATTCAGGACATAGGCATCGGCAAGGACTTCATGACTAAAACACCAAAAGCAATGGCAACAAAAGCCAAAAGAGCTTCTGCACAGCAAAAGAAACTACCATCAGAGTGAACAGGCAACCTACAGAATGGGAGAAAATTTTTGCAATCTATCCATCTGACAAAGGGTTAATATCCAGAATCTACGAGGAACTTAAACAAATTTACAAGAAAAAAACAACCCCATCAAAAAGTGGGCAAAGGATATGAATAGACACTTCTCAAAAGAAGACATTTATGCAGCCAACAGACACATGAAAAAATGCTCATCATCACTGGTCATCAGAGAAATGCAAATCAAAACCACAATGAGATACCATCTCACACGAGTTAGAATGACGATCATTAAAAGGTCAGGAAACAACAGATGCTGGAGAGGATGTGGAGAAACAGGAACGCTTTTACACTGTTGGTGGGAGTGTAAACTAGTTCAACAATTGTGGAAGACAGTGTGGCGATTCCTCAAGGATCTAGAACTAGAAATACCATTTGACCCAGTGATCCCATTACTGGGTATATACCTAAAGAATTATAAATCATGCTACTGTAAAGACACATGCACACGTATGTTTATTGCAGCACTATTCACAATAGCAAAGACTTGGAACCAACCCAAATGTCCATCAATGATAGACTGGACTAAGAAAATGTGGCACATATACACCATGGAATACTGTGCAGCCATAAAAAATGATGAGTTCATGTCCTTTGCAGGCACATGGATGAAGCTGGAAACCATTATTCTGAGCAAACCATCACACAGACAGAAAACCAAACACCACATATTGTCACTCATAGGTGGGAATTGAACAATGAGAACACTTGGACACAGGGCAGGGAACATCACACACCAGGGCCTGTCATGGGGTGGGGGGCTGGGGGAGGGATAGCATTAGGAGAAATACCTTACGTAAATGATGAGTTAATGGGTGCAGCAAACCAACTTGGCACATGTATACCTATGTAACAAACCTGCACATTGTGCATACATACCCTAGAACTTAAAGTATATATATATAAAAAAATTAGCTGGGCGTGGTGGTGAGCGCCTGTAATCCCAGCCACTTGGGAGGCTGAGGCAGGAGAGTCGCTTGAACCCGGGAGGCAGAGGTTGCAGTGAGCTGAGATTGCACCACTGCACTCCAGCCTTGATGACAGAGCGAGATTGTCTCAGAAAAAAAAAAAAAGAGCAGTGGTTTGTAGTTCTCCTTGAAGAGGTCCTTCACATCCCTTGTAAGTTGTATTCCTAGGTATTTTATTCTCTTTGTAGCAATTGTGAATGGGAGTTCACTCATGATTTGGCTCTCTGTTTGTCTGTTATTGGTGTATAGGAATGCTTGTGATTTTTGCACATTAATTTTGTATCTTGAGACTTTGCTGAACTTGCTTATCAGCTTAAGGAGATTTTGGGCTGAGATGATGGGGTTTTCTAAATATACAATCATGTCATCTGCAAACAGGGACAATTTGACTTCCTCTTTTCCTAATTGAATACCCTTTACTTCTTTCTCTTGCCTGACTGCCCTGGCCAGAACTTCCAACACTATGTTGAATAGGAGTGGTGAGAGAGGGCATCCCTGTCTTGTGCCAGTTTTCACAGGGAATGCTTCCAGTTTTTGCCCATTCAGTATGATATTGGCTGTGGGTTTGTCATAAATAGCTCTTATTATTTTGAGATACGTCCCATCAATACCTAGTTTATTGAGAATTTTTAGCATGAAGGGTTGTTGAATTTTGTTGAAGGTCTTTTCTGTATCTATTGAGATAATCATGTGGTTTTTGTCGTTGGTTCTGTTTATGTGATGGATTACGTTTCTTGATTTGTGTATGTTGAACCAGCCTTGCATCCCAGGGATGAATCCGACTTGATCATGGTGGATAAGCTTTTTGATGTGCTGCTGGATTCGGTTTGTCAGTATTTTATTGAGGATTTTCGCATCAATGTTCATCAGGCATATTGGTCTAAAATTCTCTTTTTTGTTGTTGTGTCTCTGCCAGGCTTTGGTATCAGGATGATGATGGCATCATAAAATGAGTTAGGGAGGATTCCCTCTTTTTCTCTTGATTGGAATAGTTTCAGAAGGAAGGGTACCAGCTCCTCTTTGTACCTCTCGTAGAATTCGGCTGTGAATCCATCTGGTCCTGGACTTTTTTTGGTTGGTAGGCTATTGATTATTGCCTCAATTTCAGAGCCTGTTATTGGTCTATTCAGAGATTCACCATCTTCCTGGTTTATTCTTGGGAGGGTGTATGTGTCCAGGAATTTATCCATTTCTTCTAGATTTTCTAGTTTATTTGCTTAGAGGTGTTTATAGTATTCTCTGATGGTAGTTTGTATATCTGTGGGATTGGTGGTGATATCCCCTTTATCATTTTTTATTGCGTCTATTTGATTCTTCTCTCTTTTCTTCTTTATTAGTCTTGCTAGCGGTCTATCAATTTTGTTGATCTTTTCAAAACACCAGCTCCTGGATTCATTGATTTTTTGAAGGGTTTTTCGTGTCTCTATCTCCTTCGGTTCTGTTTTGCTCTTAGTTATTTCTTGCCTTCTGCTAGCTTTTGAATTTGTTTGCTCTTGCTTCTCTAGTTCTTTTAATTGTGATGTTAGGGTGTCGATTTTAGATCTTTCCTGCTTTCTCTTGTGGGCATTTAGTGCTATAAATTTCCGTCTACACACTGCTTTAAATGTGTCCCAGAGATTCTGGTATGTTGTGTCTTTGTTCTCATTGGTTTCAAAGAACATCTTTATTTCTGCCTTCATTTCGTTATTTACCCAGTAGTCATTCAGGAGCAGGTTGTTCAGTTTCCATGTAGTTGTGTGGTTTTCACTGAGTTTCTTAATCCTGAGTTCTAATTTGATTTCACTGTGGTCTGAGAGACAGTTTGTTGTGGTCTTTTACATTTGCTGAGGAGTGCTTTACTTCCAACTATGTGGTCAATTTTGGAATAAGTGCAATGTGGTGCTGAGAAGAATGTATATTCTGTTGATTTGTGGTGGAGAGTTCTGTAGATGTCTATTAGGTTGGCTTGGTGCAGAGCTGAGTTCAAATCCTGGATATCCTTGTTAACCTTCTGTCTCGTTGATCTGTTTAATGTTGACAGTGGGGTGTTAAAATCTCCCATTACTATTGTGTGGGAGTCTAAGTCTCTTTTTAGGTCTCTAAGGACTTGCTTTATGAATCTGGGTGCTCCAGTATTGGGTGCACAAATATTTAGGATAGTTAGTTCCTCTTGTTGAATTGATCCCTTTACCATTATGTAATGGCCTTGTCTCTTTTCATCTTCGTTGGTTTAAAGTCTGTTTTATCAGAGACTAGGATTGCAACCCCTGCTTTTTTTTGCTTTCCATTTGCTTGGCAGATCTTCCTCCATCCCTTTATTTTGAGCCTATGTGTGTCTGTGCACGTGAGATGGGTCTCCTGAATACAGCACACTGATGGGTCTTACTCTTTATCCAATCTGCCAGTCTGTGTCTTTTAATTGGGCATTTACCCCATTTACATTTAAGGTTAATATTGTTATGTGTGAATTTGATCCTGTCATTATGATGTTAGCTGGTTATTTTGCCCATTAGTTGATGCAGTCTCTTCCTAGCAACAGTGGTCTTTACAATTTGGCATGTTTTTGCGGTGGCTGATACCGGTTGTTCCTTTCCATGTTTAGTGCTTCCTCCAGGAGCTCTTGTAAGGCAGGCCTGGTGGTGACAAAATCTCAGCATTTGCTTGTCTGTAAAGGATTTTATTTCTCTTTCACTTATGAAGCTTAGTTTGGCTGGATATGAAATTCTGGGTTGAAAATTCTTTTCTTGAAGAATGTTGAATATTGGCCCCCACTCTCTTCTGGCTTGTAGAGTTTCTGCTGAGAAATCCACTGTTAGTCTGATGGGCTTCCCTTTGTGGGCAACCTGACCTTTCTCTCTGGCTGCCCTTAACATTTTTTCCTTCATTTCAACCTTGGTGAATCTGACAATTATGTGTCTTGGGGTTGCTCTTCTCGAGGAGTATCTTTGTAGTGTTCTCTGTATTTCCTGAATTTGAATGTTGGCCTGCCTTGCAAGGTTGGGGAAGTTCTCCTGGATAATATCCTGAAGAGTGTTTTCCAACTTGGCTTCATTCTCCCCATCACTTTCAAGTACACCAATCAAATGTAGATTTGGTCTTTTCACATAGTCCCATATTTCTTGGAGGCTTTGTTCATTTCTTTTTACTCTTTTTTCTCTAAACTTCTCTTCTCACTTTATTTCATTAATTTGATCTTCAATCACTGATACCCTTTCTTCCACTTGATCGAATCAGCTACTGAAGCTTGTGCATGTGTCACGTAGTTCTCATGCCATGGTTTTCAGCTCCATCAGGTCATTTAAGGTCTTCTCTACACTGTTTATTCTAGTTAGCCATTTGTCTAATCTTTTTTCAAGGTTTTTGTCTTCCTTGCGATGGGTTCGAACATCCTCCTTTAGCTCAGAGAAGTTTGTCATTACCAACCTTCTGAAGCCTACTTCTGTCAACTAAAGTCATTCTTCGTCCAGCTTTTTTCCATTGCTGGTGAGGAGCTGCAATCCTTTGGAAGAGAAGAGGCACTCTGGTTTTTAGAATTTTCAGCTTTTCTGCTCTGTTTTCTCCCCATCTTTGTGGTTTTATCTACCTTTGGTCTTTGATGTTGGTGACCTATGGATGGGGTTTTGGTGTGGATATCATTTTTGTTAATGTTGATGCTATTCCTTTCTGTTTGTTAGTTGTCCTTCTAACAGTCAGGTCCCTCAGCTGCAGGTCTGTTGGAGTTTGCTGGAGGTCCACTCCAGACCCTGTTTGCCTGGGTATCACCAGCAGAGGCTGCAGAACAGCAAATATTGCAGAACAGCAAATATTGCTGCCTGATCCTTCCTCTGGAAGCTTCATCCCAGAGGAGCACCCGCCTGTATGAGGTGTCAGTCGACCCCTACTGGGAGGTGCTCCCAGTTAGGCTACACAGGGGTCAGGGACCCACTTGAGGAGGCAGTCTGTCTGTTCCCAGAGCTCAAATGCCATGCTGGGAGAACCACTGCTCTTAAGAGCTGTCAGATAGGGACTTTTAAGTCTGCAGAAGTTTCTGCCTACTTTTGTTCAGCTATGCCCTGCCCCTAGAGGTAGAGTCAACAGAGGCAGCAGGCTTTGCTGAGCTGCAGTGGACTCCGCCCAGTTCAAGCTTCCCTGGCTGCTTTGTTTACCTACTCAAGCCTCAGCAATGGCAGATGCCCCTCCCACTGCCAGGCTGCTGCCAGGCTGCTGCCTCGCATGTCAATCTCAGACTGCTGTGCTAGCAGTGAGCAAGGCTCTGTGGGCGTGGAACCCTCCAAGCCATGCGTGGCATATAATCTCCTGGTGTGCCGTTTACTAAGACCATTGGAAAAGCACAGTATTTAGGCAGGAGTGTCCTGTTTTTCCAGGTACAGTCTGTCTCGGCTTCCTTTGGCTAGGAAAGGGAAATCCCCCAACCCCTTCTGCTTCCTGTGTGAAGTGATGTCCTGCCCTGCTTTGGCTTGCCCTCCGTAGGCTGCACCCACTGTCCAACCAGTCCCAGTGAGATGAACCAGGTACCTCAGTTGGAAATGCAGAAATCACCCATCTTCTGCGTTGATCACCCTGGGAGCTGCAGACTGGAACTGTTCCTATTCAGCCGTGTGCTAATTTTTGTATTTTTAGTAGAGACGGGATTTTGCCATGTTGGCCAGGCTGGTCTGGAACTCCTGACCTCAAGTGATCTGTCTGCCTCAGCCTCCCAAAATGTTGGGATTACAGGCGTGAGCCACCACGCCTGGCCAAATTTGTGATTTTTTTTTGAGATGGAGTCTTGCTCTGTCACCCAGGCTGGAGTGCAGTGGTGTGATCTCAGCTCACTGCAAGCTCTGCCTCCTGAGTTCACACCATTCTCCTGCCTCAGCCTCCCAAGCAGCTGGGACTACAGCCCGCCACCATGCCCGGCTAATTTTTTGTATTTTTAGTAGAGACAGGGTTTCACTGTGTTAGCCAGGATGGTCTCAATCTCCTGGCCTCATGATCCACCCGCCTCGACCTCCCAAAGTGCTGGGATTATAGGCATGAGCCATCGTGCCTGGCCCAAATTTGTGATTTTTAAGTTAACATTCCTAATAGAGACAGTTTGGATCACGAGGTCAGGAGATTGCAACCACCCTGGCTAACACAGTGAAACCCTGTCTCTACTAAAAAGTACAAAAAATTAGCCAGACGTGGTGGCACATGCCTGTAATCCCAGCTACTCAGGAGGCTGAAGCAGGAGAATCACTTGAACCTGGAAGGTGGAGTTTGCAGTGAACCAAGATCGTGCCATTGCACTCCAGCCTGGGTGACAGAGCAAGACTGTCTCAAAAAAACAAAAAGACAATTCCTCTCCTAAAAGAAATTCAAGGAGCACTGTTAAGTTATTCTATTTTTCACTTCATTTTTATATTAAGAATATATGAAATTTAATATATCTAATAAATACCTATCTCTATATTTATTATTTAGAACGCATAATTCTACCTTGGATAGTCTGCTTGAGGAAATAATCCTAAATACATAAAAGGCTTTGTACACAAAAATGCTCATTCAGTATTATTTAAACCAACAAAAAACTGGAGATAACCTAATTGTCCAACAACAGAGAAATGTTTAGGTAAATCATGCTGTATCCTTCTGATGGAATATTATGCAGCCATTAAAAATGATATTTAAAAAGAGCTGGTAATATGGTCTGAGAAACCAAAACACACACCCCTTTATCACTAAGATAGAACCTAAGGTTAAGGAAACAAAGGTTAATTATACGGTTCAACGCAGCTGGCATGGCAACTCCCTAAATTCCTGTGGCTATAGGAAAAACCACATTCTGGATAAACTGTCTCAACAACAGGAGGTATCAGGCAAATGATCAGACCTCGCCTAGCTAATTTACAAGCCAGACCACTACAACTCTGATTGGACAGAGGACTGGCCTTACATTCTTTTCTTTCTTTCTTTTGTTTTTTGAGACCGAGTTTCGCTCCTGTTGCCCGGGCTAGAGTGCAATGGCGCGATCTCAGCTCACCACAACTTCTGCCTCCAGGGTTCAAGCGATTCTCCTGCCTCAGCCTCCTGAGTAGCTGGGATTACAGGCATTTGCCACCACGCCCAGCTAATTTTGTATTTTTAGTAGAGATGGGGTTTCTCCATGTTGGTCAGGCTGGTCTCAAACTCCTGACCTCAGGTGATCTGCCCGCCTCAGCCTCCCAAAGTGCTGGGATTACAGGTGTGAGCCACCGCGCCCAGCCCTTTTCTTTATTTTTTTAACATTTTTTATTTTTTATAATTGAGATGGGAGCTCCCCATGTTGCCCAGGCTTGTCTCGAACTCCTGAGCACAAGCAATCCACCCACCTTGGCCTCCCAAAGTGCTGGGATTACAGGCATGAGCCACTGGCCTACAAACATTCTATTTTGATAAGCAGTTGCAGACCTTAAACCAGTTTCAGCCAGTTTATAGAGGCTCCACACAAACCGTCTTTGTGTTCTACAGTTCACCTTTGATGTAAAGAGCCAAATTCCACCTCATTTTAATGCTGAAACCTGCCCCAAAGTGAACATGGGATTTATGTTACATATATGTTTGCCCATTGCACATGTACTTGGCTCCCCTCATAAATATGTATAGTTTTTCCCCCAAAACCGCTAAATATGTATGACTATTGTGTAGTACAGACCCTGTGAGGCTTAAAACCCAACCTGCCCTTTCCCTCTTTGAAGAGAATAGAGAGCACCTTCAGTCCATGTCTGAGACTATCTCTTCCTGGTTTGCAAACTGGTATCACTTAGTAAAGCTCTCCTATCTACTATTTAACCATCATGGTGGTCTTTTGGACAATAATAAAGTGGAAAAATGTTATAATCTGATATTAAGTGGAAAAGGATATGATGATACGTATGGAGTGAAATCACACTGTTTTGAAAACTAAAAATTAGCATGGAAAAAAACTGAAAGGAGCCGGGCATGGTGGCGTGTGCCTATAGTACCAGCTACTCAGTAGGCTGAGGCACAAGGATCGCTTGAACCTGGGAGGTGGAGGTTGCAGTGAGCTGAGATTGCTCTGCTGCACTCCAGCCTGGCGTCAGAGTGAGACCCTGTCTCAAAAAAAAAAAAAAAATTCCGGGCACAGTGACTCAACCTATAATCCCAGCACTTTGGGAGGCTGAGGAGGGTGGATCACTTAACATCAGGAGTTCGAGACCAGCGTGATCAACATGGTGAAACCCGTCTCTACTAAAAATACAAAAAAAATTAGCCGGGCGTAGTGGCAGGCGCCTGTAGTCCCAGCTACTCAGGAGGCTCAGGCAGGAGAATCGCGTGATCCCAGGAGGTGGAGGCTGCAGTGAGCCAAGATCGTGCCACTTCACTCCAGCCTGGACAACAGAGCAAGACTCTCTCTCCAAAATAAACAAAAACAAACAAACAAAAAAACTGAAAGGAAACACACAAAAATGTTACCAGTAACTGTCTTTGGATTGTGGTTCTGCAAGTTATTGTTTTTCTATGTTTTTTTTCTGAGCATGCTTTTTTTCCATAATAGAAACATTGTTTATTTTCTTCTTCTTCTTCTTTTTTTTTTTGAGATGGAGTCTAGCTGTGTCGCCCAGACTGGAGTGCAGTGGCGTGATCTAGGCACAATGCAACCTCCACCTCCCAGGTTCAAGCGATTCTCATGCCTCAGCCTCCCGAGTAGCTGGGATTACAGGCACCCTCCACCACACTGGCTAATTTTTGTATTTTTAGTAGAGACAGGTTTCAACATGTTGGCCATGCTTGTCTGGAACTCCTGACCTCAGGTGATTTACTCGCCTTGGCCTCCCAAAGTGCTGGGATTACAGGTGTGAGCCACCTTGCCTGGCTATTTTCTAAGAACAACAAAAATCTTCTTTATATTAAGAAAAAACATATATCCTCTGATGCTCTTACCCAATAATCTTAGTTCTACCCATTGGAGGTAAACTAAGTCAAAATTATTTTCTATGTAAGAGCTTTTCTGATGTTTGACATTTGACTTCATTCCCCTATATATTTTCTTTCCTTCCTTCCTTCCTTCCTCCCTTCCTTCCTTCCTTCCTCTCTCTCTCCCTCCCTCCTTTCTTTCTTCTCCCTCTTTCTCTCTCTCTCTCTCTCTTTCTTTTTTTTTGAGACAGGGTCTTGCTCTGTTGCCTGGGTTGGAGTGCAGTGGAGTGATCTCGGCAATCTCTGCTTCCTGGGCTGAAGCAGCAATCTTCCCACCTCAGCCTCCAGAGTAGCTGGAACTACAGGCATTTTCTTCCAGCCTCCTGTGCAGCTAGGACACAGTCACATGACCAAGGCACACCAATCAGATGTATTGGAAGGTGGAAAGATGAACCAGGAAGCACACATAATTGATTCAGGTGAGTGGCAGCAGCAGTTCCACCCAATTTCCAGAGACAGCCAGGGCAGCAGTTGTAAGAGCAGCATCCAGCATTTGGTAAGATTAGCCAAGGAAGCAGCAGCTTCTGTACCCACAGGTGGCAGCTGGAGTGTGTTCACAAGAACTGTTGTGTGGCTTGATTTGGGTACTGTTTCTGACTACACAGCCTCCAAGACAGCTCACTCGACCTCCCAATTATTTAAGGTACTCCCTTATATTCTACTAATAAATTTCTTTTCTGGAAAGTCAGTTAAGTCAGCTTAAATCAGTCAGTTTCCGTTACTTGAATCACAAACCTAGACTAAAATAGCTTCCTTGAATCTTCATTTTGACTAGATTTGCCCTGGGGGACAGCTCAGAGTGGGAAAAGTTGATTCCTGCCAAGCATCTACAGCCCGTTCCAGACCAGACAGGGATTTCAGCTACCAAAACCTGCTCTGATGCCTGATTATTGTGTACCTGAACAACTTACAGTGCAGAGTGGGAAGGCTGGATTGCCTCTGAATTTGATTCTCCATAGCCATTTCAGCCTCTAGCCAGCAGGTGGGGGCCTCCTCAGTCTTCTGAAATCAGCCTGCCAGGCATCGCCCTCTCCTTCCCCTCTGCTGCAGGAACTAGAGAGGCGACTCAGTAGGCACCCCTTGGGCCAGGTGGACTCCTGGCAATAGTTGCTAACACGCCTCTTGTACTCCAGCCCCACTTCCCCATCCATCCTCACATACAAGCCACAGAAAAAGAGAAGACGTGGGACCACAAATGCTGTGCATTCCATATGGCCCCTAGGGTTTATGTGTATCTGTGAAGGCATCAGAGACAGGACACACTTTTCTTTGTCCAGGGTGATGGAAAGGACACAGGAGTTATTTTCTCACCCTGGAATTAAAAGACTAGAAAATACATTCTCCTTCCACCTAGAAATGTCCCCCAAGGTTGATGGCTTCTCATGCCAGTCCCATCATGGCTCGCATTCAGGTGTCAGAGTGATCTTCCTTTCATTATATCACTATATCATGCCTCCACTGTCGATCCATCCCTATGTCCCACCATAGAATATTTAAAAGCCTGGAATGGACCCCATTTACAAGTGAGGAAACTGAGGCTCAGAGGTTGGCTTGCCACCTCAAATCTAAACTCTGCGTAGCTTCCAAGAATCTCTATAACCAGGTCTCACTCCACCTTTCTACTCGTGGGTTCTCCATAGCAAAATTGCCCTTCCAATCCTGTGAGAATATATAAGAACCATACAGTCCCTTGCATATTTTTTATTTTATTTTATTTATTTATTTTCTTGAGACGGAGTCTCACTCTGTCACCCAGGCTGGAGTGCAGTGGTGCGATCTTGGCTCACTGCAAGCTCTGCCTCCTGGGTTCACCCCATTCTCCTGCCTCAGCCTCCCGAGTAGCTGGGACTATAGGCGCCCACCACCACACCCGGCTAATTTTTTTGTATTTTTAGTAGAGACGGGGTTTCACCGTGTTAGCCAGGATGGTCTCGATCTCCTGACCTTGTGATCCGCCCGCCTCGGCCTCCCAAAGTGCTAGGATTGCAGGCGTGAGCCAACCGCGCCTGGCCGCCCCTTGAATATTTTTTAAGATAGTAATTCCAAGCTTTATCTAAGATGAAGCATTTTTTAGCCAATCAATTTTTTAAATTTTTTTATTTTTTGGAAACAGAGTCTCACTCTGTCACTCAAGCTGGAGTGAAGTGGCACTATCATGGCTCACTACAACCTCTGCCTCCTGGACTCAAGCAATCCTCCCACCTCAGCCTCCGGAGTAATTGGGAATACAGGTGCACACCACCACGCCCAGTCTAATTTTTTTTTTTTTGAGACGGAGTCTCACTCTGTTGCCCAGGCTGGAGTGCAGTGGCGTGATCTCAGCTCACTGCAGCCTCTGCCTCCCGGGTTCAAGCGATTCTCCTGCCTCAGCCTCCTGAGTAGCTGGGACTACAGGCACACGCCACCATGCCTGGCTAATTTTTGTATTTTTAGTAGAGACGGGGTTTCACCATGTTGGCCAGGCTAGTCTCGAACTCCTGACCTTGTGATCCACCCATTTTGGCCTCCCAAAGTGCTGGGATTACAGGTATGAGCCACCGCGCCTGGCCCTACCCAGCCTAATTTTTTTTTTTTTTTTTTTTTTGAGACAGAGTCTTGCTCTGTCACCCAGGCTGGAGTGCAGTGGCGTGATTTCGGCTCACTGCAACCTCTGTCTCCTGGGTTCAAGCAATTCTTCTGCCTCAGCCTCCCGAGTAGCTGGGACTACAGGCACGTGCCACCATGCCCAGCTAATTTTTGTATTTTTAGTAGAGACGGGGTTTCATCCTGTTGGCCAGGCTGGTCTTGAACTCCTGACCTCATGATCCACCCACCTTGGCTTCCCAAAGTGCTGGGATTATAGGCGTGAGGCACCGTGCCCAGCCCTGGGCCTTTTTTTTTTTTTCTTTTTATAGCTATCTTTTTCCTGCAGTAATTTTTTAAATTTTTAAATTCTTGACATTATAGAACTAAACTGAAATTTATTAACATTCCAGTCTTACATTTCTTATTGACAAACAGAAATAACATTCATGGGTCAAAAAACTCCAAGCAAAGCTAAAACCAGGGAAAAGCTTGTAATACTAAATATGGGTTTCAACATTGACAGCTGAACAGAGAATATTATTTTAAAATTCTTAGCAGATGATAAAGATGTAGAAACTGAATACTTACAAATTATTTACAACGTGGAATCAGGCCGGGCGTGGTGGCTCAACACCTGTAATCCTAGCACTTTGGGAGGCTGAGGCGGGCACATCACCTGAGGTCAGGAGTTCAAGACCAGCCTGGCAACATGGTGAAATCCCATCTCTACTAATAATCCAAAAAGTTAGCTGGATGTGGTGGTGCACACCTGTAATCCCAGCTACTCGGGAGGCTGAGGCAGGAGAATTGCTTGAACCTAGGAGGCGGAGGTTGCAGTGAGCCAAGATTGCACCATTGCACTCCAGCCTGGGCAACAAGAGCGAAACTCTGTCTCAAAAACAAACAAACAACAACAACAAAAAAAAACCTGGAATCACTGACCCCAAAAATTCCACAGTTAGATCATAAGAAAACAGCAGAAAGGGGTTATGAGGGAATCTACACTGCTCTAGCCATACCCCATTCCCTTCTCAGAGAAAAGCCTGGCATTGATTAGATACCAGGCCTGACTAATACTGGCAGCAGAACTAGTGATAGATAGTAACTTGCCTGACAGAGGAACCTTCTTCTGGATTGGCAATTTTGATCTGGGCCCTGGACCTCTTGCACATTTTTTTTCTTTTTTTTTTTTTTAAGATGGATTCTGACTCTGTAGCCTAGGCTGAAGTGCAGTGGCATGATCATAGCTCATTGCAGCCTTGACCTTCGCATGCACCACACCTAGGTAATTAAAAAAAATTGTTTTTAAATTTTTGGTAGAGATGGGGTCTCACTACGTTGCCAAGGCTGGTCTCCAACTCCTGGCCTCAAGGGATCCTCCCACCGTGGCCTCCCCAGTAGCTGGGACTCTAGGCACATGTCTCCACACCTAATTTTTTTTTACTTTTTGTAGAGACATGGCTCACTATTTTGCCCAGGCTGGCTTTGAACTCCTGGCCTCAAGTGATCCTCCCACCTTGGCCTCCCAAAATGCTGGGATTACAGGCATGAGCCACTGCATCCAGCCACCTTGCACATTTTTAAGATGACATATAGTATTTTTCATCATTAGTTTAAAACATAATAGTTACCAGCCAGATGCGGTGGCTCATGCTTGTAATCCCAACACTTTGGGAGGCCGAGGTGGGTGGATCACTTAAGCCCAGGAGTTTGAGATTAGCCTGGGCAACATGGTGAAACCTTGTCTCTACAAAAATACAAAAATTAGCCAGTCTCATAACCCAGTCTCAAAATAAATAAATAGATTAAAATTTAAAATAAAATTAAATTAAAAAAATAAAAAAAAAACAAAAAGCAATAGTTACAGAGGATAGGATGCATACAATTTCTGTCTTTTTTTTTTTTTTTTTTTTTTTGAGATAGTGTCTCACTCTATCACCCAGTCTGGAGTGCAGTGGCACGATCACAGCTCACTGCAGCTTCAACCTCCTGGGCTCAGGTGATCCTCCCACCTGAGCCTCCTAAGTAGCTGGGACTACAGGTGTCTGCTACCACACCCGGCTAACTTTTTTTTGTATTTTTTGTAGAGATGGGTTTTCGCCATGTTGCCCAGGCTGGTCTCAAACTCCTGAACTCAAACAATCCACCCACCTTGGCCTCCCAAAGTGCTGGGATTACAGGTGTGAGCCACTGCACCCAGCTGCCTTTATTAAAAAGTAAAGGCCATCCCAAATCCCAGCTCCTACCTAAAACTTCCTTTTCTCTGAATTCCTACAGCACTTTGAGCTTCACCGCTCATCCTTGAAATCTGCCTCATTATATTAGCAGCTTTGTTTCACGACACTTTAAATAGACTGTAATGAAGTTCCTTGCAATCAGGTTTAGTGTATTTGCAAAGTAAATCAGGTGCAGTGGCTCACACCTGTAATCCCAGCAATTTGGGAGGCTGAGGCGGGCAGATCACTTGAGGCCAGGATTTCGAGACTAGCCTGACCAACGTAGTGAAACCATGTCTCTACTAAAAGTACAAAACAACAAAAAAATGCCAGGTGTGGTGGCACACGCCTGTAATCCCAGCTACTCCAGAGGTTGAGATAGGAGAGTCGTCTGAACCTGGGAGGTGGAGGTTGCAGTGAACCAAGATCAGGCACTGTGCTCCAGCCTGGAGACTGATCAGGCACTGTGCTCCAGCCTGGAGACTGATCAGGCACTGTGCTCCAGCCTGGAGACTGATCAGGCACAGTCTCCAGCCTGGAGACTTGGTTTCAAAAAATCAGATAGCACATAAACTCCAGGAAGGCAGGGACTCTGTTTTTGTTCTGTACAATATAGCCAGAAGCTGGCATATAATAAGAGCTTAATAAACATTTGTTGAATGAGGGCAGAGTGCATTGGCTCCTGCCTATAATCCCAGCACTTTGGGAAGCTGAGGCGGGAAAACTGCTTGAGCCCGGGAGTTGGAGGCCAGCCGAGTTTTGTAGAGACCCTGTCTCTTGTAGGGACCTGGAAAACGAATGAACTTGAATTTCAGCTGCTCTATAACTTTTTAGCTTTGTGACACCTGAATTATTCACTTCAGAATTTATTCATTCATATATGTATTTGACAAATATTTGTTGCATGCCTTCTAAGAGCCAATCACCGTGGCTCTTAGTTCAAGAAGATATGTCCCTGCCCTTGAGGGGCTCAAGCATTTAGTTATGAAGGCTGTTACAAGGATGGGGGAAAGGAAGTCAGTGTGAGGCCTAGAGGGAGCTGCAAGTAGCTCTATAAGGCAGAGGCATAGGAGGCCCTCCTGGGACAGATCGCCATGGGCCTCATCTGCCACATATGGGAATGTGAATTTAAATATCAAAACTCTAGGATACCACCAAGGGACTGGAAATTAGGAAGAGTGAAGGACAAATCTGCATTTTAGAAATCCTATCCAGGTGGCAATGGGGAGAGGGGTTGACAAGGAGACCTGGTTACTGCTCTTATCTAGTTGGGAAGTGACAAGAGCCAGAATAAGGCAGTAGCCATGACAGACATGGCCTCAAAAGTGTGGATCTGAGAGTAACCAAGGAAGTCCAATCAGTTGGACTTGGTGAGATGGGCAAGACGGAGGAGGAGTTAAAGGTTAACAACCAGGTAGAAAACACAAAGGCCTCAGCCATGGCAGTAGCCATGGGGATGGAAAAGGAGGGACAGATAGGAGAGTAGGAAGGAGAGAGTCTATTGGATTTGATGATGGGGTTTGGATGAGGGGGCTGAGAGAGAGGACATGAATCTTCCTAAATACCCAGATCTCTGTCTTGGCTAACAAGGTCAGCGAGTCAGAGATGATGGGAAGAAAAGCAAGTCTGAAAGGCTTTGGTAAAGTTGCCAAATCTCTCTGAACCTCAATTCATCCATTTGTAAAATGCCAATGGTGATTTCCAGCTCTAAGAGTTGTCATGAGAATTAAATAACCTGGAAAACTGCAGTAGACACTCAATAAACACTTTTGGCTGATTCTAATAATGGTGCTTGCTCGTGTGCCACTTAATCCTCATATAACCCTATATGGTAAGTACAGTCATTATCTCTATTTTACCAACGTGGGAACTGAAACACAGAGATATAAAGAAAATTGACCAAAGTCAATCAGTTAGTAAGTAGCAAAGCCAGGTTCAGAACCCAGGCAGTCTAGCTGCAGGGTCTTTCTTAACCACTTTATTATACTTTTACTGCTCTTTGGAACCTATAACGGGGCTTGAGGGAGGAAGGGAGGAAATGGCAGGAGAGATGGACAGACCTGAGCCAATAATTCATTCTAAGAGCAGTTTTTATTTAGAAATGTGCTTCCACAACTTGGTGGCCACCTGGGGGCAGGTAGCCCCGGCTTGCTTGTTCTCTCTTTCCTAGCCCAAGAATCGGGTCCTTGGGTCTAAAGCACAGGGCCAAGTTCTCAAGGATCAACATCCCAGACAGCTCCCATGGTCTGGGGCTTGGAGCTGGTATGAAGGGTGAACCAGGTTCCATCCTGGACTGTTTATGGTTGGAGGGCCTGGGCCCCTGGCACCAGGACCTCAGCTCCCTCTCCTAGTAAGAGCTGGGATCACCCACAGGCCAGCTGTGGCCAGGTCCTGGTGGATATGACATTGGGAAGAACAAGGGGCTAAGAGAGGCTAATTTTCTGGTGCTGGATCCAGTTTATCTTCCTGAGGGGTGGAAGCCGGGGCAGGAGCCTCATCCCCACCATTGAGGGACTTCTGCTGCTCATTGCTGTTGGGCGAGGGGGTCCTGTTGCCCTGGGATCCCCAGCGGGTCAGGCGCTTTAGGGAGGAGTCACGGTGGGCAAGCAGAGGGGGCTGGAAGCCTGAGAAGGAGCTGCTGGTGACCGGACGCTTATCTGGCAGAGAGAAGGCAGGCAAGTAAGGAGAAAGGCATGCAAAGGTGAGAGGCGAGGGGCCTTGCCTCAGCCCTCAGAGGAGAGGGGAGCCTCCTGACTGCCAGTCCTGCTTTTGCTGGCCCTGGGAGATCTGGAGGTCTCCCAGGGAGACCTTTCTCCCTCCTTTCTCCCTCCCAGCTCCAGGGAAAGCTCCAGAGTCTATTCCTTCTCACCTCCAGGCTCAATTGGATGCATCAGCCGGTTCATCTGGACATTCCAGTGTTTCACGTTGGTGCTGGCCTGGCGCAGTTTTCTCTGGGCAGCCTGTGGGGACAGGGCCAGTGGGGAGTGATCAGAACCATCATCCATGGCATGGAGTCTTGATCTTTTCAGGTTCGCAGGCTGCTTAAAATCTGACCAAGACTACTGATCATCTCCCCAGAGAAAAACCATATATGCTCATAGAGTTATTAATACATACATGAATAGAGTTTGCCTCCAATTTCATGGGACTCATGGACTTCCAAAAGATAAAATGTAACCATAATAATAGTTTCCGTTTATTGAGCAGCTAAGATGTGCTAAGCATATTTATTATCTTATTTAACTTCCAGAGCAGAAGTTAACAACAAAAAAGTTCAAAAGAGGTTAAGTGACTTGCCCAGGGATACACTTGAGCTCTAAGCCACTGCACTACACCACCTTTCCAGCACCTAATCCAAGAACCTCTGTTCAACATTTCACGGAGCCATTAGCAGTGGTTGTGAGGTGGGGGGGATCATGGAGGAATTTTCCCTTTCTATGTTCCATATTTCTGTGTTTGAATTTATGGAGATTAAAGCTCCAAGGAGTAGAGCCAAAGTACAAGGATAGCAAGACAGGGGCTTGGAAGGGTAGAAGGAAAAATTTTTCCCCAGATTAATAATGATGTGAACAAAGATAGCAGCAAATGTTTCTTCAGCACTTACTACGTACTAAGTATCATGTATCATCTCATTTAATCTTCATAACAACGCTATTACCAGTTTCCCAGGTGAGAGACTAACTCCAAGAAGTTTGGGCATTTGTCCAAAGTCACACAGCCAGCAGCTGCTAGGGCCAGGGTTTGAGGGAAGGCAGCCTGGCTCCAGAGCCTGTGCCCTAATGAGCTCACCCTGCCAGCCTCCACCCCATCCCACCCCAGGCCTCACCTCCACATCCTCGTCAGCCCTCTGCCGGTTCTGCCGCACCTCCTCCAGCTGCTGCTGGGCCTGCTGCAGGGAGCGGCTCTGCTGTGCCATCTCCTGCTGCAGCTCTTCCTTCTCCTGCTGCGCCCGTTCGATGTAGCGCTCCTGCTCCTCCTTCAGCTGCATCAACTGCTTCAGCTTCTCTTCCTCCTCTTCCAGCAGTCTGCCGGGTGAGTGTGTACTGTGTAGCCTCTAGTGCCAAGGCACCTTGCAGGTGCACAGCAAGCAGGAAAACTGGGGTGTGTTCCAGGAGGGGTGGTGAGAGAACCAGAAGAGGTTCCTCAGGCCTACCTGGTCTGAGCGATTCGCACAGATTCTTCATCTCGCCGAGCTTTCACCTCTAGTTGCAGGGCCTCCTGCAACCGCTGCTGCATCTCCTCCAGCTCCTTGATGCGCTGCCGCTGCCGGGCAGCCTCCTCCTCCTTCAGCTCCATCTCAGCCTGCATGGAGGCCCGGGCCTGTGGAGGGGGGAGGTGGTGGACCAAGAGCCAGGTCAAAAGGGGCACGTGGGGGCGGAGGAGGAGGGGGTGGGCATGTTGCTAAGCTGCCTAGGGGTGAGGGTCTGGGGAACTCCTTCATGTTGGGGTTTCCTGATCTGACCCCTTTCTGAGAGCCTGACTGGAACAGATAATGGTCGGTGAACAGATGCCACGTGGGGGAAACGGGCTCAAGTTATTTCCTTCCTAGTACCAACCTTAATCATAATTATATAACATGTAATTAAACAACATTATATAATTAAATAAGATATAAAAATATGGTCATCTCCTTCCTAGCACTAACTTAATAATTATTATAATATATAATAATATGTTATAATCATGGCTGATGCTAGGAAGGATGTGACTATAACTACAATTATTACAACAAAAAGTTACTGGACACTACAAGTGTTTCCTCATTTAATCCTCACCGTACCTCTGTGAGCAAAGTTCTATTAGCATTAGCATTTTACTGATAAGGCTCAGTAAAATGAACTTGCCTGGGATCACGGGGCTCGTAAGAAGCAGAGCTAGGATTGAATCTACGTGTTTCTGACTCCAGATCCAGGTTTCTTAAATCCTAAATCTAATTGCCTCTGCACACCTAGTCCGCCTCCATACGCGTCCCGCTTGCCTCTCAAACTGGTTTCACTGTAAACTTAGTTCAAGTCTAGTCCAAACTTGGTCCAGTCTAATCCCCAATCACACGGTCTTCAACGGCTCCTTCTGCCCAAGCCCCAACCCACAGCCAAGGTCTCCGAACCAGGCCCCATCCATCCACGGGCTCGGACCTCGCCCCACACCCCTTTCCTAGCCCCAGGTTCTGTCCCTGGCGGAAGCCCCATCCCAAATCTCTTTTTCAAACCCGCGGACTCTGTCCCAACAATCCCTCATTTCAAGCTCCACCCCAGTGCACGCCCCTCAACCCAGGAGCTCCGCCCTCTGCCCAGGCCCCGCCCCCGGCGCTCCGCCCCTGGCCAGCCTCCCAGCCCACCGGTCCCGTCCCCGGCGCCGGGAGCTAACCCCACCTGCTCCGCCTCGCGCAGTTGGCCCTCGAGCGCCTGCTGCAGCTCGCGGTGCTGGCTGCGGCGCCGTTCCTCCTCCTCCTGCAGCAGCCGCTCGGCCTGCCGCTGCGCCTCCTGCAGCAGCTCCAGCTCCTGCAGCTTCCGCTCCTTCTCCTCCTGCAGCTGCTGCAGCCGCAGCAGCTCCTCTTCCTTGGCCGCCCGGCGCCGCTCCCGCTGCTCCCGCTGCTCGCGCCGTTTCTGCTTCAGGTCCTTGTGTAGGGACGTCTTCCCCTCGGCCTGCAGCCGGATCGCCATCTGGATGGCTGCCGAAGAGCGGGAGCGGGTCAGTAGGATCCTCGCACACGGCCCGAAAGGGGCCTTAGGAGTTTCCCGAGTCCACTCTCCAACCTCCCGCTGGACAAAGTATTATCACCCCCTTTTCACAGATGAGGCGCCTAAGGACCACCCAGACCCAAGCCACCTAGCGAGCACTCACCAGCTGTCCACTCCTGGCGCTGGCGCGTGTCTGAGGCGCTCATCTCATACGTGCGGTTGGCTGTCTTCACACAGAACATGCAGCGCTTTCCGTCGCGGTCTGGCAGCACCTGGCACAGGGTAGGTGGCCGCAGCCAGGCTGGCCTCACTGGGTCAGGGCCCCACCTGCCCCAAGGGTGCTCCAGCTCAAGCCCCTAGCCCTCCTGGCTATCTTCCCTGGGGACCCCACTCTGCCAGGAGCCTGCATGGCTTGCATCATAAGTTATGGGGGACTTAAGTCCCCACAACTCTGTAGCCTTTGCTCTTTGAAGGCTAGGTGGGTGCGTTTCCATCTTGCTATTATTCCACGGGGCCCAGTACATAATCGCCACTCAGTGTTTATGCAGATCACGCTTGAACACTGCCAGTAACAGGGTCCTCACTATCCATGACAACTCACTTCCACATAGCCCTGCTTGTTAAGAGTTCATTCATTCATTCCGCAGATGTTTTTGGAGTGCCTACTGAGTGCCACTCACTGCTCCAGGGGTTGGGATACTAAGGTGTGCCTAACAGACCAAATCTCTGCCTCCATTAAGTTTACATTCTGTGGAAAATAATAGCTACCACATTCTAGAGTCTGTACTAGTATTTTATATGCATCATTATCTTCACTCCACCTATACAGCTTTGCCAGGCAGGCATTATTAGCTCCACTTTACAGAGAAAGAAACTGAGGCACTAAGAGCTCCAGGATTGTCCACCTCACACTGTTAGTCTGTTAGTGATGAGGCTTGGACTTCTGCGTAGATCCGTGCTCCTTTCCACAGTAACACCTTATGTGACAAAATTAGACAGATCCTAGGATGGCTATGATAATTTTTTAAAAGGAAAAACAACTGTTGGTAAGGAAATGGAGAAACTGAGATCCTCACACACTGTTAGGGATATTATCCAGCCTTAAAAAGGAATGAAATTCTGATATATTTGACAACATAGATGAAGCCTGAAAACATTTCTAAGTAAAAGAAACCAGACACAAAGGGACAAATATTTTATGATTCTATTTATGTAAGATACCTAGAAAAGGCAAATTCATGGAGACAGAAAGCAGAATAGAGGATACTAGGAGCTGGGGTCAGGGAGTATGAGGAGTTATTGCTTGGTAGGTACAGAGTTTCTGTTTGGTGTGATGAAAAAGTTTTGGAAATAGATAGTGGTGATGGTTGTACAATATTGTGAGTATAGATCTTTCACCATGATCAGATGGGATTCATCCCAGGGATGCAAGGATGGTTCAACATGCACAAATCAATATGCATGACACATCATAGTAACAGAACCAAGAGCAAAAACCATATATGATCATTTCAATAGACCCTGAAAAAGCTTTCTAAAAAAATTCAACATCGTGTTATAAAAGCCCTAAAATATTGGGTATAGAGGCAACATACCTTAAAATAATAAACGCTATCTATGACAAACTCACAGCTAACATTGTAATAAATGGAGAAAAATTGAAAGCCTTTCCTCTAAGATCTGGAACAAGACAAGGATGCCCACTTTTACCACTTTTATTCCATGTAGTATTGGGAGTTCTGGCCAGAGCAATTAGGCAAGAGAAGGAAATGAAGGGCATCCAAACTGGAAATGAAGAAGTCAGATTAGCCTTGTTTGCAGATGGCATGGTCTTCTACTTAGAAAAATCTAAAGACTCCATGGGGCGTGGTGGCTTACACTTGTAATCCTAACACTTTGGGAAGCTGAGGTGGTTGGATTGCTTGAGGCCAGGAGTTCGACACCAGCCTGGGCAATACAGTGAGATCCTGTCTCTCTCTTAAAAAAAAAAAAAAGGCCGGGCACAGTGGCTTATACCTGTAATCCCAGCACTTTGGGAGGCCGAGGTGGGCAGATCATCTGAGGTCAGGAGTTTGAGACCAGCCTGGCCAACACGGTGAAATGCTGTCTCTACTAAAAATACAAAAAAAAAAAAAATTAGCCAGGTGTGGTGGCAGGTGCCTGTAATCCCAGCTAACTTGGGAGGCTGAGGCAGGAGAATCACTTGAACTCGGGAGGCGGAGGTTGCAGTGAGCTGAGATCGTGCCATTGCACTCCAGCCTGGGCGATAAAAGCAAGACTCCTCCTCCTCCTCAAAAAAAAAAAAAAAAAAAAAAGGGACTCCAACAAAAAACCGTTAGAGTTGATGAATGAATTCAGTAAAGTTGCAGGATAATTCAACATACAAAACCCAGTAGCATTTGTATACGCTAACAGCAAACAATCTGAAAAAGAAGTTGAGTGCAATCCCATTTCCAACAGCTACAAAGAATGTAAAATACCTAAGAATCGATGTAACCAAAGTGAAAGATCTATACAAGAAAAACTATAAAACTGATGAAATAAATTGAAGAGGATGCAAAAAAATGGAGAGATATCCCATGCTATGTATTGGAAAAATTAATATTGTTAAAATAACAATATTACCCAAAGCAATTTATAGATTTGGTGCAATCTCTGTCAAAATAGCAAAGGCATTCTTCATAGATATAGAAAAAAAATCCTAAAATTTATACGGAACTACAAAAGACCTCAAATAGCCAAAGTAAGCCTGAGTAAAAAGAACGAAGCTGGAGGCATCACATTTCCTGACTTCAAAATACACTACGAACTGGCCACGGTGGTACACACCTATAGCCCCAGCTATTCAGGAGGCTGAAGCAGGAGGATCCCATGAGCCCAAGGAGACTGAGGCTGCAGTGACCTATGATCATACCACTGCACTCCAGCCTGGACACCAGAGAAAAATCCTGTCTCTAAAATAAAACAAAAAAACAAAATGTAGTACAAAGCTATAGTAACCAAATCAGCATAGTACTGGCATAAAAAGAGACACAAAGACCAATGGAACAGAATAGATAACCTAGATATAAATCCATGCATTTACAGAGAACTCATTTTTGACAAAGGCTCCAGGAACACACAATGGGGAAAGAACAGTCCTTTCAATAAATGGTTCTGGGAAAACTAAATAACCACATGCAGATGAATGAAACTAGACCCCTATCTCTCACCATATAAAAAAATCAAATAAAAATGGATTAAACATTTAAATGTAAGACCTGAAACTATGAAACTACTAGAAGAAAACATTGGAGAAATATTCCAGGACATTGGTCTGGGCAAAGAGATTTTTTGTGGAAGACCTCAAAAGCATAGGCAACCAAACCAAAAATAGAAAAATGGGATTATGTCAAGCTAAAAAGCTTCAGGACAGCCATGGAAACAATCAACAAAGTGAAGAGACAACCCACAGAATAGGAGAAAATATTTGCAAAGTATCAATCTGACGAGGGATTAATAACCAGAATATATAAGGAGCTCAAACAACTCTGTAACAAAAAACCAAATAATCCAGTTTAAAAATGGGCAAAAGATCTGAATAGATATTTCTCAAAAGAAGACATACAAATGGTCAACAGAGATATGAAAAAATGCTCAATGTCACTAATCATCAGAGAAAAGCAAATCAAAATTAAATGAGATATCATTTCATCCCAGTTAAAATGGCTTTTTACAAAAAAAATAGAGAACATCTTTTTTTTTTTTTTTTTTTTGAGATAGAGTTTCACTCCTGTCACCCAGGCTGAAGTGCAATGGTGCAATCTTGACTCACTGCAACCTCCATCTCCAGGTTCAAGCGATTCTCCTGCCTCAGCCTCCTGAGTAGCTGGGATTACAGGCGCCCACCACCATGCCCGGCTGATTTTTGTATTTTTAGTAGAGATGGGGTCTCACCATGTTGGCCAGGCTGGTCTCAAACTCCCAACCTCAGGTGATCCACCAGCCTCGGCCTCCCAAAGTGCTGGGATTACAGGCATGAGCCACTGCGCCTGGCCAAGAATATCTTTTCTGTAAAAAGATGCTGGAGAAGACGTGGAGAAAGGGGAACCCTGATAAACTGTTAGTGGGAATATAAATTAGTACAGCTACTATGGAAAACTGTATGAAGGTTCCTCAAAAAACTAAAAATAGAACTATCATATGATCTAGAAGTTCCACTGCTGGGTATATATCTAAAAGAAAGTAAACCAATATATTGAAGAGATATCTGCCTTCCCATGTTTACTGCAGAGATATTCATAATGGCCAAAATATGAAATCAACCTAAGTGCCCAGAAGTGGATAAATAGATTAAGAAAATGTGATATATATAATATTATTCAGCCATAAAAAGAATGAAATCTTGTCATTTGCAACAACATAGATGGCACCATAGGTCATTTTGTTAAGTGAATAAGCCAAACACAGAAAAACAACTATCGCATGTTCTCACTTACATGTGGGAGCTAAAAAAGTGGATCACATGAAGATAGAGAGTATATTAGTGGTACCAGAGGCCAGGAAGTGTGGGGGGAGGACAAAGAGAGGTTGATGAATGGGTATAAACATACAGTTTGACAGGAAAAATAAGACCTAGGATTCAATAGATCAGTAGGGTGGCTACAGTTTACAATAATCTATTGTATATTTCAAAATAGAAGAGAATAATTTGAATGTTTCTAGCATAAAGAAATATTTGAGGTAAAGGATACCTAATGACATGATTTGATTTTTATAAAATATATGAATGTATTAAATTATCACATGTACCCTGAAAATATGTACATCTGTTATATATCAAAAGAATTTTTTAATTTCATGAATGTATTTAATGCCACTGAATTGTACGCTTAAAATAGTTAAAATGGGAAGTTTCATGTTACACACACATATATACATATTATTTAAAATAGTAAAGACGCTTGTGTTTTAAGCCTCTAAAATAGTGATGAACACAAGGGAGGAAACAGAAGGGGAAGACAGAGGAGAGGGGTATGGAAGGAGAATAGGGAAGTACAGAGTTGCTAAAGGGAATGGAATATGGGTGAAGAAGAAAAACCTTTAAAAGGGATTTTTAGAAAGATTTGCTGTGTAGTATAGATATAAGCCACTTCCTCTGAAATCTTGAGCAAATTCCATATTATTCACCAATTACTTTGGTGCTTGAGTTGCAGTTTTAGTTTTAAGTGCTGACGTGGATGAGAATGGCCTTGAGGCATCCGGATATATTTGGGTCACACTAATCTAAGCAGGAATTTGTGTCACTGTGGCTTTTCTCCATTTGCCCCTCTCCTGACCCCCTTGTCTTCTCATGCCCCTGAGGACACTCTGGGCCCTGAGATGTCCTCCACCCCCATCCTGCCCCTCACCTCCACGCAGCAGTGTGCATCCAGCGGGATAATGCCCCTTTTCTCTTTGCACTCTTCACTCCCAAAGTAGCAGAGGCAGCTGGGCTGCAGCTGGAACCAGCGTTCGGCCCAGTTCCTTCTCAGGTGCCCTCGCTTCCACAGGTAGCCCTGCCAGCCGGAGTTACGTCAGAGGCTTCCCAGGCCCCCCTTCGCCCTGCACCTTGTGTGCTTCCCCTAGTTCCCAGCTTGCCTGACCTGCTTCAGGACATCTTGGATGAGCTCCTGGTAGACCTCGTGGATGGCCATGCTGAGGGTGTCCCGGCCCACGCCCCGCAGGCAGCGGCCCGAATTGAAGAGCTCCAGGAACTGCCAGACGCTGAGCCCCCCGGTGGTCTGGGCCACCTGGGCCTCCTGGGCCAGAAGCTCCTCCAGCTCACCCAAGCTCACCTCCAAGCTCATGCTGCTGAGTACCTTTTTCAGCAGGTATTCCACCTGGAGCAGGAGAAGGAAGGCCTGGTAGCTGCAGCAGGTGGTGTTGCCAGCACCAACACCAGGGAGTGCTCTATCTGGCTCCCAGAGCCTGGGCAGAGGGAAACAGGGGACAGAGCGTTGAGGGGGCCAGAGGACCGAATGTTATGGAGCCAGGGAAAAGACCTGGGAGAGGATCCTGGAGCCCCAACCCCAACTCAGGTTTTCTCTCCCCGTCCACAACCTCCAGTCCCACTCCTTCCTGTCTTAAGGGCAAGGTGAAGGGGACCTGAGATCTGGGGTCCAGAAAGAGGCAATAAATCACAGAAAGTGTCAAGGGAGTGCAAAGGCCCTCTCATCCAATCACTCATTTTGCAGATGACCAAAAAAAAGCCCAAAGGGGGAAGTGACTGGCTCTAAGTCACACAGCAAACTGGGGGCAGCCAGAACCCGATTCTGATCTCCTGAATCCCATTCAGGTCCTTATTCCAAGCCCCAATCCCCAACCCTGGGGATCTTTCCCTTGTGGGAGAGGAAGGGGATTTGGGGTAGGGGTAGGCGTTGGGGAGTGGGGAGTAGAGGTAAGCTGGGCAGGGACAGGAAACCTGTTACAGAGGAACCGGAAGTGGTGGCTGGGGTACATCCTGCTGCAGTTGTTAACTCTGTATGTTGATCGCAGAAGCAAACAACCTCCTGGCCTCCGAGGCCACCTTGCCCTGACTGGCAGGGGTCTAACAAGGGCAGCCAGCCAAGTGTATGTGCAGATGGACACATGTCCCTCACCTGCCCCAGCAGCTTTTTGGGACACTCTGTTTAGGACTTTCTGGGGGATCCTGGGTCTTGTTTGGGTGTTTAGTAGAGGGCACTGGTTCAGGGCTCGGGTGGTTCCCTTCATCACCCTTCCCACAAACAGAAGCCAGGACAAATGTGAGTGGAGCTTGACATGCTAGGGCTTCTTGTAAGTACAGAAGCCCCCTCTCCTGTAAACCCCACTCTAAAGACCTAAAGTCACCCTGGCATCTCCACAGCCACCAAGAGGACTAAAGGGTCACAAGGCCAAATGGGCAGGGGAGGGAAGTGAGGATAAGAGGGAGGGTACAGGTGGATGGGAAAATGCCTTCCCTGGCTTCACCCAGGAGTAAGGAGATAGGGACCAGATTCCCAGCCTTTTCTCCCAGGATGCCCTATCCCTGGGTCTCTTAGCTGAGTTTGTCCTGGCTTTCCAGAAGAAAGGCAGAAAGGGAAAATCTGGAACCAGAGTAACCTCCTGTCTCAGAAAGGTCTCCCCTTGCCTTGTAAAGCATCCTTCCTGTCCTGGAAGAAGTGGCAAAAGGTAAAGGAAAAAAAAGCACCCTTCCTAGATTGCCAGTAATGCTCAGTAATGTATCTGGCATTTAGACCTCTGTGTAAACAGAATTTGCAGATCATTTTCCTACAGTGAGGACCAGCAGAACCCTCATGAAAGTGTAATTTCAGTTTTCCTGGAAGAAGGCAAAATTACTCTGACACAGGCAGTTCTAGGCATCTGGAGACAGCTGGGTGAGGACAGATACCAGCATGGGAAGATGGTAAAGAAAGAAAGGGGATATGGGAAGGCACCAAAGGTGGTTTGGTCTCATTCATGGTTTTGCTTAGGTCTGGTCCCAAGTGATTCAGTCCCTGGGGCTGCCATCACCCTCACCTCATCAGGAACCATGATCAGAGGGTACTTGTCCTCAGACAGGAAGTTGAAGAGGCACCAGAGGCGGAAGGCATCCTGATTGGAGAGCATACTGTTCCCGTTGCTATCTGCCCGATAGTTCTTCTTGGCCGTCAGCGTCCAGCACAGCTCATCAAAGTGCTCTTTAACAAAAGCCCCCTCCTCCACCTGCCACCAGGGCTGCAAATCAGCTGACTGCATATCTCAGCTCTACCACGACACTAGGCTCCAGCTGGGTTTCTTGGGTTCATCTATGCCCCTGCTCCCCACCTGGCCAAGTCCAGGGCCCTAACTCAAGGGATCCCTGAGCTGATTACCAGGTAACTAGCTGGTTCCAACCACTCCACCCTCCACAACACACCCACACCCACCCAGGCCCCCTGACAACAGATTAACTCTAGTCTTTCAGCCCAGAGGACAAAGAAGGAGAAACCCAGCAGGAAGCTAAGAGCCAAGAACCTGGAAACACAGTGACAGATTGGAGGAGTTGGAGGGGGAGTTCAGGGGGACAGTCTGGGAAGGGTGGAGAACCCTGGAAGCTGGAGGAGGGCCGGGCAGGGATTCGGTGGAAGGTTATGGGTAGGGTGGGGCCCACCTCATTAGAGATGAGGGACATTGAAGGTGAATTGAGGGGGACAGGAAGGGGGCAGGTGGCTGGGATGTGAGGGACGTGATGGGACAGCAGTCACGGACAGAGCAGGCAGAAGTAGGAGTTTATGGCAGGGGCGAAGAGTTGGAGTGGCAAGGTATTAGGCTGCTGGCCAGGCTGGAAAAGTGGGGAGAGGTTACAGATGCTCCCTACAAGCTGGGCCCCACCTTGTCCAGGATGTACTTGTTGAGGTAGGGCATGTATCCCTGGCTGGACACAGGGCCGTCATCATCATCTCGGAAGTGTTCCTCCAGGGCCACGGGGTCATGGGGGATGTGCAGGACCGTGTACAGGTTGTGGGACAGCACCTGGGATAGAGTAGAGTGGCAGTGTGTCTTTCTGCACCCCAACCAAAACTGGGCCAGAGGACTGCTCCCCACCTCTCTGCTTGTCCTCACCCCATCCTGGCTGAGTTCTCTACACACACTGTTCAGTTCAGTAATAACTAAAACTTATATACTATGTGCCAAGCACTGAGCTAAAGTACTTTACATATCATTTGCTTAACCACCATAACAACTACTCATATACCCATTTTACAAATGAAAACTCCTGCAGCCCTGAGATATTTCTCACCCAAGGTCACAGCTGGCAGAACTGGAATTCAAACCCATGCAGTTATACTCTTAGCCACTTCATTAGGTATTGGTGTCCTCTTTCTACAGACAGGGAGACTGAGGCTCAAGGGATTCAGTAACTTGCCAAAAGACCCACACTGAACAAGAGCTTGGAGTTCAAATCCATCTCCATCAGATTCCAAAGCCCAAGTGCTTCCCACAATGCTAGACAGTTTGCAGGGTTTGCAGGGACTTAGTCTGCCACCCCAGGGCAGAAGCTGCCAATTTATCATGGTTTCCATCAAAGACTCAGTGTCCTGGCTGCAGTGTGCCTATCACCTAAGCGTGTCTGCTCTGGGAGAGGAGAGGGCTCAAAGAAGGGTCATGAAAAATGGTCCATGACATGGAGAGGGCAAGGCTTAGAAGGGATAGTGGTCATAATGGTGTGCAGGGGAAATGTGGGTTTGTTGAACAAATCCATGATATTAGAATAAAGGGGTTGAAATCTGAAATCTGGTGAAAATAAAATCTCCTTGGGGTAATTCTATTATAGCATTTGTCACAAGCAGTGTAAATGATTAAAAAGTCACTAGTTACTATTGCACACTTACCATATGCCGGTCACTGTAGGAGGTGGTTTATTTAATTAAAACTGTTTTTTATTTTATTTTATTTTATTTTATTATTTTATTTATTTTATTTTATTTTATTTTATTTTATTTTATTTTATTTTATTTTATTTTATTTTGAGACGGAGTCTTACTCTGTCACCCAGGTTGGAGTGCAGTGGCATGATCTCAGCTCACTACAACCTCCACCTCCTGGGTTCAAGTGATTCCCCTGCCTCAGCATCCTAAGTAGCTGGGATTACAGGCACCCACCATCACATTCAGCTAATTTTTGTATTTTTAGTAGAGACAGGGTTTCACCATGTTGGCCAGGCTGGCCTCGAACTCCTGTCCTCAGGCGATCCGCCCACCTCGGCCTCCCAAAGTGCTGGGATTACAGGCCTGAGGCACCATGCCCGGCCAAAACTTTTTTTTTTTTTTTCGGTAGAGACAGAGGTCTGCATATGTTGCCCAGGCTGGCCTTGAACTGCTGGCCTCAAGTGATCCTCACATCTGGACCTTCCAAAGTGCTGGGATTTCAGGCATGAGCCACTACACCCAGTCAAAGCGCTTTTTATACCCCATTTCTAGTCTTCACAATCACCTATATACGCAAATATTATTAAGCCTGTTTTTCAGGTGAAGACACAGAGGTTTGGAAATTTTAAGAGTAAATGGCAGAGCTGAGGTTGAAACTAAATGTGCCTGGTTCACAGGTTGCCTTCCTACTAGAATACTGATGTCAAGTCTCCCTCCTCCGTTGGATTGTGAACTCTGGAGACAAGGTCTCTGTTCATCTTTATGTCCCTCAGCATCTATGTCCTCTTTTGTACATCAAGTGCAATCAATACATGCTATATTGAAGGGCTTCTTCCACCACCAGCAGTTCACCTTGGAATCAGTTCCTAGGAGGCAGGAGCTAGCACTGTCTCGGAGATGGTGTGTGTGCCAAGCCTTCATTTTATTCTCTTTTCAGAGAGGAGGGGGAGAAAGTATTGAGACTTTGCCTCAGTGTCCTCCTGGGGCTCAGTTTTCCTTGGCAAACTGGGAAGTGGGAGATCCCAGGAAGGGAGTATTTCCTTTTTTTCCCTCATTTCCCTCTGGGCAGTTATCCCTGGAGTTTTTGGTTATGTGAGCCAATAAATCCCCTCTCCCTTAAGCCATTTGAGTTTGGTTTTATCACTAATTCCAGGAAAGTCTTGCCTAACACATCTGTGGTCATAGAATACCAATCCCCACTCTAAGGGGTGCCACTGGCTCAATGCCTAGCACTTAAAACCCAGGGTGACCACCTCAAGAGAATAATGCCAACATCCACTGACCACTTCTGAAGTGACAAGTGTTCAAGTTTTATATATTCTCATCTGCTGTCTCTTGGCCTCTTTTCAAACTACCCGTGTCCTTATCTTTTTTTGAGACGCGTTCCAAATCTGCCGCCCAGGCTAGAGCGCAGTGGCGCGGTGTTGGCTCACTGCAACCTCCGCCTCCCAGGTTCACGTGATTCTCCTGCCTCAGCCTCCTGAGTAGCTGGGATTGCTGACGCGTGCCACTATGCTCGGCTAATTTTTGTATTTTTAGTAGAGATGGAATTTCGCTATGTTGGCCAGGCTGGTCTCAAACTCCTGACCTCAGGAGATCTGCCCGCCTCGGCCTCCCAAAATGCTGGGATTACAGGGCGTGAGCCACTGCGCCCGGCCACCCCAGCATTTCTAATCATCCAACCTACAGACACTCATGGGAGAGATACAAGAATGCTCATTAAGCATTGTTTATAATATGAAAAAATGGAGACAAACTGAGGCTCTTCCAGTAGGAAACAGGTATACCATGTCAGGAACCACTGTATGTAGCTGGAAAGATTTCACTTTTCCCACTTGTGTGCTCATGGGCAAATGTTTAATTCTCCAACACCTTAGTCTCCTCCTCTGTGAGGATAATGATAGGGTCTGCTCCAAAGGCTGTTTTGAGTGAAGAGTACCTGGTGCATAGTGCACTGCTTAATAAAAGTTGTGGGTGATCTTTGTTATGTTTATATGAACAGACATTGAAAGATATGCATACTACACTGGCATGTAAAAAAAGCAAGCTACAGAATGAAATGTTTGTCAAATACATGTGCAAAGATTAGGTCGAATTATATGAAACTAGTATTTCAGTAGGTCAAAACAATCAAGTGTCAGAAATTTCATATGGTTCAACCTGTTTATTTGTATACAGAAAGAATCTAGAAGACTCACAAACTGTTAACAGTGATCACCTCTCCAGAGTGAGGGGAGAAACTTTCATCTTTTTTTTTTTTTTAAGACAGAATTTCACTCTTGTTGCCCAGGCTGGAGTGCAATGGCGTGATCTCGGCTCACCGCAACCTCTGCCTCTCGGGTTCAGGTGCTTCTCCTTCCTCGGCTTCCCGAAGAGCTGAGATTACAGGCGCCCGCCACCATGCCTGGCTAATTTTTGTATTTTTAGTAGAGACGGGGTTTTGCCATGTTGACCAGGCTGGTCTCAAACTCCTGACCTCAGGTGTTCCGCCCGCCTCGGCCTCCCAAAGTGCTGGGGTTACAGGCATGAGCCACCGCGCCCGGCCAACATTATATTCTTCTTTACTTCAAAATTTTTTTGGGCCGGGTGCAGGGGCTCACGCCTGTAATCCCAGCACTTTGGGAGGCCGAGGCAGGTGGATCACCTGAGGTCAGGAGTTCGAGACCCACCTGACCAACATGTTGAAACCCTGTCTCTACTAAAAATACTAAAAATTAGCCAGGCATTGTGGCAGGCGCCTATAATCCCAGCTACTTGGGAGGCTGAGGCAGGAGAATCAGTTGAACCCAGGAGGCAGAGGTTGCAGTGAGCCGAGATTGTGCCATTGCACCCCAGCCTGGGCAACAAGAGTGAAACTCCATCTAAAAATTAAAACAAAAACAAAAACAAAAAAACAAATTTGGCCAGGCGCAGTGGTTCACACCTGTAATCCCAGCACTTTGGGAGGCCCAGGTGGGCGGATCACTTGAGGTCAGGAGTTCAACACCAGCCTGGCCAGCATGGCGAAACCTCATCTCTACTAAAAATACAAAAATTAGCTGGGTGTGATGGCAGGCGGCTGTAATCCCAGTTACAGGGAGGCTGAGGCAGGAGAATTGCTTGAACCTGGGAGGTGGCGGTTGAGGTGAGCCAGGAAGGATAGTGCCACTGCACTCCAGCCTGGGTGGCAGAGTGAGACTCTGTCACACACACACATACACACACACACCCCCACAAAAAAAAAATTACCACTAACATGTTTTAATTTTATAATAAATTCATTTTTATTTTTGTTTATTTATTTAGAGACGGGGTCTCACTCTGTTGCCTAAGCTGGGGTGCAGTGTCACGATTTCTGCTCACTGCAGCTTCCGCCTCCCAGGCTCAAGCGATCCTCCCACTTCAACCTCCCGAGTAATTGGGACTACAGGCATGTGTCACCATGCTCAGCTAAGTTAAAAAATTTTTTTGTAATACCAAAATTAGCCGGGTGTGGCGGCACACTCCTGTAGTCCCAGCTACTCAGGAGGCTGAGGTGGGAGAATTGCTTGAGCCCAGGAAGTCAAGGCTGCAGTGAGCTGAGATCGTGCCACTGAACTCCAGCCTGAGTGACAGATCCAGACCCTGTCTGGAAAAAAAAAAAAAAAATTCTTTTTTTTCATAGAGATGAGTTCCCATTATATTGCCCAGGCCATGGTGGCTCATACCTGTAATCCCAATGCTTTAGGAGGCCGAGGCAGGAAGAGCCCTCCTGGGCTCAAGAGATCCTCCTGCCTCGGCCTCCTAAAGTGTTGGGATTACAAGTATGAGCTACCACAGCGCAGCCCCGAATTTCTTCATTAACATTATATTCTTCTGTGTGTTTTCTTTTTTTAAACCAGGAGAATATATTGTCTTTAGGATAAAATTTAAAACAATAGGGATGAAAAAGGGTGCCATTAACCCAGTTATTAATTTGCCCTATTAAGTTGCTCTATAATAATATTCTTTTGCTGTTCACTGTTTGTGTGAGCATTTCTGGGTGTTCTACATTCCTTGAGGGCAGCAATGACTCTAATCTCAACCTTGACTCCAAAGATAGTATAATGTCCCCCATTCACTGAATGTTTCTGACTGACTCCTAAAGTCTAACTCAAATGCTCCAATGGTTTCCCATAATTTTCAGAGTAAAAGTTCGAGTCCTTCCACAGGCCTCCAGGCCCCATGTGACCTGGCCTGCTGCACCTTCTCTGACCTCATCCCTCTTGTTTACTTGCCTCCAGCCATTCTGCCTTCTTAATGTTCCTCCAGCAGGTCAGGCATATTCTTGCCCAAGGGCCTTTGCACTTACTGTTCCTGCAGCCTGGAATATTTCTCTCCAGGTCACTGCATGGCTCAAACCCTTTCCTCCTCCCTGTTTTTACTTAGATGACACCTTCTCAGGGAATATATATTCCCTGACCAGGTGGAATATCCTCTGATCACCTTATCTTTTGAGACTGGGTCTCACTCTGTTGCCCAGGCTGAAGTGTAGTGGCACAATCACAGCTCACTGCAGCCTCGACCGCCCTGGCTCAGGTGATCTTCCCATATCAGCCTCCTGAGTAGCTGGAACTGTAGGCGTGCGCCATCACACCCGGCTAATTTTTGTGTGTATATGTGTGTGTGTGTTTTCTTTTTTTTGCAATGTAGTTTTGCTCTTGTGCCCAGGCTGGAGTGCAATGGTGTGATCTCAGTTCCCTGTAACCTCTGCCTCCCGGGTTCAAGCAATTCTCCTGCCTCAGCCTCCTGAGTAGCTGGGATTACAGGTGCCTGCCACCAACATCCAGCTAATTTTTGTATTTTTAGTAGAGATGGGGTTTCAACATGTTGGCCAGGCTGGTCTCGAACCCCTGACTTAGGTGATCCACCCGCCTCGGCCTCCCAAAGTGCTGGGATTACAGGCAAGAGCCACCGTGCTGGGCCTAATTTTTCTATCTTTTGTAGGGACGGGCTTTCACTATGTTGCCCAGGTTGGTCTTGAATTCCTGGGCTGAAGCGATCCACCCGCCTCAGCCTCCCAAAGTGCTGAGATTACAGGTGTGAGCTACCCTGCCCGGCCTGATCACCTTATTTAAACCTGTAACCCAATCCTGCCTGACCTCCATGATCCCTACCCATTTCTGCTTTATTTTCTTCCATGTCATGTATCATCTTTCATCATATTGTACATTTCATTTAGTTTATTATCTGCCTCCTCTGACTAGAATGTCAGCACCACAAGGGTAGAAACATTTGCGTTTTTTTCACTGTGGTATCACGGGGCCTGGCACCTAATGGATGCTCATTAAGTATCTCTTGAATGAACTTAAACACTTCATGGGAAGAAGCAGACAAAATACAAAAGCCAGACAGAGATTGACTAAATCCCAGTGAGCATATTAACCTTACTGGGCTTCAGTTTTCATCTCTCTAAAAAGGGAGTCTTAGGAGAGGACCTATGAATGCCCTCCCCGACCCAGGACAGAACCTGCCACATAACAGCACAGTTATTTGAGCTTAGTTCTGTCGCCCTGTACTGTCCCTAAGACCTGCACCTCACCTGCACTTTTGCCATTGGATCCTGAAGAACCCAGGGCAGAGACTCTGACCCCCGCGTGCTGTCAGATAGTAGGACAAGGAAGAATTAAATGCCCAGACACTCAGGGCCTCTCTCCAGAGAGCTGGGCCGACCTCAGACTGTCAGCTTCCTGTGCCTGGGTGCGGTAGGGGTTGGGGGTGGAGAGAGGGTGTGACTAGGGGAGGGGTCATGCTGCAAAGGAAATGGCAGTGACAGAGGAGTTGTGAGCAGGAGCTCACTTGCAGATCTCCATCAGTCCTCAGCCCTGGATCAGGGGACTCTCATTATCCTCATTTTAGAGATGAGGAAATCAAGGCTCAGAGAGAGGAAGCGTCTTGCCCAAGGTCTGACTCCAAAGCCCTGCTCTTGATCTCTACAGTGCACTGGCCCTGGCTGAGCACCACAATCACCCAGAGAACTGGTGAAACTGAAACATGCCCGCCCAGCCCAGACCTACTGACTCAGAGTTTCCAGGGGTGGGGTCCAGGTGTATTTTTCACAAGTTGCCATTTGGGTTTCCTCAGAGAGGACTCCCACAGTCTCCACAAACCCAGGGAGCCTCTGGCCTCTGAGTTGGCAGTCACTGACCTTTGAGATGCTTCATCTATTCACTCTTTCCTCTGGAGGCATGTAGGGGAGTAGTTCTCCTCTCAGGACTTGGGGGATCCTCTAAAACTCAAGTGTGGGGATTGGGGATCCTAAAAACTCAAGTGTGGGTGTCAGGTCCATGTTGGCAACAGTCAGCAAGAACTGATTCTGTAGTTTCCAGCCTTCAGGATCCCCAGGGTTTGGGAATCCATAAAAGCACCCAGCAATGATTTCAGAAAGAATTCTCTCCTAAATTGACTTTTTTTTTTTAAGAAAGAATCTCACTCTATTGCCCAGGCTGGAATGCAGTGGTATAACCATGGCTCACTGAAGCCTTGACCTCTCGGGCTCAAGCGATCCTTCCACCTCAGCCTCCAGAGTAGCAGGAACTATAGGCAGGAGCCATCATGCCTAATTTTTTTCATTTTTTGTAGAGTTGGGGTCTTGCTATGCTGCCAGGGCTGGTCTCAAACTCCTGGACTCAAGTGATTCTCTTGCCATGGCCTCCCAAAGTGCTGGGATTACAGATGTGAGCCACCTTGCCCAGCAAGGTCTTTAAATGAATCTAGGTTCCAAGTGATCCTTTTAAAAGACACAGATCCAGCCAGGTGCAGTAGCTCACGCCTGTAATCCCAGCACTTTGGGAGGCCAAGGCAGGTGGATCACCTGAGGTCAGGAGTTCAAGACCAGCCTGGCCAACATGGCAAAACCCCGGCTCTACTAAAAATACAAAAATTAGCTGGGCGTGGTGGTGGGCACCTGTGATTCCAGCTACTTGGGAGGCTGAGGCAGGAGAATCACTTGAACCTGGGAGGTGGAGGTTGCAGTGAGCTGAGATTGCACCACTATACTCCAACCTGGGTGACAGAGCAAGACTCTGTCTTAAAAAAAAAAAAAAAAAGACACAGCTCCTTTTAAGAGTTACCAAATGTATTCTAGTGGGTTACTAGAAAAGCATAACTACTATCATGGAGGAACACTGGAAATTTTAAAAGGTGGGAATCTTTGGATTAGCTGTGTCACCTGCTGAGAGCAAGAAGGGGCTGTAGGGGTTGGGTGTGGGCATCAAAGGAGACAGAGGCCCAGTTAAGGGAAAGGAGAGGCTGCATCATAGACCAATTTTACCTACTTGAGGTACAGAATTTATTCTTTAGTTTTGTAGGACAGCTTGGTGATCAACCCCCTGGTTTATAGATGAGAAACTGAAGATGGACAGTGACTTGCTTAAAGTCACCCAGATGGGGAGCAGTACGGATCCAAGCCTGCGTGGTTCTGAGTCAAGTGCTCTGCACATCATTAAATCATCCTCCCCTCCCTACCCACAAATCCTAGCCTGGGGAGACCAGTAGCACACAGGGGTCAGGACAAAGCTAATGATCCTAGCCAGCCAGCAGGTTTTTGGACTGGAGCTGTTCTTAACTTTTCCTCCACTAAGGAGAAGGTGGTTGTCCCTCTCCAGAGGAGGCAAAACCTGAAGCTCATTGATTCTCAGTGGGCAAGAGTCTCACTCTGGGCTCCAGGACTGCCCTGAATATCAGCTGGAGGTGCAGGAGACTGGAAGGCCCCTGTCTACCCTCCCTCCCTTCCCCCAGCTCCTGCCAGTCAAGGAGGAAGTGGTAGGCCTGGTGCCACCCAAAGATCCTCATCAAACCAGAGACACACTGCTCCATCTACATACCCCTTCACCCCACTGCCTGATAGTCAGTGGGGAAGGAGGCCAAATTATCAGCTGATCCTCCACTAGTTCTAAAATCAAAACTGCTCCCCTGGGTAAGAGGGTGTGTTCAGTAGGACACACATCATTCCCAAGGGCTCCCCTCTCTATAGCCCTCTGTCAGGATGGCTACCTTCCAAAGGTTTTTAGAGGCGGTTCTGGGAACCTTGCAAGAACTCACAGCCCTCAACTCCTGGGAAGTTTTGTGTTCAACCTAAATCCATCCTGGGCAGGAGTGCCATTCCTATTGGTTTACTTTCTCTGTTCTCAACCCAACTGGATGAAGCCATTGTACTTTCTACAAGAATTCAAAGAGAGAAAGAAGTATCTGGTTTTTCCCTCAAGCCTTCTCTTTTCCAGGAGAAACAACCCTACTCCTTGGGCTTTTCTCAGAGGACGTGCTGTTCTTCCTCCTACCCTCTGGCCTCATCGTGGGTTTGCCCAGGACAGCCACTGGGAGCCCGTCTACCAACACATTAGGGGAGAAGTGGCAAATGTCACGCACCGACACATCTTGCCCTGGGCTAGTGCAGGTCTCTTGCCAGGTTCCAACCCAGGACCCTAACGCTAGGGATGGTTTTAGTAACCAGCCCAGTGAGGTGGCTCAAGACTATAATTCCAGCTACTCAGGAGGCAGAAGCCAGAGGATCACTTGAGGCCAGAAGTCTGAAACCAGCCGGGGCAACATAATGAGACTCAGGCTCTAAAAAATAAAAAATAAAAAAATTAGCCAGGCGTGGTGGCATGTGCCTGTAGTCCCAGCTACTCAGGAGGCTGAAGTAGGAAGATCGCTTGAACCCAGGAGTTTGAGGCTGTCGTGAGCTATGACTGCACCACTGCACTCCAGCATGAGTGATAGAACAAGATCTCATCTCTAAAACAACAACAAAAAACCAGATTGACTCCAAGGTCTTTTCCCTCATCCCCAAGTCTTTTCTGGGGAGAGGTGGGCCCTGCTTGTATAACTCTCTCGTCTGCTTCCTCCTTTGCCTTTTGACCACTTCTCTATTACTCCTTTGCTTTGCTGGAATCCCCGCCCCCCAACACTATCACTACTTCCTCCTCTTCCAATATTCACTATTATGGGCTTGAAAGGAGCCCCGCCATTTCCGCCCCACCCCCACTTGGCCCCTGAGACTCCCACTGTTAGCCCAGGTTTCCAGAGTTGACAAGTTTTCTGTCAAGTAGGAGGGAACTCTATAATTGATCCTGTGTGACCAGAGATGTTGCTGGCAGTAGGTTCAATATGAGCTGTGATGAGGTACAGACAGTGGACAGTTCAAGCATGCAAGCTCTCCATGGAGTATTTCCCTAGAAATACGCAACCTGTGGGGATGAGGGAGTGGGTAGTGGCCCTTTTAGAGGGCAAGACAGAGGCTCAAGCTAGGAGGCTTTACTGGCTGATGGCACCAGGAAAAGGGGAGCCACTTAAAGGCTGTACTTTCCATGTGAAGGGCAGAGAGAGCCTGGAGAGGTCTCAGTGGCCACAGGTAATACAGAAGTGGAAAATGTTACCCTGGAAGCAAAAAGCCACGGGGGCTGGTATTGTCTGGCAAGATATTAAAGGGACAGGGTGGGAGGTAGGGGTGGGACACAGAGTTTGCAGAAATGGATTTTGGATGATCGACTTTTTTCCATTTATACTGAGGACCCAACCAAATGACATGATCTGCAATACAAGAGATTTAAATAGGATGTAAGGAAGAATCTGCCTGTTAGGAGGTTCTCCCTAGGTGACAAAAGATAGTAGTGGGCTCTCCTTCCTGGGGGAGTGAAATCATCTATTAGATGCTCACAAATCCAGGTAAGGAATTTAACATAGGACCAGTTTGGGATATTCAAGTTCCTCACATCCAAGTTCAGTAAAGTAGGGGGTTGGAACGGTGGTGGGGCACAATAACTGTTCTGTCCCATTCATCTCTCAGGTATCCAGCACCCTCTACCTCGGTCATTAAGAATGGAGGTTTCCTTGAGACCACACGTCTCCTTTGGAGGATGGGGCAGGGAGACACCAGTTTAGTGCCTAGCCACATGCCAGGCACAGAGCCTCACGAGGGGCACTCAAGTACTTGCAGAGTGAACGAAGGCACCCCTATGGCAGGTCCTAGAGAGCTGAGGCCTACCTTGCTCCTTTCCCCCAGTGTTCGCTGATTCTAGTGGCTGAGGGCCTTGCTTCCTCCCCACTAACTAGGGTAGGGAAGGCAGCACTACTGGAGGACTAGAGGAAGAGAGAGAAAAACTCCTTGGCCTCCCAGAAATTGTCTAGGCCAGATGATTGACTTCAGGACAATCATTGATTGGGATTTTCCTGGGCTTAGATTCTCCCCCTTCCCTACCTGAGGTCTCAAGGCCTAAGGTAAGTTTCCCAACCTGATATGTGTGGTGGATAGGGGGGTGAGCTGCGTAGCAGTATAATAGGGTCCTCAGTCCTCACCCACTCCGCAGCTCTGTCCCACCTGGCGGGCAGGGTTAGACAGGCCAGACAGGTTTGGGACTGGGGGCGGCCCCTTTATGCCTCTCTCAGCTCCAGAGGAAATGACTGCCAAGCACTGGCTAACTGTTTCTCTTGAAAGTCAGGAGGAAGCAGCAAGAAAGAGCACACTGCGTGCCCAAGCATGACTCTGTGGAGGTGTGTGTGCTCATCACACAGAGTCTGGGATGTGGCCTGGCTCCTGGCCCTCAGAACCCCATAATGGCCCTCAGAACCTCCTGGCCTCCAGTTGTGGGGCCCAGTTCTGCGCAAGGTTTCTGCACACACTTCACTAGGTCTCTGGAGGGTGGGCAGCGGCATCTACCAGGCTACGTTGGCCCAGTTACCCAGGACCAGCCCCCCGACCCCAGGCCCGGGACGCTGGATGGCTGGGTGCCCCTGGAGTGGCACAGTGTCCACACCTGGCTCCCAGGCGGCAGGGGCTGGTGTGGTGCATCTGCCGTCCTCCCCCGGGTCCCGGGTGCCCCTCACCTTGAGCTGGGACTTGGAGACTTTGCCACTCTTCTCCACGTCCAGCGCGGTAAAGGCGTACCAGATGGACTTGAGCAGTTCCTTGCGCAGGGCCATGGCTGAGGCGCCCGCCCGGCTGGGGGCGGCTCTGACACTAAGATCCGGTTTCAGGAAATGCAAACGGCTGCAGAGACCGCAGAGGTGCCGTGGTGGAGCGAGAGCACCACCTGCCTGCACATTGCGTGAGGCTCTGTGCTGTCGAGAACCCTGCCTGTTGTTCTGGCAGTGCTCAGAGGCTCCACTCCCTGCATGGGAACTGGGGACCAACTCTCCGAGAGCGGGAACCCTCGTTCTGTATCCACGTGGCTCCCGGGGCATGTGAGGCCCTTTTAGAAGCCTCCTCAGACCCGGAGGCTTCTGGAGCCTTCCAGGGCTCCCAGACGCAGCTTGCTGAGGGAAAAAGCAAGCTCATCCTGATATTGGGGTCAGACAGAGTAAAGGTCCAGTCCTAGTTCAACATAGGAGGCCTTGGGTAAGTTACTTAACCTCCTTGAGCAGTTTCCTCATTTGTAAAGCAGGAAAAATGCCTCCGTGTTGTAAGAATGTCTGAGAATGGACGTAAAGCACATAGTAGGCTCTGGGTAGAGCTTTTGGTGCTACTTAACATTACCATGGTGGTGGGACTCCATCCAAGTGGAAGGAAACAAAGGCAACATCACAAAGCTGGAGAAGGAAATGGGCCAGGGCACCTCTCCAGGTCAGGATGTGGCACTTGACTTGCTGGCTCCCTATCCCCTCAGCACTGGCTCTAAACGGTACTCAGAGCACTGCCCACTCTAGCCCCAGTAGCCCTGAAGACACTGGAAACTTCCTGAAACACATGGGGGTGAGCCTTGTGGTGCACCTCAACTTTAAGGGTCCCAGCAGCAGCAGGCTTGGGATTCAGGGCCCTCCATGTCAGTGCTTCCTTTCTTCAGATCCAGTGTCCAAAAGGACTGGGACACGCCCACACCAGGAATGGTGGTCACAGATGTTGAAGACATCTGCTCAGGCCAATTCTAAGACACCTCCCCCTACCCCCTAAGCCAAATAAAAATCCCTCCAAGTAAGGTGCTGGGAATACCTCCTGCCTGGAAGCACGCCCCCGCCCCTCTCTTCCCAAGGAGCTGGTGGCAAGAGTAAATGGGAGCTTTCTAGGCATCCTGGGAGAGGATGCCTGGATCAGAGGAGGGGGTTCCAATCCTAGGAGGCAGGAAGGGGTTGGGGCATATCCATCACAGCAGAGAGAGGAAAAGAGGCACCACCAATCCCTGCAATGTTCCTGTGTAGGCAGAGTCAAACCCAGAGCTTCTTCCCATCAAGTGCCTTCCCCTGTATCCCTTCTTCCCCCTGGAGCTGATCTGGTCTCACCAACTCACTTTTCAGTGGGGTCTGATTGTGGCTTTGAAATCCCACAGCACAGTCCTAGGCACCTAGGTGGGCACCCCCAGAGCTGGGTAATAGAGCCAAGACTTCAGCTCCAGAGGCATCAGACTCTGCTCCTTGAATCTCAGTAACCTTGGCAAAGGTGTCCCCCAGCCTCACTCTAACCTGGGGCTTTGCCCTCTTGGAGAAGCTGACTGTGTGATTTGGGGGTGGCTGGGTTGGAGGGGCTCTGACTACGTTTCACAAGAAAAGGCAGGAAAAGAGTTCCCCCAGCTCAATCACATGAGGCCTGAGATTCAGCCAGAGCCTGGAAGCAGCGGTCACCCTGGTCCTGTTTGGCTACCCTGGAGCCCACCTGCTCAGCTGTGGGCAAGAAGCCACCAGCAGCTCCTCAGGGCTTTATCTTATACTGGGCTTCCTTCCCACCTGTGTCCCTGGCAGGCCAGCCCCACCACTCTGGCACCAAGGCTGAGTGGGGTTTGTGCCAGGGAGACAGGGCTGATAGCCTGATTTGACCAACCCTGCCACCCGGGCCTAGAGCTGAAAGGATGGAGGGACCCAGGTGGAAATTTGGAACTTTTATTAAATACTCATTCATCCATGTGCCACCACCACCCAGAGCAGGAAAAAAATTATCAAAATGGAATTAAAAAAAACAAAACAAATCAAACCCAATCCCCAGCAGTCTATGTACAGGGCCACTCCCTGCCTCTCTGCCATAGAGAGGTTGGGGGGCAGCTGAGGAGTGGTGGGGGCTGGGCACCTTTTCTTCAGCCACAGGCCCCTGAGGAATTAATTGACTGTGGTGTCAGGAAGTCCCTGGTGCCAAGTAGCCAGGCATCTCAGCTGGCCTCCAGGGAGGTGGTTATTGCTGGGAGGGCAGGACAGGGCCTGCTCCACTGCTACTGGGCTGAAGAGCTGTCTGTGGCTCAACCCTACAGGGCCAGTCCCCATAGCAGCCCCAATCTCTACCTGAGAAGGGGAACAGACTGAGGGCCAGAAGGGTGTTCTTTAGGAGGAGAGTGGGCGCCCAGCTGATTTTGAGAGGCGGGTGCCCTGGTGTAGCCTGGCTGTTGTCAGCTCCCGAGGATGATGCACTCCCCTGATTCCAGCTGCCTGGCCCCCTTCTTGAGCAGGGCCCCCATTCCCTTCAGTTAGGCAGTTTTCTTGCTGTCTTCTCACCCCAGAGACCTATGTGGCCACCTTCTATGTGTCAGCCACAGCCTGGGCCCTTGGGGGCAAGAGTGGCCATGCAGATGGCACTTCCTCCAGCATGGTGTGGGACCCAGCCCTCTTGGACTCAGCAGCCACTCTCCGACACTGTTGTCTCCAGGGTCACAGCCCCTTGCTGCATGGCCGCAGTGGCCACATTGATGGCCTCCTCTAAGGTCTGCTGTTCCTCCAGCTGTGGGGAAGGGGGTGCAGAAGGAAGGAGACAGTGAGACCCTCCCTGCTAGATTCCAGTGTTAGTAATATGTGGCCTACTTTTTTTTTTGACTCTCCCCCATCTACCCAGTGCCACACGCTGAGCACTTAGTAGGGCTCCAATAAACATGAAGTTCACGGATGAAGAGTCCTATTAGGCTAGGCATGGCCAGGGGGCCCTGGAATAGCCAGGGTCAGAGAGACCCACTTGCTCACGGAGGAAGGACTGGCTGAAGAGAACCGTGGTGATCATCTACGTCAGCCTCCTTCATTTCCAGATGAAGAAACAGAGACACAAAATGATGAAGGGCTTGGACCACAGGTGGACTGCCATCGGAGTTATCCTGAAGGCCAGAAGAGGCTTCAACATTCTGCCTCAGCCAAGAGCGAGCCTGAGACAGATGCATGGATGCAGGAGGAAAGGGATCTGTCCTCTGAAATGGGCTCTTTTTGAGTCAGATGCCCTTCTCTTCAAGATCCTCATCTAATTCCCCTTTATTCCTTGTTGACTTCTCTGGCCGTGGGATCCCCTTTCCTCCCAGATCTCTACTCACCTGCACTGCAATGTGCGTTCCGTTGGCTGTGGCCAACAGTGCCACCTGTTGATGACGAAGAGATGCTACACTTGAGTCCTCAGCCACCACAGCCCCAGAGGTAATGATTGTGACCTGAAAGACAAAAGGAGGTCTTCCATTCCACCTGCAGTATACTCTCCCTCCCCACAATCCAAATAAACATCCCTCCAATTAAGGTGCTGGGAACAACCCAGAAGAGAATGGATAAAACCGTATGGGTCAGATTAATTAGCCTGAGGCTCAGAGCTAAGTAAGGCTGGGTTTCCTCCCAACTTAGAGCCCAATTTAATTTAGGGATTTTGAATCACAGAAGGACAGAGCTGTAAAAAATTCCAGAGATATTTTAATCCCCTCACTTGAAAATGGACAGAAGTCCATGGAAAAGTGATTTGCCTAAGGTTGCACAACAAATCAGGGTTGAATTGAGATTTAGAAAGTGTCTCTTGACCTCCATTCAACTGCTTTTAAAGGTAAGAGCTGCTCATGGCCCAGGAACTGTGGGGAAGACCCCTTCTTTTGTGGGGAATCTTTGTCCTGGTAAGAAGACTTGACTAGTTTAGGCTGCACTTTAATGCCCGCCCCATGGAAAGGAATGACAAAATAAGAAACCCCAAGCAAACCGCCTGGTCATACGGGCTGCGTCTGGGTGCCATCGGCGCTGACCATGGTGACTGTATGTGTGCCAGATGTGGCCAGGTCGGCATCAGGACTGGGGATGGTGAGGGTGGTGCTGCCGTGCTGGGTGACCATACTGATGGCACTCCCCAGGGCCTGCAGGTCTTCCGGGGACAGGCTGACCTGCCAACAGGAGGGGAAGATGAGCTGGCAGTGTCAGTGGAGGGTTGTCTGAAAGTCCCTAAGGAAGATATACCTGCTCTCCCAGACAAGGTCAGCTTATTAGTTTCATGTCATAGTGGTGGAAGGGATGGGTGACAGGCAAACAAAATGGGTCCAAGGTTGCAAAGAGAGGCCACACTAGAAGAATTCCACTGACTACTTCTATTTATCACCACTTTGCCTCTGGGCCCTGTTGTATCCAGCTCAGGGTCGCCACCTGATTGTGTCCTAACAACTCTAGAAAGCACAGATGTACTTTCTAGCAAGGGTACGGACAAGGGTCAGGTTATATAGCTAGCTAGTACACTAGTAGGACCAGACCCCAGGCTTTCAGACCCCATACCATGTTCTGGCTGCTATATGAACATGCCTCTCTTGAGAAGGACATCCCATATCCTGTTCAGATGAACAGGACCTGTCAGCCTCCAAGTAAAGAGAGAAACTACTAACTGTGCTCTAGAAGCCCCAGAGACTGAGCTGGAAGCACAGGAGGAGGAGAGGCTGTGCTGCAAGATGTGGTCTCCTCAGCCTCAGCCTCTGAAGTCTATAAAACTTAAACAAGAAGCTGGGTGGCAGTGGGGCTGTCAGAACTTCAGGGCTCCCAGAGTCCCCAGAGAGAGTGGAGAGTGCCAGCTAGTATGGCACCTCTGCCCTCCAGGGCCTGTACCTGCTGGGCACCATCCTGAGTGATCAGAGCCACCTGGGGGGCCCCATCTTCTTCAGTCACCATCGCCACCTGGGCTGGGATGTCATCTCTCTCTTCCTTCACCTCCGAAAGGTAAGCTATCCGGGGTCGTTTGGGTGGCGGACTCTCCTCGGCTGCAGAGGCGGCTGGGAGAGGAGAGCCAAGGCTGACATCTGCTACCAGATGCCATGGGGAGGCCTGGCTTGTCCCCACTCTCACCCTCTGCCCACTCCCCTTACCCTCAAGTTGCTGCTGCTCATAGAGGGCCTGCTCGCTCTCCTCCGTGGCCTCCAGCTCGCCGTGGGCACTGCGCTTGTGCATGGCCAAGGTGGAGGTCTGCCGGTAGGTCTTGCCGCAGGTGCTGCAGGTGTAGGGCTTGCAGTGTGTGTGCACCACGTGGTGCTTATACAAGCTCGAGTACTCGGTGAAGCGTTTCCCGCAGCCTGGCACCGTGCAAACGTATGGCTTCTCCCCTGGGGACACTGGGCTGTGAGGGGGGTGGGAACTGGGGCTGGCAAGGGGGAAACTAAGGGGACAGGGGTGAGGGACAGGGTTGGTGAAGGGAGAGCCAGAGGGAGGGAGAGGGACTGAGACCTGAGACTCTGAATGGACAGGGTTGGGGAAGATGGCCAGTGGAACACAGAGAGGACACAGGTGTTGAACCACTGAATCCAGAGACAAGGCGGAAAGGAAACGGGGGACAGGGCAAGGCTGGGGCTAGTGAAGGGGCTGGTAGGGGGCACTGGGGCTTATAAGGTTGAGGGTGGGAGGTTGAGAATGGTGAACAGCAGAGGCAAGAGGCAAGGATGACTGAAGTATCAGTTGTGATGGGAAAGAGGGGACACACATGCTGAGACACAACACAGAAAGCTGGATGAGGGGCATAACACTGGGGAGGGTGAGGATACACAGGAGTCATGGACGGCGGATAAGGTGAGGAGTTGAAGGTGACAGTTCACTCTGCTTCTTCCCCATCATTCCTGACCCTGGCCTCTTTTCAAGAGTTCAGTCAGAGTTGGAGAACTCAGGGTGGGTGTAGAGGGGTGGTAGGGAGCTGAGGGACCCCAGAGAGGACTGGCAATACCTTTCAGATTGGACCTAACTGGAAATTGAGGAATTACTCACTGCAAGCAGAGTTGTTCTGGGGATACCCTACCCCCAGACCAGCCTGGAATGGCTGGCACAGAAGGGTTCTGGGCTGGGAGTTGGGAATGTGTCTTAGATGGGAAGCCTACAGTAGAGGGGTTGGGGCCTGAGTGAGGGTAGTCCTCGCATGCCAGCTAGCCCACCTGTGTGGATGCGCACGTGATTCTTATAGTTGGTGGCGCTGGTGAAGCCGCGGCCACAGTGGGGCTCCGGGCAGGTGTAGGGCCTCTCGCCTGTGTGGGTGCGCACATGTACCTTGCGGATGTTAGATGTGGTGAAGGAGCGGCCACAGCCCTCAAAAGGGCACTGGAACGGGCGTTCACCTATGCAAATGGTGGGATGTGAGGAGGGGTGTGGGAAAGAGGGCCATGCTGGAGCAAGCTGGGGATGGCACTGGGCTCCAGGTCTAAGTCTGAAAGGCAAGCTGAATTCCTTTTGCCCAGGGAATGGGGTTGGAGTGGGCAGGGCCCAGCATACCAGTGTGGGTACGGACATGCTTCTGCAGGTCTCCTGAGGTCTTGAAGGCCTTGCTGCACAGCTCCTCTGGGCACTTGTATGGTTTCTCACCAGTGTGGGTACGAACGTGGCTCTTCAGTCCATAGCCTGTCCATATGTGGCAGGCAGGGGGTGAGATGAGCACCCAGTGGGGTCTCATCCTCCACCGTCCACCTCATGCACAGGCTCTCCACCTCCTTTGGCTCAAGAAGCCCATGTCTGCCTCTATCCCACCCCTGCCCTGGGCAGGGGCTGGAAAAGCCCACTCTGCCCTGCTTCCCTCTCCAGGAGCAGTTGGAGCCATACCAGAACATGAGCATGAAAAGAAACTTAGAGAACTCATGGCTAAAGGTACTAGTTTCACAGAGGGGAAAATAAGCCCAGAGAGATGCAATGGCCCACCCAATAATCCACAGCTGGTTGGCATCAGAGCTGACACAAGAGGCTGGGTCTCTCCACCAACCCTCCAGGCTCCTTCTGCTGGCCTGAACCATGCTGCCTTGCACTCCCGTAACAAGGTTTCCTCCAGAGAGAGCACCCTGCAAGTCAGAGTACTCTGACGGTAGTTTCTCCAGGAAAGCAGCCTGGTGTTGGGTTCCCTTCAGAGAGGTCCCAAACAGAACGAGAACCCTCCACCCTCAACTGGAAGCAGCCCACCAGGCAGGTTACCTGTGGCAAAGGCCTTTCCACAGCTGGGGAAGTCACATCTGTATGGACGGTCACCTGTATGAGCTCGTTCATGCACCTGTGAGGACAAGCAATCACATAATTCAGAGGAGCAAGGGTATGACCAGGGCTCTTTGGTTTTCTTTAGGACCCTGATTCTCTTCCCTCCTGTACCATTCATGTGTGTCAAGCGCTCTGTGCTGGCATTCCTGTGTACCCTCATTTCTTCCCTCCAGCAACGTGAGGGCAGGGACCAATTCCAATCAAAGCAGAAAGGTAGAATTACAGCCTGGGAGGGAAGACTGCAGAGCTGACGGCTGTCTGCCAGCAACCTTACCTTTAAGTGATGAGCGGTGGTGTAGAGACGCCCACAGCCCTTGTAGCCACAGCGGAATGCTCTGTCTCCAACTTGCTGCCCTTTTCCATTACGGGGAATCTGGCTGTCATGAAGAACCTGGGGGAAAAGTCTTGAGATCCCTATATGTATTCTCCCCAGTGAAGAAGGTGGGACACAGGGCCCTGCTGGCAGCTTAAGACCCAACAGGCAGGGTTAAACCTGTCAGGGGCCTCTGGGGCAGAAGAACATAACTAGACGGACAAGGAACAGATGCTGGGGCATGCTACAGAAGAAACAGGGTGGGCATGGGGAGTCACCACCCATCTCTGATGGGATAAAGGGAGACCTACAGGTCATAGTGGCTGTGACGGCTATTGAAGAAAGGCTATCACATAGACAGCTAGGTAAGGTGAAAAGGGAGGTTGTCTGAATGGCCATGCTTGAACTGGACCAAGTGCCAGAAACCCTCCTTCTAAGCACACACACCTAGGAGCCTGCAACTCTCAAGACCTCCATCTTCTGATGGGAGGGGTCCCCTTCCTCCTGGCACGAAACTAGTGCTTAAAAGTACATAAACAAGGGGGCTTGCTGTGGAGATGAGCTCACCTAGGTTCATCTGATAGGACTTGGGGCCCAGAGTGAGGTGGCCACGACCAGAAGCACCCAGGGGAGTGCTGCAGTTTCCACCAGAAATGTCAGCTCTAATGACAGCACCCAGCTGACAAGTCCTCCCCTTTTGTCTCCTCTTCTGGGATATTGCTAAAGCCACCCATCTCACACCAGCCTCTGGATGCAGGGAGCCCTTATTGCTCTTCTGCTTTCCTGGGCAGGGTCCTGGTGGGACTATCCCTTAGTCTTTCTTTCTAGAATGCTTCAGAATCACACTCTGGTCTTTCCAGGAGCTCCTGAAACTGAACTCTACAAGTTACAGTGAGCAGGGGACAGAGGGGTGAGGCCAAATTCATGGCAAGGTCTGTCTAGTTAGGCTCCAGCTCAGAGGCTCAAGCAGCTGAGAGCTTCACGGACACTTAAACAGCTTCTGGGTAGAGGGTAGGGTCAGAGGTGGCCTGACCTGCTTGGCGGGCTAACCCACACAGGCACTTGGATTTCATTCCATGTCTCACTAGCTCCTGGGGTAATCACGGGAATCAAGGGACATCAGGGATGGAAGTGACCTCTGAGATCATCTGGTCCCATCTCATCATATTAGGAATAAGCTGAGGTCGAGGAGAGGAGGGACTCACCCAAGTTTGGACTAGGTAGAGGTAGAGCAAGCATAGATCTCAGGGCTCATGATTTAAATAAAACCCACTTCTCTTTACATCAACATCGAGTCTCAAATTTGGTCTCTAAGATATACCTCAGGGAACCTGGGTGGGAGTGAATGTAGCCTACTGTAAAGTTTTGTGACTTTTTTTTTTTTTTTTTTTTTTAGATAGGATCTCCCTCTGTTGCCCAGGCTGGAGTGCAGTGGGACAATCTCAGCTCATTGCAGTCACCGCCTCCTGATCCTCCCACCTCCGCTTCCCAGTAGCTGGGACCACAGGTGCGCACCACCATGCCCAGCTAATTTGTTTTTGTATTTTTGTGTAGAGATGAGGTTTCGCCATGTTGCCCAGACTGGTCTCAAACTCCTGGACTCAAGCGATCCACCTGCCTCAGCCTCCCAAAGTGCTGGGATTACAGGCGTGAGCCTCTGCTCCCGGCCTGTGCTTCATTTTGAAAAGACATGAGGACTTCCTTTTTTCCTCCATCATTCAGTCACACTGGTTTCATTATAAATAAAAAACCTCCCCCATCTTCGGGTAAAACTGCTGGAAGGAAGGAACGTGCAGGAAGCCCTGGCACATCCAGCCTGAGGCTCTGTAGTCATTCCAGGAAGGGAACACCCTGGTTTGGAAAGCTCAGAGATGTCTGTACCCTTTTCCCCACATGCAGGACCATGGTTTCGGCAGAAAGAACTTGGACTGACTGGTATTTGCAGAGCCAGGACCCTTTTCCTTTCCAGCTGAGCTACTGTGTGGGCCTCATAATCCAGGAATCCCAGCTGTTCTGTTGCACATGCCCTTGTCATAGCCCACTGAGGTTAATTTTCCAAATGACTGAGTCACAGAGAAGAAATAAATACAATTACCTCAGTGGACTAGAAAGCTAATACAAGTCACTGGCAGGGCTTTCCCAGCTAGTGCAGAGGATTACTACAGCAGCCAAAGTGAAGCTGGGCCTAACTCCTCAGCATAAGGATGCCACTGTTTCTTATGGCAGCTTTCCCTCTGCAAAGACAGCGTAAACAAAAGTGAGCGTAAACAGCTGTCAGCGGCCAGGCCAGGCTGTGTTGCATGCCCTAGACAATGATGTGTGACAGGTGAGTTGGGGGAGCTGGGGTGGAGGGGCAAAGGGAATATCCCACATGGTGCCCAAGCACAGGGCTGCCCTTGTCCTCTTGAGAGGTGAAGTTCTGGCAGGGCCAAGAGGCAGTGCGCAGGCCAGGCCCGGTTGTCTAGAGTGACAGACCGTGTCACGCTGTGCGTGCTCACCTTGCTGGCATACTGCTCCAGGGCCACCACTGCGTCTGCACTGAAGCCCTCATCATCCTCTGCTGCCAGGTCCTCCAAGCCCACCTCTGTCTGTACGGCCAGGATGGTGCTCTCCGATGGCACAGCCACAGGGTGGTGAATGTAGGCAGTGGAGCCATCTTCCAGTTGGACGGCTTCCAGGGTGCTGGGGTCATAGCCTTCTGCAGGGAACACGCGGTTAGCCCTGATGCCACACAAGGGGAAGAGATACAGCTGGGACCCTAGCTTTAAGTTAATGAGAGATACATATACCAAGGAGGGTTTCAACATCCAATTTCTCATGGCCCTTCACTTTGTGATTCACTCTTGCTGGCCCTCCTTCTGCAGCTGTCTCACCTAAGGATGAGGTCTCCTATGGTACACTAAATGGGAACTCACAAGCTCCTTGAGGACCTGACAGGGGCCCATCATCATTTTGGCTTAGATGACCACAATAGCCTCCTGACCAGTCGCTCCTCACCCCCTCTAGTTCCCTCCAGGCAGCACAACATCCAGAGGGATCTTTGCGGGACACAAATGTGACCATGTCACTTAACTGCCTCAACAGTTTAAATGCTTCCCACTGGTCTCAGGATAAAGACCAAAATCCTCACCCTGACACTCAAACCCAGAGTGCACCAGCCCTGTCTTTCTCTCTCCAGTTTCCTCCTGCTCATTCTGCCTTCACTCCCAGGGCTCTAGCTCCTAGCAGTTCCTGGAATGTGCTGTTCTTTCTTCCCCCCAGCTCTAGGCCTGCACATGCTATTCCTTCTGCCTGAAGTACTGAACCCTCCCTGCCATCCCTCTTCCCCCAGCTAAGTCTACCTCATTCTTTACCTCTCAGCTCAAGCATCACTACCTCAGAGAAGCCCTCCCTGAGCCTGATCTCTGTTTGTAATGATCAGTTCATCACTGATGGCTTGTTTCACTTCTGTTTCCCCCTCTAGACTCTAGGAGAGCGGGGACTGTGTCTGACTTTGTTCTGTCTTGTATACTGCACACCTAACACAACGCCAGGCATGCAACAGTCACTCAAGAAACCACCTGCGGAAGGAATAAATTGTTATTCTTCAGCACCTTAGGAGCTTCATTCTAAAATATTAGTTTTTTTTCCTGGTCTTGGATGATATCCTCGGGTCCTATTTAAAGCCCTAAGACTTTGTGGCTGTGCTGGAGCCAAGGCCACCATCAAAGTCCACGTCACTGATCTCCAAGGCTCACCTCCCAGTTGCAGACATAGCTGCTCCTGTGGTCTGCACCAGGGAAGGTGGGCAAGGCTGCTAATCCAGGTGAGCATGTGTGTACCATGGAGATGACAGCTCCCATGTCTACACCCCAGTTGTGTGCCATCCCATCCTCCAGTCCTGCCACCCCATCCTCCAGTCCTGCCTCCCATCCTTCCCCGAGTTGTGATGATGGTGACCCTACCTCTGGGTGTGCGGTGTATGTAAGCCATGCTGCCATCTTCCAGCTGCACAGGCTGACCATCCTCAAAGGAGAGAGCTTCTGTAACGAGAGCAATGCCTGCCTTTCCCTGGAGCTCAGTGCCATGGAGGGGTCCCTTGGTGGGGGCTGTCAGGCTTCCCTCGACAAGGCATGGTGTGTTGGGGTGCCCTCACCTTTCTGTACCGTCACCTGGTGAATGTATGCGGTGGTCCCATCCTCGAGCTGGATCACCTGCCCTTCAAGAAGCTTCTCTCCTGTTAAGAGTGGAAATAGAGAGAAATGGGCCAGGACCAGAAGAGGGCTAAGAAACGCCTGCCTGTTTTTAGCTGAGGCTTATTTGAGTCTCTAGGCACGAGCCTGCAGGTCTAAGCATGGGTAACATCTTCCTTGTTCCCTTGCTCTGTCTCCCTGGGCCTGGGCCTTGAGACACTAAGGGTGAAGACACTTGCCTTGCCGAACCCATCACCTCCCAACAGATTCCCTTCCAGTTACTAACAGGAGGAATAACTTCACTTATTATTCTACCCATGCCCAGCCAAGTGGAAACTTCCAACCTAATAGTAAGTTGCTGAGACTTGAACTAATGGCCCTTAAACCTGGATGAGCCCCAGTGGGTCAAAATTCAGATATAGCTCAAACTAACAAAATCAAAACATATCCCCTCATCCCTCACTATGACAGTGTGCTAAGACCAGGAGCCCCTGTGAAGGCAGGATATATAGCTTAATGGTTAAAAACAATAGACTCTGGAACCAGGCCAGGCCTCCAGAGTTTGAATTCCAGCTCTACCTCTTAACAGCTGTGTGACCTTGGACAGCTTATTTAACTAACCTCTCTGTGCCTCAGTTTCCTTTTCTTAAAATGGGGATTGAAAACTGTGTCTCTTATAGGGTTGCTGTTAGGGTTAAATGAGTTAACGAATATAAAAAACTGGGAAGAGTGCCAGGTATATATGGTCAGCCCTCAATAAATCCTAGCTTTTATTATAAGCCCAATATGCATTTTAGAAGAAATGGAAAGTAAAGCAATAGAGAACTATGTGAGCACAACTATTATGCTATTATGTGTCCATGAAGGTCTTATTCCACTGCCACTGTTGAGTAATGTTCCTTCATTGACCTCTCATTTTTCATTTCAATTTTCTAGTAAAAAATTAGATCACCTAAGGCAACACAACAAGCAGCATAAAAATTAACAAGCCTCCAGATTTCCTAAGATATTACTCTTCCTTTACCTTACTGGAAAGCACTTCTAATAAGGCTCTTGAAATTAGAACTAGACGACCCTTCCTTGTGTCCAGTGAGTCTGACAGAGGGGGAAGGAAGAAGAGAAATGAGAAAGGAAAGAAAGGGAGATTGAAGAGTTAATGATGGTCAGATTCGGTGGCTCATGCCTATAATCCCAACACTTTGGGAGGCCAAGGCGGGTGGATCGCTTGAGCTCAGGAGTTTGAGACCAGCCTGAGCTATGTGACAAAACCCTGTCTCTACAAAAAACACAAAAATTAACTGGATGTAGTAGTGCATGCCTGTGGTCCCAGTTACTCGGGAGGCTGAGGTGGGAGGATTGCTTGAGCCCAGGAGGCAGAAGTTGCAGTAAGCCGTGATTATGCCACTGCAGTCCAGCCTGGGTGACAGAGTAAGACCCTGTCTGAAAAAAATAAAAAATAAATAAATAAAAAGGCTGGGCACGGTGGCTTACATCTGTAATCCCAGCACTTTGGGAGGCCAAGGCGAGCAGATCACCTGAGGTCAGGAGTTTGAGACCAGCCTAACCAACATGGTGAAACCCTGTCTCTACTAAAAATACAAAAAAATTAGCTGGGTGTGGAGGCAGGTACCTGTCGTCCCAGCTACTCGGAAGGCTGAGGCAGGAGAATCACTTGAACCCGGGAGGCGGAGGTTGCAGTGAGCTGAGATTGTACCACTGCACTCTAGCCTGGGTGACAGAGTGAGGTCCTGTCTCAAAAAGAAAAAACAAAAAAGTAAGGCTGGGTGTGGTGGCTCACACTTATAATCCCAGCACTTTGGGAGGCTGAGGCAGGCGGATAACCTGAGGTCGGGAGTTCGAGACCAGTCTAGCCAACATCATGAAACCGTGTCTCTACTAAAAATACAAAAAAATTAACCAGGCGTGATGGCACATGCCTATAGTCCCAGCTACTCGGGAGGCTGAGGCAGGAGAATCGCTTGAACCCGGGAGGCGAAGGTTGCAGTGAGCCGAGATCACGCCACTGCACTCCAGCCTGGGCTACAGGGTGAGACTCCGTCTCAAAAAAAAAAAGGAAGAAAAAATAAAAAAAAAGTTAATGACAAGTGATTTGTCCTTTCCTTAGAAGATTGAGGTTTAGGAAACTGAGCGCTCAGGTGGGAAAGACAGTTACTTCCAGCCCAAGTCTCTGCTGACGTCTCCCCTTTAGAGGAATCCCCAAACTTGCTCCCAAACTGAGTCTTCTTGGGGTCAGTAACTAACAGTCCTACAACTAACCAAAGGCAGGTAAGGTGGAGATAAAGGTAAGAAATAGGAAAGGCAGCTGAGATGGGGGGAAGATGAACCCATTTTCTTCCCTCCCACCCACAGAGCAGTAGGCTACCCTCATTTTAACAATTTATCTGTCCTGGCAAGGGCATCAGTACTTGGGGTTCTGAAAGCATCAGCAAGCTACGGCCAGCAGAGTGGGTACTGCTTCAAGGTAGAAAACAAAATGTTGAGAAGAGTTGTCTGAAGAAAAAACTTAGCCTACTATTTCCTCAAACAACCAGAGACTACAATGGAGAGAGGCAGTGGGGAGAACAGCTGACTGACAAGGGCCTCATATCCCATTACAGAGAGGTGACCATACGCCCCAGTTTGCCTGGAACAGTCCTAGTGCATTTATTAATAGCACATTCTTCCACTTTTAAAATGCTGGGTTTGAATAATACATTTTATACTCATCCTAATTAAAGATAAGTCTCTTACAATTTTAGGGCTTCCAGCAGACAGAGACAAAAATGCCTCAGTCAAAAGCTTCAGAGGAGAAGTCAGAGAAGCCTTTCAGGAAAGTGTGGTTCTGGTCTCTGAAGGAGAGCTCTACCCTGAGCAGAGGGAAAATCTGTTGTGAGTGAGTGTGTGTTTGCATATGTGTGTGTGTAAGTGCACACTGCAACACTACAGAGTGGGCAAAGAACAGCCAGGAAGACTGACAGAATAAAGAAATACGTAAGAAGGATAGATATAAGGAAAGAGTGGCTCTCTCAGGTCAGGTGTGGTCACTTGCTTTTTATTCATTTGTTTGACCATTAATTCTCAGTGGAAGACTGAGGCACGGGAACTAACTGGGTCCAAGGAGTAAACACAACCCTAGCTAGAGTTCTAAGTTCTTCCATCCCATGGAGACTGCACTGGAGGGGCAAGACCTGGAGTGGGAAGTCTGCAAACAGAGAGTTTCAGGCTTCAAAAGCATTCTAGAGAAGTTGCGTTCTCAAGAAGATGAAGCCAACAAGAACCCACATGTCACAGACAGCTCTTGACAAGAAACCTTTCCAGAAGGGACCCCCACACACTGTCATATGGAAAGTGCTTACTGATGAGATTAAGGGGACTCCTTAGTCATCATCAGGAAACAGACAACTTAAAATGAAATCAATAAACAACTTATCTGTAAACTTAGGAGCAGAAATATATTCTGAGAGTGTGTTGAAATAAAGGAGGGCAATGTTGCAATGACAGTGCTTCAGGAGGACAGTGACAATCATGGAGTCCAGAAAACGCCAAATGAACAGTAGGAACAAGGCAGTATTTGCCTTGTTCAAGGTGCTGTCCAAGGAAGACACGAATGCTATCTGGCTGCCTGAGAACACTGGCAAGAAAGGAAAAGTGTCCCTGGCCTGCAGGCCTTGCCCTAAACACTTTATTCTGACTCCACACCTACCTTGATTTTAAGTACCTTCAGTGTAAGGATAGAATTGCCAGATAAAATACAGGATGCCCAGGTAAATCTGAATTTCAGATAAACAATACTTTTTTTTTTTTTTTTAGAACTTGGTATTATTATTTTAGTATTTTATAGTATTTAACACCCCCTACTTTTTTTTTAGATGGGGTCTTGCTGTTGTCTAGGCTGACCTCAAACTTATGGCCTCAAGAGATCCTCCCATCTGAACCTCCCAAGTAGCTGAGACTACAGGTGCATGCCACCAAGCCCAGCTTAATCCCACATTTATATATGTCTATCCCTTATAAGGGGTATATGTATGTCCCTAGTATGTGGTATACATACGTCCCTACAACATTTGGGATGTATGTATCCTACAAGAGTATTCATTGTTACGTCCAATTCAAATTTAACTACATGTCCTATATTTTCAATTCTGGCATCCCCTAGTGGGGATTAGGGCATGAGATCTCTGCTTGGGTGTTCCTCTCTGAATCAGGAAGAGTATCTTTTTTTTTTTTTTTTTTTAAGAGATGGGATCTTGCTCTGTCACCCAGGCTGGTGTGCAGTGGTGCAGTGATAGTTCACTGAACCCTCAAACTCCTGGGTTTCAGTGATCCTTCTGCCTCAGCCTCCTGAATAGCTGGGACTAAAGGTGCATGCTGCTGCACCCAGATTATTATTTTTATTATTTTTTTTAGAGACAAGAGTCTTGCTATGTTGCCCAGGCTGGTCTCCAACTCCCGGCCTCAAGTGATCTTTCCATCTCAGCCTTCTGAGTGCTGGGATTATAGACATGAGCCACTATGCCTGGCTTAAAAGAGCATCTTGTACATGGCAGATGCTTAGTAGTTTGAATGTTTGAATATACTTGAATTAAGATGATAAACTGCTTCTAGAAAGCACTAAAAAACTGTGACAGGGGATATCTGAAAAGCAGGGAGTCATAACTAACACTGTGTTCATTCCAGAAATATTTATCAACTGCTTATTACATATTAGGAATTCTGTCTTTGAGAGGTATTGGTTCCTATGACTGGGATTGTCTGACTTGTAGCATTTTATTTTAGAGTTCCCTTTTCATCAAGCACCACAGGAGATTCTAATGCAGAGCAAATTGTGGTGGTGGGCAAGGGTAAGCAGGCGGGAGGGCAAGGTGATGGTGGGACTCTTAGAAATGGACACTCCTTTCCAGAGGCTGAGGGACAGGGCAGGATCCTGAGGTCCCCAGAAATACTTACCTTTGACAGCTTGCTGGACGTAGGCTGTTGTCCCATCACTAAGGGTCACCGTGTGCAGCCCCAAGCTCTCCATGGCAAACTGCTGCTCGTGCACTCAGACATGAAGTTGGCTTCTGGCCAGCACCAAGAGCCACAGCTGAGGTCAGAGATTTCCTTCTGGGTCACAAATCTAAGAAAATAAACAGTATCACATTATGAGTTAACCAGCTTTCTCCTATCGCAAAGACACTCAGGGAAGGAGTTAATGAGGCCAGCCAGCCAAGAAGAAAAAAGATGAATTCTTCAAAGTAGTGAACTATATTGGTTTTTATGAAAAGGGCTCAAAATACACATTATCTAAGAATTCTAAAAGTTAAGCATAGAAGAGAAGCATGCCAATCAAACTGGTCATAAAGTAAGAAATCACTGATCAAAACCCATTTCTAAACTTTCTCCCCTTAGGAAGGAGCCCTGCTGAAGGCAGGCAGTTAACCCCACTGCTGATGGTTCTCTCTGCCTACTCCAACATCTCTCCTGTGCTCGGACCCATTTATCTACTGAGCTTGTTAACCATCCTCAGGGAACATCCCACATGTACCACACGTGGAATAAGTCCTCAACAGAACTCACAATGTGTCCCAACCTTCCAGAACTATTGTACTTCCAGTATCCCCTATCCCAGGGGTGGTATCGCCTTCCACCCAGAACTTCAGGGCGGGGGGGGGGGGGATCATGCTTGAGTCCTCCTTTTCCCTTAAAAGTCCAGGTACTTATTTCAGGCATGTCTCACCTTTCACCTCTGGACAACTATAAGGAGCCTTATAACTTATGTCCTCAGATAAACTTTTGTCTGTTTCCAATTCATTTTCTTTTCTTTCCTTTTTTAGAGACAAAGTATCACTCTGTCGCCCAGCTGGAGTGCAGTGGCTCCATCACAGTTCACTGTAACCTCGAACTCCTGGGCTCAAGTGATCTTCCTGCCTCAGCCTCTTCCAACTCATGTTCTAACATTCATGTTTATGCTGTCAGGGTGAATTTAAAAAAAAAGCTCTCTTCCCACTATCTTGGAGCCTGTAGAGGCCTGCTGAGAACAGGACTTCCAAAAGGCAAATATGGGCGGGGTGTAGTGGCTCATGCCTGTAATCCCAGTGCTTTGGGAGGCTGAGGCAGGAGGATTATTTGAGGCTAGGAGTTCAAGACCAATGTGGGCAACACAGCAAGACATTGTCTCTACAAAAAAAAAAAAATTAGCCAGGTGTAGTGGCACATGCCTGCAATCCTAGCTACACAAGAGGCTGAGGTGGGAGCACTGCCTGACCCCAGGAATTTGAAACTGCAGTAAGCTTTGATCATACCACTGAATTCCAGCCTGGGTGATAAAGAGACTCTGTCTCAAAAATAATAATAAGATAAATACAATACATTTGGAAGGCTGTAGTCCAAGGCCATTTTTTGCTAGCTGTAAGTGGGGCCTCCAGAACCAAAGCGAGGACACAGCTCTTATTAAAATTGAGGTATTGGCCAAGTGCGGTGGCTCACGACTGTAATCCCAGCACTTTGGGAGGCCGAGGACAGTGGATCACGAGGTCAGGAGATTGAGACCATCCTGGCTAACATGGTGAAAACCCATCTCTACTAAAAATACAAAAAATTAGCCGGGCGTGGTGGTGGGCACCTGTAGTCCCAGCTACTTGGGAGGCTGAGGCAGGAGAATGGCATGAACCTGGGAGGTGGAGCTTGCAATGAGCCAAGATCGCGCCACTGCACTCCAGCCTGGGCGACAGAGCGAGACTCCGTCCCAAAAAAAAAAAAAAAAAAAAAAAAAAATTGAAGGTATTTATGCTCGAAATGAAACTAATTCTATTTAGGCAAGAGATGTACTTACATGTATAAAGCAAAGAACAACACACTGACTGCTGGCAGCAAACTGAAGAAAACCAGCATAATCTGGGGAAAGGTAAACTCAGGCCCATGGAAACAGTGGCATGGTTTGTGCTAAATTCCCAAGCAATCTTGCTAAAGCTATTGAACACAGAATCTGTGTGACGCTGTGCCCCTCAAGGACTTAAGCTAATGAAAAGTAAATAAATAAAAGTAGATTTATAAGAAAAAAAGAGTACAAATCTAAACATACCACTTCCTTGACTAAAACCCTTCCATAGTTTCCTACAGCTCTTAGAGTCCACCTTGCATACAAGGCTGGGTTGTTATAAACTCCCACAGCCTAGGTACCACCTTTTCCTAGCACTCACACCTCTGGGCTCAACCTACTTCAGTACTCATCACTATCTGTTTAATGTCCGTTGCCTACACAAGGCTTTGGGCTCTAGCCTGGTTTCTGCGTCACAGTGGTTTCTCCAGCAACTCACACTGTGGGCTCTCCACACATCCTGTGAGTGACTCCCTGGGTCCCTCATGTGCAAGGTGGGAAGCACTGAAGCTTCCTGCTGGCAGGATATCTTCTGTACCCACTGTGGTGTGCAGCCTGCTCTAGCAGTGGACCCCAACACTTGTGAAGCCTGCAGGAAGCCCACGGCCTCTAAACTCAGTGCAGTCGTGAAGACTCTCTTTGACATCCATTCTCAAAATTCTCCTGGACTTGGAATCTGGACTGCCTACTGGATTCTCACGACTTACCAACCGATATCTTTGACTGGTGCTACCCAAACTGTTTTCATGTCAGGGGACCTAGAGAGACAGATATTTGTACATTGCATTGCAGATGCTGCTGCTTAAAGTCAGAAGTTCACATTGCAGATGTCACTGCTTCAAGCCAGAAGCGACCAACTGGGGCTTTGACAGCCCTGAGGGGCGAGCGGATCAATATCTTGGCAAAATTATAGACCATCCAGGAGTTCGAGACCAGCCTGACTAACATGGAGAAGCCCCGTCTCTACTAAAAATACAAAATTAGCTGGGCATGGTGGCACATGCCTGTAATCCCAGCTACTTGGGAGGCTGAGGCAGGAGAATTGCTTGAACCTGGGAGGCAGAGGTTGCGGTGAGCCGAGATCGTGTCATTGCACTCCAGCCTGGGCAACAACAGCGAAACTCCGTCTCAAAAAAAAAGAAAAAAACAAAACAAAAACTGGCTGGGCGTGGTGGCTCACACCTGTAATCCCAGCACTTTGAGAAGTTGAGGCGGGCAGATCACAAGGTCAGGAGATCCAGACCATCCTGACTAACAGGGTGAAACCCTGTCTCTACTAAAAATACAAAAAATTAGCCGGGCGTGGAGGGCGCCTGTAGTTCCAGCTACTCGGGAGGCTAAGGCAGAAGAATGGCATAAACCTGGGAGGCGGAGCTTGCAGTGAGCCAAGACTGCACCACTGCACTCCAGCCTGGGCGACAGAGTGAGACTCCGTCTCAAAAACAAACAAACGAAAAACCCAAAAAAACCTATAGACCAACTGCGACACGCTGATTGGAATGCTCTACCCCAGGCATGGCATCTCAACTAGAATTATTCATTCATTCTGTCCATAAACATTTACTAAATGGGCTAAGGTGCAAGGGCAGCAATACTATTATATAGTGAACACTACTATAGAGTTAACCACGTGCTAGGAATGTCACATACATTAACTCATTTAGTTCTAACAATCCTACAATCAAATGCTATGATTATCCTCATTTAAAAGTGAGGGAACTGGAGGCCCAAGACCAAGTTAAGTAACTTGCTCAAGGTTACACAGCTAACTAGTAAAGGAGGATTTCACCCTAGGCCATTTAATCCAGAGTGTGACCTTAATTACTATGCTGCGAAGCACAGAGGTGAAGCTGGGGGTTTATGAAACTTGAAGCTACTCCAAAATACTTTTTTGGTGTGTGAGCCTTTGCATTTTCCAGGAGAGAGGGAAATCCAAGGCTGTCATCAGGGTCTGATAGGGATTAATGGTGAAGAACCACTGGTCAAGGTGGGGATTCTGACATCTGACATCTCTGGTCTATTAGCATCCTTGCCCAGAGCCCTGATAACCTCCACGTGGTCCCTGTCTCACAAGAGCTCTGCTCCTGGCCTCTCTTGGTCTGCTCTGACCTTCAAGCTTCACTCTCTTCATCAGGTAGATTCTTTGGGTAACCCGCTTTAGTGTAACTGCACTGTGTCAGAAGACACATAAGAGAAACCAGGTCTAAAAACAAAGCAGGCTGGGCACGGTGGCTCATGCCTGTAATCCCAGCACTTTGGGAGGCCGAAGTGGGCGGATCACTTGAGATCAGGAGTTCGAGACCAGCCTGACCAACATGGTGAAACCCCGCCTCTGCTAAAAAAAAAAAAAAATACAAAAATTAGCCAGGTGTGGTAGCACATGCCTAGCTACTTGGGAGGCTGAGGCAGGAGAATTGCTTGGACCCAGGAGGCGGAGGTTGCAGTGAGCCAAAATTGCATCACTGCACTCTAGCCTGGGCAACAACAGCAAAACTCTTGTCTCAAAAAAAAAAAAAAAAAAAAACCCATAAATAAATAAATAAAAATAAAAACAAAGCAGACATAGGTTGAAAAGGGATTGCAAAATATCCTCAGACTCCCTGGGCCCTGTGGCTCCTGCAGCTCACCTCTGTCAAATACTCACATGGTTTAACTGAGCACAACTGCACTCCACTGGGACTTTCTAAGGAAAATCAGTGGTGTGGTTAAGAGCACAGGCTCTGAAGTCAGGTCTGGGTTTTAATCCAGGCTGAACTTCTGTGTAGCCTTGGGCAGGCTCTCTGAGCCTCAGATGTCACTTCTGAGAAAATGGGGATAATAGTGGCACTTGCTTCATAGCCTGCTGTAAGGGATTAAATGAGGGCACATATGCCTGTACTCTAGAAATACCAGCTATCAGGAGGAGGGGAAGGAAGAGGAACCTAAAGGGAAATGCTTTTGAAGCAATACGAAGTCCTAAAACAGCTAGGACTAGTGGCAACCACCCTGGACTAGAAGTCTACAGAATTGGCTTCTAATCTCGATTCTATCTCTATGTCTGCCTCTTTATCTGTAAAATGAAATGCTGGCCCAAATTACCCTAAGATCCTTTCTACTGCTCATGCTAATATTTATTTTTATCACATATAAATGTGATTAATATATACCAGCCACTTTTTAAAGCACCTTACCTATATTAACTCTTAATCTTAAAAATAACTGATGAGGAAGTAGGTATATTATACCCATTTTACAGATGAGGCAACTGAGGCTTAGAGGTATAGTACCTTGTCCAAGGTTCCAACACTACTATGTGTTGAAGCCAGAATTCAAAGCCAGGCTGGCTGGCCCCAGAGCCCATACTTCTCAATATCTGGCGCACTTCTTCCTTCTGCTAATTCACTGTGACTGGCACACCGTCAGCACTCAAAACACTTGAATACGGGTTAACTTCCATCTCACCCACTGTAACTTAAACCCAGACCTTCTTGGCCTACCCGCAATGGAAAAAGGGAATAGCTGGTAGCCACACTTCCCAAAATAACCCTTCTTAGACTCAAAGAAAACAAATTTCCACTCCTTTTCATGTTCTCGCGTACAGGCTAAATAACCTCAACTCATTCACGTTTCCTTCCTAAGTCTCGTAATACAAACCTTTAAAAGAGGCTACTGTTGTTCCCTGACCTTTCCCAATCTCTGAAGCTGCCTTCCAAAAGAGCCTGACTGCAGAGGGTGAGGAGGAAGCTTTGTGGCTGCTAGGCATCTACCAGTGCCCTGATTGCCATTTTTCTCCCTGTACTTTCTTTCAATGATGGTTTACTCTGAATCCTCCCATGCTGGCACTGAACTAACAACAGTGACATGGGCAGAGCCAAAGAAAGGCTTGTTACTGCTTCAGGATGGCTATGTGTGAGTTCTGCCTGCACTTGCCGGTTCAGACTCATTACTCCTGCAGCCCTCCGAGACAGGGCAGAGGGGCAGTGAGGGTGGCTGCTCTGTTTTCTCCTTGTAGGATATAAGGTTTACTAGCTCTGCAATGACCTGAGCTGTGTATAGGGGAGAGACAGACTGGGAGAGCGGAAGGTGAGAAAAGAGTGAAGACAGAAGGGAGCACTCTTGACTCTCCCAGAACTAGGAGCAAATCCAGTTCTGTTTGCTGCAATTTTTTTTCTTTTTTTTTTTGAGATGGAGTCTTGCTCTCACGCCCACGCTGGAGTGCAATGACACAATCTCGGCTCACTGCAACCTCCGCCTCCTGGGTTCAAGTAATTCTCCTGCCTCAGCCTCGTGAGCAGCTGGGATTACAGGCATGCACCACCACGCCCGGCTAATTTTTTTGTATTTTTAGTAGAGACGGGGTTTCACCATGTTGGTTAGGCTGATCTCGAACTCCTGACCTCTTGATCCGCCCACCTTGGCCTCCCAAAATGCTGGGATTACAGGCGTGAGCCACTGCACCCGGCCTGCTGCACTTTTAAATAAACTTAACCCATTACTGGTCCTGATGCAGGAAAACAACCCTTCACCTTTGCAATATATCGATGTGTTTCTTAATGTTAAAACATAAATTGTAATTATTGAGGAGAGAGAACATTTAGAAAAACCTTTTATTTATTTAGAGACAGGATCTCATTTTGTTGCCCAGGTTGGCATGCAGTGATCATAGCTCCTGTAAACTCAACCTCCTGGGCTCAAGCGATCCTCTTGCCTTAGCCTCCTGAGTGGCTGGGACTATAGGTGTGTGCCACTACTCCCAACTTTTTAGATACTTTGGATCTTTAGGTCTCTCCATGAATCAAGATGTGCTTAAACTGCCTCCTCAAAGGAGAAAAATAAGGGATGTGAAAGATAGGAAACTAAAGAGTAGCCATGGTTTTTGTGTTTTTCCACTTTATCATGGTTGAGACCTACTGCGCTCCACACACAAGCTGGGCTGTGCTGACTACAGGCACCTGTTCGCTATTCTATTGTCTTCTGCCAACCAGAACTCTGGACAGTTGGAACAAGGCTTTCTGTACTCTGCCTCAGCCAGCCCAGAGGGCAACTGTATTTAGAAGCCAAAAAAAGAAAACAACAACAAAAACATTTGCCTGAAAAGAATGTTCAATTTTGATTAGCAAAAATAATTATGACTTAATCTTCACTTAGAAACTTCTTCATTTGTAAACATAGAAAACTTCTCATGAGAAAAAAGACACATTAGTTTGGGAGGGATGAAGGCTGATGAAGATGAGTGGCAAACAAATCAGAACCAGATTTGGAAAAGTTGCAGTAAAATGATTCAATGTTTATTATAGAAAAATACTTCACTACACGCAGAAAAACCTAGTGAACAGGCCTGGTTCTGTGGGTTTCTAAACACTGAAGAGAAAACAGGAAATTAGTAACACAAACTTGCACTAACATAAGTTTTAAACAGCTAAAACACATCTTTGCATAAAGCATATTGCTTTTTTTCTTCAATTTTTTTTTTCTTCTTTTTAAAAGAAGAAGCGCCATTTAAAAGAAATCCCAGCACTTTGGGAGGCTGAGGTGGGAGGATCCCTTGAGCCCAGGAGTTTGAGACCAGCCTGGGCAACATAGTGAGACCCCCATTTCTTTTTTTTTTTTTTTTGTGAGATGGAGTCTCCCGGGTTCAAGCAATTCTCCTGCCTCAGCCTCCTGAGTAGCTGGGATTACAGGCATGCACCACCATGCCCATCTGATTTTTGTATTTTTAGTAGAGATGGGGTTTCACCATGTTAGTCAGGCTGGTCTTGAACTCCTGACCTCATGATCTGCCTGCGTTGGCCTCCCAATGTACTGGGATTATAGGTGTGAGCCATTGTGCCTGGCCCTGACTTGGGCTTTAAAAATCAATGTCTGGCCAGGTGCAGTGGCTCACGCCTATAACCCCAGCACACTGGGAGGCTGAGGCAGGCAGATCATTAGAGGTCAGGAGTTCGAGATCACCCTGGCCAACATGGCGAAACCCCATCTCTACTAAAAATACGAAAATTAGCCAGGTGTGGTGGTGCACGCCTGCAATCCCAGCTACTCAGGAGGCTGAGGCAAGATAATCGCTTGAACCTGGGAGGTGGAGGTGGCAGTGAGCTGAGATCACACCACTGCACTCCAGAGTTCACTGGGCAACAGAGTGAGACTCGTTTTTTTTTTGTTTTTTGTTTTTTGTTTTTTTTCTGAGACAGAGTCTCACTCTGTTGCCCAGGCTAGAGTGCAGTGGTGCGAGCTCAGCTCATTGCAACCTCCACTTCCTGGGTTCAAGCGATTCTCCTGCCCCAGCCTCCAGAGTAGCTGGGATTACAGGTGCGCGCCACCAGGCCCGGCTAATGTTTTTGTATTTTTAGTACAGACAGGGTTTCGCCATGTTGGCCTGGCTGGTCTCGAACGCCTGACCTCAAGTGATCCACCTACCTTAGCCTCCCAAAGTGCTGGGATTACAGGCATGAGCCACCATGCCCAGCCGAGACACCGTCTTAAAAAAATCAATGTGAGGCTGAGGTCAGGTGCAGACACCGTCTCTACAAAAATAATTGCCAGGCATGGTGGCACATGGCTGTGGTCCCAGCTACTCGGGGGCTGAAGTGGGAGGAACATTCAAGCCCAGGAAGTTGAGGCTTTGGAGAGCCATGATTGTGCCACTGCACTTCAACCTGTGTGACAAAGCAAGACCCTGTCTCAAAAGAAAATGAAAAACATCAATCTACTTCTTTTCTAATTCATGCTGGCATAAACACCAAGGTGGAGAACTGCCTTAAGAAGTTTTCTTCCTTTAACTACCAGAAGTCCAACTACCTCTTGGATATATATATGTGCATATACATACACACACACACACACACACACACACACACACACACACACACAGAAACAGGGTCTTGCTCTGTCACCCACACTACAAGTGCAACGGCATGATCATAGCTCACTGCAACCTTGAACTCCTAGACTAAAGTAATCTTCTTGCCTGAGACTCTCAAATATCTGGGACTACAGGTGTGCACTACCAAGCCTGGCTAATTTATTTATTTACTTACATCTATCTCTATTTACTTATTTTTGTAGAGATGGGGTCTTGCTATGTTGCCCAGGCTGGTCTTGAACTCCTGGCCTCAAGTGATCATCTCACCTCAGCCTCCCAAAGTGCTGAGATTAACAAGTATGAGCCACCTTGCCTGGTGGATATATTTTTAATGCAGTAGTCTTCAAACTGTTTTTGTTGTTGTTGTTGCTTTGAGAAAGGGTCTCGCTCTGCTGTCCAGGCTGGAGTGCAGTGGCATGATCATAGCCCACTGCAGCCTTGATCTCCTGGGCTCAAACGATCCTCCCACCTCAGCCTCCCGAGTAGGTGGAACTACAGGTGCGTGCCACCATGCCCAGCTAATTTTTCTTTTTTTAAATTTTTAAATTTTTGTAGAGATGAGGTCTTATTATGTTGCCCAGGCTGGTCTTGATCTCCCAGGATCAAGTGATCCTCCCACCTTAGCCTCAACAAAGTGCTAGAATTATAGGCATCAGCCACTGTGCCTGGCTGTATTCTTCAAACTGGGATGTGCCGTGTTTTGTTTGTCTTGTGGAATAGTGTCACAGTGGGACCCCATGATTCAGTATCCTATGTTGATCTTCAGGGAATCTGCTATATATATTTTTTTTTCTTTTTTTTTTTTTTTGAGACGGAGTCTCGCTCTGTCGCCCAGGCTGGAGTGCAGTGGTGCAATCTCAGCTCACTGCAACCTCCACCTCCAGGGTTCAAGTGATTCTCCTGCCTCAGCCTCCCAAGTAGCTGAGACTACAGACACGAGCCATCACCCCCGGGAAATTTTTTGTATTTTTAGTAGAGACGGGGTTTGGCCATACTGGCCAGGCTGATCTCTAACTCCTGACCTCAGGTGATCTGCCCGCCTTGGCCTCCCAAAGTATTGGGATTACAGGCGTGAGCCACTGTGCAGCAGAATCTGCTATATTCTTAACTCAAAGCAATGTCCATGAGGCTGTGGAGAAACAGGCACAGTCATACATTGCTGGTGGTGGGAGAACATATTGGCAAAATCTCTATGGAGGAGAGTTTGACAATAGCAACCAAAATTACAAATGTACATATTATCTGACCCAGCAATTTCACATCTAGTCTACAGGTAGATGGACATGCGTGAAAATGGCACATGTCCAAGGTTATCTATGGCATCTCTGCATGTAATAAAAGCAAAAACTTAGAAACAGCATAAATGTCCATCAATATCAAACTTCCATACTACGTAGACATAAATGAGGAAGCTCCTTACATATTGACATGGCAAGATCTCCAAAACATAATGAAAAAAATGGCTAGGTATAAAACAGTGCCATTTATTTATTTATGAGACGAAGTCTTGCTCTGTCGCCTAGGCAGGAGTGCAGTGGTGTGATCTTGGCTCACTGCAACCTCTGCCTCCCGGGTTCAACAGTGCTTTTTATGTAATGTCATTGGCATTAAAAAATCTGTGGGCTGGGCGCAGTGGCTCACACCTGTAATCCCAGCACTTTGGGAGGCTGAAGCAGTCGGATCACCAGGTCAAGAGATCTAGACCATCCTGGCCAACATGGTGAAACCCCATCTCTACTAAAAATACAAAAAATTAGCTGGGCATGGTGGCACACACCTGTAGTCCCAGCTACTCGGGAGGCAGAGGCAAGAGAATCGCTTGAATCCAGGAGGTGGCTGCAGTGAGCCGAGATTGCGCCACTGCACTCCAGCCTGGTGACAGGGCGAGACTCCATCTCAAACAAACAAACAAAATCTGTGGAAGGATAGTCAAGAAATTATTAAAATTACTAACCAGGGTTGCCTGTGGAAGGATGACTGAGTGGTGATGACGATGGAAGGGCGACTTTTCAGGGAATATCTTTTATACTCCACGAAAAACAAATGGCTGGGTGCAGTGGCTCATGCCTATAATCAGTACTTTGGGAGGCCAAGGCGGGCGGATCACAAGGTCAGGAGTTTGAGACCAGCCTGGCCAACATAGTGAAACCCCATCTCTACTAAAAATACAAAAATTAGCTGGGCATGGTGGCACGTGCCTGTAGGCCCAGCTACTTGGGAGGCTGAGGCTGGAGAATCACTTGAACCCAGGAGGCAGAGGTTGCTGTGAGCCAAGATTGCACCACTGCATTCCAGCTTGGGCGACAGAGCAAGACTTGGTCTCAATAAAAAAATAAAAATAAAAAAAGCCTTGAGAATGTGTTACCTACGCAACATAAATAAAAAATTAAAAATAGAAAGTCTAAATGCATGCTTTGTACTCCCTTTGTTGGTTACAGGAATATCTATGATTCTCCATACATGAGGAATGGAGAGTCCAGTGTTGATATGATGGATTCCATGTTACTGATCTACAGCAAAAGCACATCCGAAAACTGAGCTTCGTGATTCATGGAGGCCATTCTATAACATCATATGGAAAGCTGATCAGCTGAGCATGAGGCAACAGCAAGTCTATACAGGACCTGAGGACATGGTGGCTTCAACATGTGTGTCCCCAGCCTGGTCACAAGGGTGGGTCTGGACGAAGTGGTGGCCTAAGCAGGGTCTACCTTTCCCCTTCATTGCTCCATGTGGCCACAGGACAGTATTTCCTGGGTTGAGAAGATGATCTCAGAGAAAGAACTCTGGTCTTAGGCACCCCTGCCAAATCCCCAACATCAAAGCCTCAAGTCAGTTCTACAACCTCAAAGAGCTCCCAGTTCCTTGGTTCTTATCTTAACTGTATGGGTCTCATGCTTTATCAACCATCCAAAAGTAGCAGGAACTCCCAACAAATGAAGTGATGAAGTGAGATAGTACCAGGGTAACAAGTTGTATCTGGCCTTCTTAGGGATGAACTATTCACCAGAGGGCCAGCTCTAAGGGAATGTCAAATAGAGGCACTAGAAAAGAGGCACTCTGGCTTCCAGGTAATGACAGTATAATGAGCCTGAGACCCCGAATGACCTGTCCAACATCACAAATCCTTCTGATTCTGAACTGGAAGAGAGGAGCCTGAGTACGCCTCATACATTTTTTTTTTTTTTTTTTTTTTTGAGACAGAGTCTCGCTCTGTCGCCCAGGCTGGAGTGCAATGGCATGATCTTAGCTCACCACAACCTCCGCCTCCCAGGTTCAAGCTATTTTCCTGCCTCAGCCTCCCCAGTGGCTGGGACTACAGGCGCCTGCCACCATGCCCGGCAAATTTTTGTATTTTTAGTAGAGATGGGGTTTTACCATGTTTGCCAAGCTGGTCTCGAACTCCTGACCTCAGGTGAACCACCCGCCTCAGCCTCCCAAAGTGCTGGGATTACAGACATGAGCCACCACACCCGGCTGGCCTCATACTTTTGCCAGCAAAAGAGACAATTGCATAGGATTTGTGAGACCATCACATTTCTATATCTTGACTGATAGCTGCCAGGGTAAAAGGCATTTGAAGTTTGTTGGCAGCTTTAGGAAACAGCACTCAAAACAGGTTAGGGCCATCTGTTAAAGACAATGGCTTCAGCTGCACTTGGATTTGTATTGCAGGTGGTTTTTTTTTTTTTTTTCTCTCTTTTTGAGATGAAGTCTTGTTCTATAGCCCAGGCTGGAGAGCAATGGTGCGATCTTGGCTCACTGCAACCTCCGCCTCCTGGGTCCTGGTTCAAGCAATTCTCCTGCACGCCACCATGCCCAGCTAATTTTTGTATTTTTAGTAGAGATGGGGTTTCACCATGTTGGCCAGGCTGGTCTTGAATTCCTGACTTCGTGATCTGCCCATCTCAGCCTCCCAAAGTGCGGATTACAGGTGTGAGCCACTACACCCGGCCAGGTTTCGTTTTTTTTGTTTGTTTGTTTTTTCTTTTTTCACTCTCCAGGACAAAATTTCCCCATTCCATTACGTGGTAGATGTTGACTATGTCTCCTCTAAACTAATTTTGTGGGTGACTAATTTTGTCAATTAGGATGAGCTATATCTTATACTCTTATCTGGTCAAAGAGACTCTCCTCACGATATAAACGTAGACATCTAAATGACACAAGAATAAACACAGCCACAGGGACAGTTTCCAGATGCAGTTAAAGGGTTACACTGCCACGGAGTGTGTTTTCCTTAACACCTGACTCTTTTAGGGGAAAATAACATTCTTACTTTCTGTTACAGTGATTATAATTTAAGTTCCTGGAGAGCATGCCTTTCAGCCTAATTAGCACCTAACAAAGAATGTGCCCACAGATACCAAATGATTAATACTACTAGGTTACATAGCTAACTGAGCTCTTTAGCTCAGATTTGAATCCTGATTCAGTTCTGCTTATTGTAATATCTAAGTTGAACTCCTGAGACCAGATATGAAACTCTTCATCTACCACAGAACTGTGAGCTTCTAAGAGAAGCTCCTGGCAAGGAAGTAAATGTTGAACGAAAGAATGGAGGAGGGAAGGAACTGAAGCCCCCACCACTCCAACCCTTCCCAACCACTCCCAACTCTTCCCTAGTCCAGCTAAGTGGATGACTTTTCCCTCATCGGGATTACCATCTTGCCTCATCTTTGACATGCACGTTCACTGTTTCCACGGAGACCCAGATCAGGAACAAGCTTTCCCTGGCTAATGTCACACTCCAGCCCCATGTTTCGTCTGCACTTGGCAGTGAAGCCACAACAGGGGGTTGTCTGCGGTGCTCCCTGAGGGCACAGATTCGTCTTCTCCATCATCGTATCCTCATGTGACATAGTGCCCACCACATGGCAGGCACTCACTGGGTATTACTTCAGCGAATGAAGGAAGAAATCTTATTGCCAATACCACTACCTGGTGTAGAACTCAGCAGTTTCCAAAATGCTCTCAGATACACATATATTATCATGTTTATTCTAAGCACTTAATTCATCAACTCCCACAATAGGAGGGGCTGAGAACACAACTCATTCCTAGTCTAAAGTGGTCATTTTGGCTGGGTGTGGTGACTCATGCCTGTAATCCCAGCACCTTGGGAGACCGAGGCAGGTGGAGGCTTGAGCCCAGGAGTTCAGGACCAGCCTGGGCAGCATGGTGAAACCCTCTCTACCAAAAATACAAAAATTAGCTAGGCGTGGTGGTGCCCATCTCTGTAGTCCCAGCTACTCAGGAGGCTGACATGGGAGGACTGATTGAGCTGGAGAGGTCACTGCTGCAGTGAGCCTCCATGATTGCGCCACTGCACTCCAGCCTGGGTGACAGAACAAGACCTTGTCAAAGAAACAGATAAGGGGCCGGATGCAGTGGCTCAAGCCTGTAATCCCAGCACTTTGGGAGGCCAAGGCGGGCGGATCACAAAGTCAGGAGATAGAGACCATCCTGGTTAACACGGTGAAACCCCGTCTCTACTAAAAATACAAAAATTAGCCGGGCGCGGTGGTGGGCACCTGTAGTCCCAGCTACTCAGGAGGCTGAGGCAGGAGAATGGCGTGAACCCGGGAGGCAGAGCTTGCAGTGAGCCGAGATGGCGCCACTGCACTTCAGCCTGGGTGACGAGCGAGACTCCGTCTCAAAAAAAAAAAAAAAAAAAAAAGAAATAGACAATAAAATAAAATAAAGCAGTCATTTTGCAGATGAAGAGACAGAGGCCTGCGTTGCCAGAGGAGTCCCAAAGGATCACATAGCTACCTGGTGGCAGAGCAGGGCCTAACACCTGACCACCAGTGTTCTTCCCATACTCCGCTGTCTCTTGCCAGGTGATGGTGTTCTTTTATTTCCTGAGAGTAGACATTTCCTAGGCTCCAAAAGACTTGAATATCCAGCTGCTTACTCAACATCTCGACTTTGATATCCAAAAAACACTTCGAACTTGACATGTTCAAGAGTGAATTCCTTATCTCCTCCTTCTAACAACCTGCCCTCCTTCCAGGCTCCCCAATTTCAGTAGATGGGAATTTTACCATTTTGTTACTTAGGCCAAAAATGTGGGAGCCAGGCAGATCACGAGTTCAGGAGTTTGAGACCAGCCTGGCAAATATGGTGAAACCCCATCTCTACTAAAAATACAAAAATTAGCCGGGTGCGCTGGCATGCACCTGTAGTCCCAGCTACTCAGGAGGCTGAGGCAGAAGAATCACTTGAACCCAGGAGGCGGAGGTTGCAGTGAGCTGAGATCACGCCACTGCACTCCACCGTGGGCGACAGAGCGAGATGTCTTGAAAAAAAAAAAAATTGTAGCCACCCTCAACTGCTATTTCTTTTATATATCACATCCAGTCCATCAGCAAATCCTGTTGGCTCCTTTCCAAATACATCCAGAAGCCAACCACTTCTCACCTTTCCATTGCTTCACCTTGGGTTCAAGCCACCAACTTCTCTTGTTTAGACTATTGTAGTAGCCTCCTAACCAGTTTCTCTCCTTCCATTTTTGCCCCGTTATAGCTTATTCTCAACACAGCAGCCACAATGACCTTTTCAATATGTCAGGCCATGTTATTTATCTGCCTAGAATTCTCTAATGGCTACCATCTCACTCACAACTCACACTACAAGCCAGTGGCCTGTGTGATCTGCCCCCAATTCACCCCCACCGCAACATCTGCCATTTCTTCTCTCACTAATATACTGCAGCCGTATTGGCTGGCTTCCTCATGTTTCTTGAATATATAGGGCACATTCCTGCCTCAGGGCCTTTGTGTTTGCTGTTCTTCCTGACTGGAATAAATTTCCCCTAGATGTATGCTTGACTTACCCCCTAACTTCCTTCAGGTCTTTGCTCAAATGTTACCTTTTTAGTGGGAACCTCTTCAACTACCCTATTTAAAATTTTAACACCCAGAATCCTGGCATTTTCTTCTTCTTCTTCTTCTTTTTTTTTTTTTTTTGAGACAGAGTCTCGCTCTGTCGCCCAGGCTGGAGTGCAGCAGCGTGATCTCAGCTCACTGCAACCTCTGCCTCCTGGGTTGAAGTGATTCTCGTGCCTCAGCCTCCCGAGTAGCTGGGATTACAGGTGCCTGCCACCACGCCTGGCTAATTTTTGTATTTTTAGTAGAGCTGGGGTTTCGCCATGTTGGCCAGGCTGGTCTCAAACTCCTGGCCTCATGTTATCTACCCAACCCAGCCTCCCAAAGTGCTGGGATTACAGGTGTGTGCCACTGCACCTGGCCTACTCCTGGCACTTTCTATCTCCCTTCTCTGCTTAATTTTCTCAATATATATTTTACTTATTTGTTTATTGTCTGTCTCTACCCTGTCCATTCCTCAAACAGTGAGCTCACTGCTCTATTCCCAGTACCTAGAAAAGTACCTGGCACACAGCAGATATTCACCAAATATTTGTGGGATGAATGAATCAGTGAATGAATGAATATATATACCTTTAGGATCTCCCAGTAACTTGAAACCTTTAGGCAAGAAGGGGAAGACCCTAGTAGAGCTCTGGTCTCTCTCCAGCCCTCAGTCCCTCTTTCCTCCTTACTGCCTCACCCTCTTCTCAGGTCCAGTCCAGCCCTATTCCACCAGAAACCATACCTAAGCTGAGAAGCAGTGCAACAGGTGCTTGATGCCAGGATGTTACAATTCCCAGGCCACTAGGTACAGAATTCTGCAGGGTGCTAATTTTTAAATTTAGCATCCTGATATCTCACAAACAGAAGAGGTCAGAGAAAGGTTAGGACTAAATATACTACTTAACCTAGATAACAGTACTGATTCAGAAACAGTAGCTCATTTGCTCTGAGGTGTTTTCCAAGGAACAGTGCTAAATTTGCACTTGTTCACCTAGCTGCCCCTGCCTTTAATCTTTTTATAATGGATTTCCAACATACACAAAAATGGAAAGAATGGTATAATGAACCTCTTGAACCCATTATCCAACTTCAAAAATTACCAACATTTTGCCTCCTTGGTTTCCTCTGTTCCTTAATCGTCTCTGCAACCCACACTAAATATTTCAAACTAGCTGTTTTCTTGAGAACAGATTTATATAAGACAGCCCCTGATGCTGTTACCACTGTATTTGAGCAACTGCGTCAAACAACCTATCTTACCAGAAATACAGTAGAAAAAGAAAAGCACTTACACCCATTCCCCCACCCGAGCAATGACTAAAAAAGGAAGTGTCTAAATTACCGACGTTTAAATCAAGGGACATGCCCATTATCATGTTTGGAGAACTTTGGGGAGGGGTGTTGTGTCCACAAAATGAATGTAGACATGAACTGCTTTTACTTTTGTACACCTGATGCAGAATTTCTGAGTGAGTTAATTTAATCCAACAGGTAAGTACTGACTACCTGCTAAATGTGAGGGAAGAGATGAAGACAGAAGATAAAGAAAACCAGCCAGGTGCAGTGGCTCATGCCTGTAATCCTAGCACTTTGGGAGGCTGAGGCGAGTGGATCACCTGAGGTCAGGAGTTAGAGATCAGTCTGGCCAACATGGTGAAACCCTGTCTCTACTAAAAATACAAAAATTAGCTGGGCATGGTTGCAGGCGCCTGTAACACCAGCTACTTGGGAGGCTGAGGTGTGAGAATCACTTGAACTCAGGAGGAGGAGGTTGCAGTGAGCCAAGACTGCACCACTGCACTCCAGCCTGGGTGACAGAGTAAGACTCCATCTCGAAAAGAAAAGAAAAAAGAAAACCTAGTCTCTGTTCTCACAGAGCTCACAGAGTGGGGTTGAGAAAAGTACACAAATAACTCAAATACAAGGCAGAATAAGTTCTGTGCCCTAAGTAAACAAATCTAAGGCAAGAACTCCTTTTTAAAATCCACCCACAGCAGTTGTAGAACCCAGGGTATACCCTTTCCTCAACTCTAGTTTTAGTTTCTGCTGTATTTATTGCTGCACAGCCAATAAGTACATTATAAGAGACCTGGGAATTTGGTGACCCACAGAATAGACTTTTGGATGTGGATCTTTGATGTCACATTTTGCTACTGACTCTTCAGACTTCAGTGGTTGGGGATTATCAAGTTTTCCCAGGGCTTGGAAAACAATGGGGCTAATTCAGTGCCTGCAGAAGCTGACACCCAAAGCATTCTACTCTGAGGGCATATACAGCAAGCAGCTTCATAACAGGATAGGATAGTGGGAGGGTGTCCAGGAGACACAGCTAGATTGATTCTGAAGGACTTCAAAGGGCTCTCTCCCTGCCCTCTAAAAAACCAAGATCCTTTGGTGATCTATTATCAGAAGTCATCAGAAGTTCCCAGAGAAGAGTGTAGTTCTCTGGATAAACCGAAGAGACTGATGAAGTTTGGTGGAACAGTGCAGCATATGAAGGAAGCAGAGCTGAAAGCAGCAGGGGCATACGCATGGCCCTGGAGATAGATGCACAAGAGAGTGGAGGAAGAAAGGAGCAGACCTGAGATGGAAGGGAGATTTATATTGTAATCAATTATCAAGATTGGTGAGGTGAGGATGGCTGAGGGGACAAATAAGAGGAAGGCAGGAAGAGGAGGCCCTGTGGAAGGGTGAAAGACAATCCGGGTTTGAAAAGGTGAGGGAGGAATCTGAGAGGCAGGATCTCACAGGATACTGGGCAAGGGTATGAGAGGAGAGGCCTTAGAATGGGAGGGTGTGCAAGTTATACAGGATTGCTTCATGCTGGGATGGAAGGAGCCGATTCCATTGAAGCTAGTCACATCAAGAGGTCACTAAATGAAGGACAAATTATATGAAGGTTTCAGGTCACAGAATGTGGCTGAGGATGGCAGAAGGTGGGGTGGTGGGAGTAGAACACTGAGACTAAAAAATAGGATGAAAGGCAACTGGGCTAGATGGTTTTAGAGCATACAGACTTGTGGATTCCTGGGGCTAAGGGACTTAACAAGATGAAAGGATTTGGGGTAAAGTGCCAGTGAGGTGGGAGACACTGTATGGTGAGTGAGTTCACAGGGAAAGGGCTGGAAGCGTCAAAGATTCATAGAACAAGAGATATTTGGGCAAAGGATGAAGAGAGAAGTTGACTGGGTTCAAGACACTACTCCAAAATATGGCAACTTGAGAAAATGGCAGTAGGAAGGTCACTCTCACTTTCTCTGAGGCTCTTCTCCCCTGAAGCAGATCACAAAACCTAGGAAGGATTTTTCTGACTTTCCCCTGAAGCAGGTCATAATACCCTCCTCATAAAGAGGTGCCCTCCCTATACTCAGAGGAAAGAAGCACCCTTATCTGTGAAGACACAGGGACACAGAGAAGAGTCTGAACAAACAGGCCTTGCTAAGTTTCTCCCAGTTTATTACTATTTGATATTACCCTTTTTGTATTTTTCCACAACTATCCACTCTTCATCAGATCTAGTATAAAAATATACAAGTTTAATCATTTCTTTAGGTCTTCATTTCCTTATGAAGGCTCCTGTCACATAAAACTTACATTAAATAAATGTATATAATCTTCTCTTATTAAATCTGTTGTTATAGGGGCCTAAGCCATGAACCTAAGAAGATATTTTCCCTCCCCTACAAGGTGCAGGGGCTTCAGGGGATATGAGATCAAAAGTCATGAACAGCAGGATGAGAAAGTCACCAAGTTACATGGCAAACGGTAATAGAAACCTTGGGGGTCAGGGCCAGTCTTGGTGGCTCACGCCTATAATCTCAACTACTTGAGAGGCTAAGGTGGGAGGATCTCTTGAGGCTAGGAGCTCAAGAACAGAAACCTTAGGGATCAAGGAACGAGCTGATGTTGTATTTAGGAATTACTAGAAAATAAGGAATAAGGAGCTGAGGTTGAGTAAGTCTGGGGGAAAGACAGGCAATGGAGTAGGGTTTTGTTTTGTTTTTTTAAACTGTGGGTTCAAATCTTAGCTCTGCTACTTAGCTGTGAGAGTTTCTGGTTCATTTCTCTGAAACCAACCAACCAACCAAACAAAAATATGGGAAGGGAAAATGGTGGATATAATAATAATTAACTCTTGGGGCTGTTGAGACGTAAATTTAACTTATATATCCAGAGCTTGGCACACAGTAGGTATTCAGCAAGCCAATCGTTATTGAGGCAAAATCAGGGTAAGAACCAGAGAAGTGAGGCTACAGCAGAGATGAGAAGATAGGGATTCCAAGATGTCAGTAGTAGCAACATAATGCAAGGTATGGGCCACATGTTCAGTCTGTTAAATCCCTAGCACTCAGGACAGAGTAAGATCCATAGCAGCTTCTCATTTCTAACAACAGCTTATGCTAAGGGTTCCCATGAGCCAGGCATGGTGCCCGGTGCTTTACATATGTTATGTCAGGCACTACTATTTTCTCCCTTCGCAGAGGTGGAGACTGAAGTTAAGACAGGCTAAATAATATACCAAAAGTCCCATAGCTGAAGGGCCAGAATCAGTCTGGAACCTAGGTTTGTTATGAACTCAATGCCCCCAAATGAAGCACTCTGCTATACTGCTTTGCAAACATGTTAACTGATGGGGCCTGATCAAGGGAAATGGGTATGCACTATGAAGAGTGAAGAGGGTGATCCGGGAATGAGGGAGTAAGGTTCATGATGCAAGCAGATCCTGGGATGAGGTTACAAGAGGAAATTTCCAGGGTGGGGTACAAAAATGATTGCAAAAAATTATTATCTTGACTGAGAACTGCATAATTTCACAATTTCACAGACGGAAGGAAACTCAAAGATCATCTAACCCAACCTCATCACAGTCATGATGAGAAACTGAGGTCCAGACTGAGGAGGGGACTTCTCACAGGTCCCTAAAGCACAGCAGTGACAGAGCTGGGACCACACACTGGATTGACTGGATTCTGGATTGATCCAGAATTCTCTGATGCCTCCAATTATTACTACTTCATATTAATCTCTATATCCTCCTTAGCACCAGAAAGGTGCTGGACGCTTGTAAGTCATGTGCTGATTGACACTGAAGGGCTGGGATCGCAGAGAGAGATGCCAGTGGGGGTGATTTTAGGATAAAGGCAGACGTGGAACGAGGGTCATACGGCTACAGGATAAAGATACTGAGGGTTGTGTACAAGGTGAGTGCGTGGAAAACTATTGGAGTAGGGCTTAGGAGTCGCCAGCAGAGTTTTGAGGGGAGTCACCGAGTTTGTGGGGAACACAAGGTAGAATCGGGGGGGTTACTGGGCCAGGAGGGTTACCCAGGTTTGGGGGTCACTAAGGAGGAGTGTGGGGATCTCAGGGTCATGTGAGTCACCGGATTAAAACTGAGGGAGTCACTGGTTGGTGGGTCTCTGAGAAGTGCTGGGGAAATTCCTGGGTTAGCAGCCAATGAATAATAACCAACGGTTACCTGGTGAGGTCTTGGGGTCAGTGGGTGGGGTGTGGGGTCACAAGGGTGGAGGCGGGCGCCGTCACGGGGTGAGGTTTGGGAGTCACGGGGGAGGAGCCGCAAGGCGGAAAAGAGGGGCAGGGACCCTGGGTGGGGGAGGGGGCCCGGCCGCGGTCCAGCGGCCAGGCCGCCCTGCTAGGGCCGGAGGGAGGTGGGCACGCCGGGCTCGGGACCTTCCCGGGGTCCTGCGCCCGCCCGGCCTCCCGCCCTGGGCATGGTTGGCCCACTCCTCCCGCAGCCACCAACCTGACAGCCCCCGAGGGCGACTCCGCCGACAGACCGCCATGCACCGGGCCCCGCCACCAGCGCCGGCCCCACAACCCGCCTGCGCCATAGCCCGCCCGCCCGCGCGCAGCTTGCCTCGCGCGATATCCAGGTTCCAGGGCCGCCGCACTTTCCTTTCCTCTTGGCGCGCCTCTACCGGGCCCCGGAACCCGTATAGAAAATACCGGGCACGGTCCACCCCGCCCCCCGCTTCGCCGCGGCAGCCATCCAACTTATCCTGGTTCCGGGGCTCCTGGAGCCCAGGCGGCCGGGATCTGAACCGAGCTCTTCGGAGCCCCGCCCCCACCAAGGCCGGGGTGACGCATGGCCAGCGAGGCTGAGCGCCCAGGGAAGGCGTGCTGACGTCACGACGCCCGGGTCAGGGCCTGGGCGCGGCTCGGAGCCGGGTCGTCGCTATAGCAATCGGGAACCGCTACCTGTCCATTCCAAGGATTCGGTCCAGCAGAAGCGTGAGGAGGTGGCGGAGGCCCCGAGGGCTTTGCGTCATCACTTCTGCGGCCTGCGGGCGAGAAGGTGCGCTTCGGGAGTAGCGCGGGAGGACAGGAGGCGCAGGTTGTGAGGGACGCAGGCCCTGGGGCTTCGGTCTCTGTCCTCCGAGCTCAGAGCCTCCAGGCTTCTTCCCGGCCGCGCGCTCAGCACTCACTGTCTTACGGTCCCGAAGCGCTTTAAGGTGCGCAGTCCGCAGGCCTTGCCTACTGATCTTCCAGCCACCCCTTGAAGGAAGCAGTTGCAGGTATTAAGAGCTCCTTATTGAAAAGGACGATGTAGAGGGGCGGTGAGGGACTCGCCTCCGCAGGGAGGGCGCCCTGGCGGTCTTCTCAGGTTCTCTCTCATTCCCGCGTCAGCTCCACCGTCAGGCTCGAAACCGACTACTCCCTTTTGTAGGCTTGCTTTGGGTTGAACATAAAAACCAAGCCCCTTTACTATTTCCCTGCTGGGAGGGGCTGCGATTGGGAAATTTTCAGAAACCTGAGGGAAAATTAAAAGGGAGCGAGCTTTCGGTAAAAAATCAAATTAAAAAGGAGGGGCGTTAGAGAAGGAACTGGTAAAGATTGCCTTTTAGGAGAGGAACTGGGTGGCTGGAAGAATGAGGTGAGAAACTTTCCCCTCTCTATCCTTTCAGACTTTAACTGGTTTCTTTTGTATCTTCCCCGCCCCGAAAACAATTTAACTTAATAAGAATAATTTTTAAAGGACGTAAACTAGACACAGTTACAAAGTACGGGGTTTGGGGCTTGTGGTAGCTAAAGGTGTCTTTGGGGATGCGGGCATCCTTTTCCTCTCCTGCCTGAAGAGCTTAACTAGAAAGCCCCCCTTTCGGTCTTAGACATCCCCTCTTCCTGACTTGTTCTGGCTGGGACCAGAGTTCAGTTTAGGTAGGCCAGTGAGTGACATTTGATGGTTAGAATTCCTACGGTTAGAATTAATCCCTTCTGTATCTCCTAGTATGGAAATAAACTGCCTGGCCACTATGCTGCCCTCTTTCCATTCCTTTTTGGTGGAAGTTTGACAAGTTATTTCCCATAGAAAATAACTTATAGGCCGGGCGCCGTGGCTTAAACGCCTGTAATCCCAGCACTTTGGGAGGCTGAGGCGGGCGGATCACGAGGTCAGGAGTTCGAGACCAGCCTGGTCAACATAGTGAAACCCCCCCTCTCTACTAAAAATACAAAAAAATTAGCTGGGCGTGGTGGCGGGCGCCTGTAATCCCAGCTACTCCGGAGGTTGAGGCAGGAGAATTGCTTGAACCCGGGAGGCGGAGGTTGCAGTGAGCCAAGATCGCACCATTGCAGTCCAGCGCGGGCAACAGTGTGACTCCGTCTCAAAAAAAGAAAAAAAAAAAGAAAAAGAAAAAGTACCTTATAGATACAGAGAGAAGATTAAGTAGCTCCTCTTATAATATGAATTGAGGGTTAGAAATACCGCAGGGAATAGAACTCAGGCTGTACCTGAGTTTGTCCCTCTCCAACCACCCTTTTTCCATAGCTCTCTCTGTATATATATATCTGTCTTTTCTCACATTCCTTACGGATCGTAATCTGATGGCCAGTCACCTCTGCAATTATACATTTAACAAGAGCTCTGGGAAACAGTGTCTGAATCTGAAGTAATGATCCTAATGGAAGGTAATTTCAGGTTCTCAGGAGAATTGGTGAGGATATTTTGGAGGGCAGTATTGAAGACCATTGCTAGCAGTTTCTCTCCTATCCCTTCCACTCAACATATAGGCTGGTGATCTTCAGACATTTTTTAGAATGAACCCATAAAAGAATTTTGAAGAGCTATGTACCTCTTGTTCATTTTTAAGTTGATACCTAAATTTTCCTTCATTAATTTAAATACTTATAGAGGATACAATTTCAAATTTTGACATCTTAAACTAAGACTTACATCATTCTTTTTTTCTGAGACGGAGTCTCGCTCTGTCAACCAGGCTGGAGTGCTGCAGTGGCGAAATCTCAGCTCACTGCAACTTCCCCTTCCAGGTTCAAGCAATTCTCCTGCCTCAGCCTCCCGAGTAGCTGGGACTACAGGTATGCGCCACCATGCCTGGCTAATTTTTAGTAGAAACGGGGTTTCATGGTGTTAGCCAGGATGGTCTCGATCTCCTGACCTCGTGATCCGCCCGCCTTGGCCTCCCAAAGTGCTGAGATTACAGGCATGAGCCACCACACTTGGTCTACATCATTCTTAATGTATCTGGCAGGGCAGGCACAGTGGCTCATGCTTGTAATCCCAGCACTTTGGGAGGCTGAGACAGGCGGATCCCGAGGCCAGGAGTTCGAGACCAGCCTGGCCAAGATGGTGAAACCCTGTCTCTACTAAAAATACAAAAATTAGCCGGGCATGGTGGTGCGTACCTGTAGTCCTAGCTACTCGGGAGGCTGAGGCAGGAGAATCACTTGAACTCGGGAGGCGGAGGTTGCAGTGAGCTGAGATCGTGCCACTGCACTCTAGCCTGGGCTACAGAGTGAGACTGTCTCACATTAAAAAAAAGTATCCGGTGGATTCCAAGTACCCTAAAAATCTAATGCCTACCATCATCCACTTAAAAATATATGAACAAGCTCTTCAACAGAAATTTTATATGGTTCTCTTTCTCCTTATACTTTGAATTCCATTCACTTCCTGTAATCATTAGTATATAACTTACTAAACTTTTTTTTTTTACTAAATATTACTAAATACTAAATTTTCCTAAATATTTTTAACATTTTTATGACTTGTGAAACCTAAAAAGTACAATTTTTATTGAAAATGCATCTGTTAATGAGAAATATGGTGTTTCTCCCCAATTAGTTCAGGTATTCATGGATTAATATTACCTAATGGTAGAAGGAGATAAGGTGCAACATCAATCCTTTACCTGTTTTTTATTTTTATAGACATGAGTATTGAGAAACCTTGTTTCCACAATTGGGAAAGGAAGAGATTTGTTACAATGATATTCTTTGAGTCTTTGAACTTCTAAATTATATGCCAACAATCACAGAGTGATCTATTAATACTATCAAATAGAGTCTTCTTTTAATTTTGTTAAAAGCAAAGGATTAGAAACCACTGAACTTCCAAAAGGATTTAGTTATTAGAGTCTCAGTTTTGGTTTTATTAAACATGATTATTAATTATCTGTGACCTTTACACTCAGAGACACTTTGTTAATCAGATATTGATTTCCATACTTCTTTGCCTACACAATATTTTTTGGTAAAATTCTTTAATTATTACATGTCTTCAAGAACTTTTTGTTAAACTGAAATGCAGATTCAGCTCATTCACTGTATAGAAAACAACTGCCATTTGTGGAATTGGCAAAGCCAGTTTTCATTTCAAACCAATCAGCCAAATCAGACCTACTTTCTGTTAGAAACATGTCTGACTTTATTCTTCCATTCAAATAAATATGTTAACATTCATTTTGAGGAATATTATAAAAATTATTAGGAAATAAATGATTAACTATAGCTTATAAAATGGACCACTGATAAACCAGTCAAGATTAAAATTATTTAGACCTACTATTAACATAATAAATGGTAAAAATAAGATAGTACTGTTTTTCATTATATAATTAGGAATAATGCTGTATAATGTATAGTTAAATCCATCAGTTTTGAGAAGTCATATAGAAGGCATATATTCCCTTGGTAAATGTGTGTGCCTGCTTTCATCAAACTCTTGTTGTTCAGCTTTTGGGAACAATTAAATGAGAATCATGTCTAAAAATCAGAAATAACTAATAATCTTGTTACACAAATTTTTTTCTTCTGTATTTTTTAGAAAGGAAAGCTGTATTTGCTAAGAAATAATGAATTGAGCAGCTAGCAATTTCACTTTTTACTAGGAGGTAGAAAATAATAAACATTTTATATAAGATAAAATAGGAAGACTGATTGCAATGGGAATATTTTGATATGAAGTGGAAAATAATTGCTCCCTCCAAGCTCCTCAGGTTTTTACACCCTGGACCATGCATCAAGATTCAGTGTAGGGGAGAGACATTCCTTTCTTTTGTAAAGTAGGACAAGGACTATGGTGAAAGTGGGGGCAGTGGTAGAGTGGAGAATGTGCATGAATATGTCAGCTGGCTCCCAAATGGATTGGTTTTTAGAATTTTTTTTTTTTTTTTTTTTTGAGACGGAGCCTCGCTCTGTCACCCAGGCTGGAGTGCAATGGCATGATCTCAGCTCACTGTAACCTCTGCCTCCCGGGTTCAAGCGATTCTCCTGCCTCAGCCTCCTGAGTAGCTGGGATTATAGGCGCGTGCCACCACGCCCGGCTAATTTTTGTATTTTTAGTAGAGATGGGGTTTCACCTTGTTGGTCATGCTGGTCTCAAACTCCTGACCTTGTGATCTGCCTGTCTTGGCCTCCCAAAGTGCGGGGATTACAAGCATGAGCCACTGTGCCTGGCCGTTTTTTTTGTTTTTGTTTTTGTTTTTTGAGATGAAGTTTTGCTCCTGTTGCCCAGGCTGGAGTGCAGTGGCACGACCTCGGCTCACTGCCACCTCCGCCTCCTGGGTTCAAGCGATTCTCATGCCTCAGCCTGCCAAGTAGCTGGGATTACAGGTGCCTGCCACCACGCCCGGCTGTTTGTTTTTTTTTTTTTCTGAGATGGAGTCTTGCTCTGTTACCCAGGCTGGAGTGCAGTGGCCCAATTCAGCTCCCTGCAACCTCCCCTTCCTGGGTTCAAGAGATTCTCCTGCCTCAGCCTCCCAGGTAGCTATAATTACAGGTGTGCACTGCCACACCCGGTTAATTTTTGTATTTTTAGTAGAAATGGGGTTTCACTATGTTGGCCAGGCTGGTCTCAAACTCTTACCTCAGGCGATCCGCCCGCTACAGCCTCCCAAAGTGCTGGGATTACAGGTGTGAGCCAGTGCACCCGGCCTGGTTTTAGAAAATATTTTATAGGGAAGTTGAGGATCTGGAAATTTATTCCTTTAAAACTCTCCTCAGACTGATTTGAGGCTATTTCCTGGGTATTCCTTGCAGTCTTACGTACCCTAGGAAAAATCTTCATTTACCCCACTTGGAAGACTTCTTAATATAGGCATATCCAAACTCCAATGTCCCTGACTATCCATTATTTTGAGACACCAAAGCAAATGTCCTACGAAGTAAGGAGGAAGACGTGTTGTTCTTAGAATAGAAGTGAGTTATGAGAGAAGTCAAAGAGGATGGCTCCAAGTTGGTATAGTGTGAAGGTCATGGATATGGTCCTTGGCTTTGCAGTTCTAGAAGTGTGATTTTGGGTCAGTCCACACAAAGGTGTTCATGTTTTGTCACATTAAATCAAACTCATAGGAAGTTAATGTACATAATAGAATGCCAGTGCATTCTTTTATACTTACAGCCACCAAGTGAACTGGATTATCGCTCCTGTTGGGTAAATCTTATCTGGGAAGATCAATTATAATCAGAAAGTTACATGAGGAGTGTGGATCTTGAGCATGGCTATTGTCAATAAGCTGATGAGCAGGTGCTCACTACCTGGCATATAATAGGATCTCAGTAATTATGGAATGAATGTACTTCATCTGTATCTTCATTATAGATGCTAAAGGGTAAGTTTAAGATTCTGATAGGCCACCCCACATGTTTTTTGATCAGGTAGATTTTTCCTTGTTGCTCAAGTTATACTCTTAAATGGCTATATCATGTAGATATTAAATCCAATAAAATTTCATGAAAGGGAATTATATAATTGCAACAGCAAAGTTTTATCTATATCTCTGAGCCTAGAAATTGGGACTGTTCATTTATAATAGAGATTGGAGATTGCTTTCTCCTGCCCTGTAGGAGTAGTGATGGTGGTAGTGACTAAATGATCTGTATTTCACAATACTATTTGGTGGCTAAGAGTGTACTGCATACAAAGAATGACACTGGGTGACCCTCAGTGCTGGCGCTTTCCTAGAGGTGGGACATCCTGAGTAGGGAGGTGCTGAACCACCTGTGGGCTGGCCAGCTGTTGTGGACTGTACTGTGGAGAGGAGGAACAATAAATTTCCCCCACTCCTTAGATCCCCCTCAGGAGATAATACTTGATGCTGCTTTTAAGGACAGAGAAAAGACAAGCCTTTTCAAATTTTAAAATCATTAGGGATGAGTTGCCAAAAAATTTGGGTTAAGTTTTATCTGGAAGCCAGAAGACATTGTCTCCTCAAGGCTTTTTCTGGCTCTGGGATAAGCTATTGAGATAGAGGAAAAGATGCCGGGCTGAGGAGTTTCATTTAGTATTTTAATAATAATAAAAAAGACATACAAAATCCAAACATTTCTTTTTACAATTCAGATACATATTTTTCCCCAAGTGCAAAATACTCTATGAACTGCATCATTTGCTGTTTATTGTCGATTGTATAGGAGATGCTTACTAAATTGGCAGCAGTGGAAGGCAGATATAAATACAATATTTTGAAATTTCTTCTGCATTTAACAAAAAGCCTCCCACATGGCGATGATTATTCTGAAACTTGAGTTCAGCTCACACAGAAGTATAAAGTTTTCAGTTTGTTCAAACTGCTACAACCTGTGGTGTCTAAAAAAGCTGATGACAACTGGGGGTTCTATTCCTTCTAATCATATATTTCCTTGTACAAATAATGGCACAAGGATAGGGTGTGCTACTTTTGAGACGGGTCAAATGTAAAAATATCCTTGTGTTGTTCGCTCCCACTTTTATTGTGCTTAAGAAAGAAACCTGGAGGGTTAACATTTTCTGCTTATGCTCAGTTATACTTTGTCTTGGTACCCCTTGTTTGTGGCTGTAATATTGAGGTTAAGCAGCAAATACAAAAGTTCGAGTGCTCTATAACGTTTTCTGACATTTTGAGATATGACCTCATAATCCATTCCAGAGTCACCTCAAACATGTATATAGAGAACACTTCTCATATAAAAAGTTTCTCTAGGGCCAAAGACCAGGACTGTGTTACTGAACTTTCAGCAACAAATCTGAGTCTCCACCACCTCAAACTGACCAAATCTTGGGGGCTGTTAAAGCAGTCACAGCTCAGTGCCAGCCTTTGGGGATTTCTAGGCCTGGAGCAGGCAGCTCAGATCCAGGATCTGGTCAGTTTTCTTCTGACTCCAAGAGTTGTCTCAGGTTGTAGGAATAGGCATGGCCTGATAATATAGAAAGAGGGAGGCAGAGAAGTAAAGAGGAACTGCCATGTTGCTGAGGATATAAGTGCCTTTCTGGTGTGCATTACTTGGTGCGTGAAGCCCTCCCATTTCCAGGCTCAGAGCAGGTGAGGTTTTGTACTAAGATGAATGGAAGCCCCACAATACTGTCGCCCCACACCCTACACGCTGCAGAGAGGCCTCTGGGTTGCTTCATGAAGGGATCCTATTTATACCATCTTTCCATTTCCCTCCAATGGTAAAAACCTCTCTTCTGTCTGACCTGTAAAGACCTAGAATGTCCCTGAGCGTTGACTCCTCATTCAATCCAGTTAACCCCTAGTTTGATGTCCCAGGGCCAGCCTCCTCCATAGATTCAGCAGCAGCTTTGCCTGGGTTCTTAACCCTCCAACTTGGAGGACCTAAATTAAACTTGGTGGACAATAGCAGGTTTTTACCTGCTCACCAAGATCTGCCTTGACATCAATTAAGAAGCCTAGTGGTCTATGCCTTCCGTACTGTGGAACTCATTTGCAGGTCTCATAAGCCATGGAATAAATGGTTGAAGGATGTGTATTTGTATGTATGTATGCATGGTGTGACAGGAAAGGAAGGGAGAAAGGAGAAGCCAGACCCTGAAGGCATAAATTAAGAAGCATGGTCACCGTTTGGCTTTCCAAGAGACGCAAAACGGCTGGCAGAGAGGAATCAGAAAGTTATCCTAGGCTGGGCGCGGTGGCTCATGCCTGTAATCCCAGCACTTTGGGAGACTGAGGCGGGTGGATCACCTGAGGTCAAGAGTTCAAGACCAGCCCGGGCAACATGGTGAAACCCCATCTCTACTAAAAATACAAAAATTAGCTGGGCGCGGTGGCGCATGCCTGTAATCCCAGCTACTTGGGAGGCCGAGGCAGAATTGCTTGAGCCTGGGAGGCGGAGGTTGCAGTAGGCCGAGATAGCACCATTACACTCCAGCCTGGGTGACAGAGCGAGACTCCATCTCAAAAAAAAAAAAAAAAAAAAAGAAAGAAAGAAAGAAAGTTATCCTAGCTTCTGGTGGAGAATTAGGATAGTCAGAGTTGATTAAAGCAGTTTTCATGGTGCTTCCTGGGAAGTACAGAGACACTCATACTAAATGACCATTTCCCTTGTTTGGAAGCAGCCATTTTGCATCTTTACAGTGGCCCTCCTTGACCCAGAAAGACAAAGGTAGCCAGACACTCTACCCACAAGGACCATGATGTTGGCTAATGGTTGTCAGGGAATCTAGCTGTGTCATTGGCTACCTACTGCTATGGCCGTTTTGGCTGATGAATGCTACTGATGGGAGGGCAGGGAGTCAGACTCCTTTATTTAGTGTTGAGTCTCCTGGGGGAGCAGTAGCCTAGGACAGTCACCTAGAAATGAACCTGAGCTGTTCTGTGAGTTACCAGGAGAGTTAAAAAGAAAAAAAAAAAAAAAAGAAATGAACCTGAGGACTCAGTTGGTAGCCTTTGATTGATTGGGACTACAGCTTTGGGGGAACTAGAGTGAGAAAACAGAAAATAATTTTATAGGCAACACTTGGATTAAGGGCAGAATGTGTGCAGGCTTTGGGCTTGGGCATGGACTTGATTCTTCTTCCATTTGATTCTTTCTTCCTTCTGAAAAACAGTAGTTGAGGAAGCTAAGCTTGAAGTCAACTTCAAAGGGAAGTGACCAGAGCCAGGCAAATATCTGATGCCTTCTGTCTTATTCTTGGCTCCCACAGCTTTGTCTCTGGCCTCGGGACCCTGAGTCAGCCCATCCCCAGGTGGTATGTCCTGGTCCTCTTCCATGTGTACACCAGGGGATAACAGGATGAAGACAGGGAAAAGATGGAGGTTTTCCCTACTTGGGGTAGAGAATCACTGACCAGTTCCATTGGCCTCTATAATCATGAGGTCCACACTGACTCCATGGAGAGGCATAGGGATAGCAAGATTGGTTTAGCAAACATAGGTCTCTCTCCTTTCTGCTCCATCAAATCCCCAGAATTACTTTCCTACACATCAGATGCCTCTGCGCAATTACCCTGGATTACCACAGCCAAGGGCTCTAGGTGGCCAGTGGTGGCATAGAGACAGATCAGATGCTCCAGCACTCAAGGTTCATGAGATTCAAAACCGATTTTCTTCCACTCCAAACATACACTCTTTTCTCTTGGGCAGCTATAAATAGGGTTTTGCTAATAGAGGAAGAAGAAACAAAAACAAAAAACAAACCCAGAAAACAAAAACCCCTCCGTCTAGACAACATAGAAAGACTCAAAATGATTGCACTTATTAGGTGTGGACAGGGTGGGCAGGAGGCTCGCCAAGTGCACACACATTCCTTTTGCTGCCCACAGCCTGAGGCCAGAGGTAGGTGGCTCCAGGCTGGCTTCAGAGTGGGGTCCTCTTTGGTGAAGCCCACAAGCCAGCTGGGGCTACAAGGGAAAAACAACTGTAGGGCAAGGCCTAGGCTGGCTTCAGGTCAATAACCATGTTTAAGGACAACATGTAGCAAGGGGAGTAGGGCTCCCCCAGGGAGCATCACATGGGGCTGAGGAGGTGGCTGGGCCAGGGAAGACAAGAAAAGGGATTAGTGTTTGAAGTTGACTTCCAATTGTTCTGTGTCTAGTCCTTTAGATGATACATTTTTTCTTTCTGTTTTCTTTTTTTTGGCAATGCTTTAAAACCTTGTTTCTGTCCTGCAGAGTTACAGTCTTTCTCTCAGGGAGCTACAGCGGGGCATTCACCATGACAATGCCTGCTGCTCTTCCTCATTTAGCCGGTGTCCACTAACTCAGTGTTGTGGGCCATTTGTAAACCCTTATGGAGTAGACCCCAGGCAGACGTAGGGAAAGAAAGAGAGGATCTGTATAGACAAGAAAGCTGGCCATGTGGGAAGTCCAGAGCTCAAACCATGTGCCCCAGAGGACTGGTGCTGGCATTAAGCCTGTAAATCAAAGGCTTCTTTGGCAGGACCCTGGGCTGTTAGAATCACCCTAGGGAGCAGAGCCAGGGGACATTTTGGCCCCTGACTAGCAAGGCACAACCCTATAATGGCAGAAGCCCTTCTTTCCCCTCCCCGTTTCCCACCAGACCCACTTCCTTGATGGGCCTCTAGCACCCTTCCAAGCTGATGGGGTCGGGAATGTGAGCTGGTAAAATGGGCAGTGGAAGGGGCTGTACTGTTTCTTTACATCTCACGGGGACTAGAGCCAGTACTGAATGGCTTTTCTAGGTAGTGTGTTAGAAAAGGGGGAACAGTAGAGAGGCAGGCAGAGAGAGACAAGGAAAGGAAACTAGAAAGACAGAAAGGGAGAGTGCCTGGTTTGTGTAGTGATATTTTTTTTTTCCCTCCAAAAAGAGAGGAGAGAGTTCCTTGTCTGAGGGTAGGGGGCTGCCGGCTCTGAGGGCTAAGGAGTCTGGGGGCTTAAAAAATTGGGTCTCTGAGCCTAGGGTTACTATTTGTAGGGCCTCAGGAAGCTGGAAACTTTGGAGCGGAGCAGCTTGATGAAGGATTTTGGCAGCATCTCCTTGTGTTTCTCTGTGTACTTGAAGTAGTTCTGGGGGTGGGCTAGCACCTCAAAGAAGGCCTTGATGAGCTTCTTGTCCTGCAAAGGATGGCAGGGAGCAATGTCAGCCTCACCGTCGGGGGTGGGAAAGAGAAACACCATGACTCAGCAGCCCTTCTTGATGTCTACTAGGCATCCTATACTGAATATATCCAGAGGGCAACTCTGGATTCCCATTCCCACCATCTGCCCTTATTCTGGAATTCCACAACTGAATCAGTGGCAGCTCCATCCTTCTGTTGCTTAGGCCCCAATCCTTGGAGCCATCCTTGAATCCTCTTTCTTGCTTACAAGTATAGCAAATCCTATTGACTCTACCTTCAAAATATGTCTGGGTCTGACCACTTATCATCTTCCCAAGCCACCACTGTCTCTGACTTGGAGTACTGTAGTAGCCTCCTAACTGGTCTCCATGCTACCTTTGTCCCTCCGTAGACTCTTCTCCCCACAGCAGCCAGAGTGACTTTTTGTGTTTTTAATTAGTTCATCTTTTTCCTGTTTGAAACTCTTCTCTGGTTTCTTTTATCACTCATTGGCAGAATGTGATCTGTATCTTGCTTTCCACCTCCACTCTTGCTCCCTCTGCTGAGCCACACTGGCCTTCTGGAGGTTCCTGAACACACTAAATTGCTCCCATGCTCCTTAGCTTGGAATGCTCCTCCCTCATCTTCTAATGGGGAGCCCTTTTACCTCATTTGGGTCTCTTCTCCTTAGAGGCCTTTCCTGACCACCCTGTCTACAACAGTAGCATGGTATGTGGAGAGCCTACTAGGTGCCAGGCACTGTGCATTAAAACTCAGGTCTTCTGGCTCCTAGGCTGGTGCTCCTTCCATGGCGTCAGTGGATTTTTCAAATAAGAAGTAGGGGTTTCAGCCTCTTACCCCACTTTAATCAGAACAGCTGCACTGCTTTATGTGTTGGAATTCCACAGTACATTTGATTTGAAATAAGGGTTCAGATGCTTTAAAAATGTTTGAAAAGTATTATTAAAAGTATATTCTTTGAAGTCTGCAAGTTCTAGGTGATTTTTGTTGTCAAGGCTTTTATTTTGATGATAATATAAAAATATTTTGCTAACACTTAACTTTTTTGCAGTGATAATTTATGAAGGATAATTCTATGACTACGACTATAGTTTCCTTTTTTTTTTTTTTTTGAGACTGAGTCTAACTCTTGTTGCCCAGGCTGGAGTGCAATGGCATGATATCAGCTCACTGCAACCTCTGCCTCCCCGGTCCAAGCAATTCTCCTGCCTCAGGGTCCCGAGTAGCTGGGATTGCAGGCGCCCGCCACCACACCCAGCTAATTTTTTGTATTTTTTTAGTAAAGACGGGGTTTCACTATGTTGGCCAGGCTGGTCTGGAACTCCTGACCTCAGGCGATCCACCCGCCTCAGCCCCCCAAAGTGCTGGGATTACAGGCATGATCCACCATGCGCAGCCAGACTATAGTTTCTTAAGGAAGATTTTCTTAAATTGGGATTCACCGACCCAGGGCATCTAGTCCATTCTTCCATGTTGGAAGTATTTATTTTCCTTGAAAAGAAGTCTGTACATAAATTGATTCTGAGAAAGCTGTGCTAGATCTGCCGCTGCTTTTTTTGTTTTTGTTTTTTTGAGACAGGGTTCACTCTTGTCACCCAGGCTGGAGTGCGATGGCGCCATCTCGGCTCACTGCAACCTGCGCCTCCTGAGTTCAAGCAATTCTCCTGCCTCAGCCTCCTGAGTAGCTGGGATTACAGGCGCCTGCCACCGCACCCGGATAATTTTGTATTTTTACAAAATTAAGACGAGGTTTCACCATGTTGGCCAGGCTGGTCTCAAACTCCTGACCTCATGTGATCCACCCGCCTCGGCCTCCCAAAGTGCTGGGATGACAGGCGTGAACCACCACACGCAGCCTATCTGCTGCTGCTTAATGAGGCCTGGGGAGAGAATAGGGGAAGGAAGGGACTTATGCAAAAGTATCTTTCTATACTTCACTTTCCCTATGTCTCTTGGAAGAGGTAGGGACATTTCTTCTCCTCACTTTCCCTTTCTCTTCCAAGTTTTCCCCAAGGTGTAATATAGTGTGGGTGACGCTGCAGTCGGATAGGCTTGGGCTCAAATCCCAGCTTCCCATGGGGCAGGTTCTTTAACTCTCTATACCCCAGTTTTCCCATCTGTAAAGAAGCAATGGAGAAAGCACCTACCTCATAGAGCTATTGTGTCTATCAAGTGAGAATATTCATGTAAGCACTTAGCCTATTGCCTATATATTGTTACATGCTTATTAAATGTTAGCTATCATTATTGTTAATATTCATTCACCTTTAAAATCTCCTGGTGGTTTTCAGAGGCATAGAGCCGGCCATCTCGCACAATGTCTTCTACCAGCTGCTCATAGTCCTCTGCAAAGTCAACCAAGGTGAGGGGCTCAGGGGCGGGAGCTCTTCCTGCTCTCCTGGTTCCCTCTCAAAACTGACATACCTCCCCTTCTCACCCACCTCCTTGGCTTACCATCATAGGTAACATAGGGAATCTGGAAGCCACGGGCGCTGTTGGCCTCGCTTGTCTTGAAGTTGATCCAGAGCTTCCTGGAACGGGCAGTGAAGGCAATGGGACGCTCGTAGGTCTGGCAGGTCTCATAAGTGGTAATGGAGGATGGGGATGCTGGGAAGGCAAGCAGCAGGTCAGTAGAGCAGCAGGGCAGGCTACCCAAGCCCTCCTAGAACGTGGGCTGTACAGCTGGTGGTGGGGGTATAGGGCAAGAGAATCATTCTGACAAAGGCTCCCCCTTCGCATACACACACCCTACCCCACACCCTCTCCCATTGCCCACTGGGCTCATTCCACAATTCCTCCTTGATACCTGGGCACTCACATAGTGTAATAAATATGACATTTAAATGAATGGAATGGCAAAAATGCTAGGATAGGAAAGTGATACATGTAACGCCATTGGAGTTCTAGCCCCACTGCTAGCTTTCTTAACTCTGTTTTCTACCAAACATGTGTCATTGCTGTTTTCCTTTGTTAGCTTCTCTCTTCCTAAAGGCCTCTCACTATTTCACCCTCATAGATCCCTAACTTCACTGCCCCATTTCTTCCTGTATCAGTCTCTCTCTTTGTTCTCCGCCTTAACCAGATTTGGACTGCCCTTCCCTGGCCCAGCTCTGCAAGCCACCCACAGTTCTTTCTCATGACGAGGACGTCCCCACACTCATCCTCAGATGGCAGGAAGATCTCTGGTACCACGATAAGGATCTTGCGCTTGGGTGGGGGGTTGATGTTCCAGATGCACTCCACACCAGCTGGGTAGTTGCCCGGGTAGTTGGGGGACTCAATATAGCCAGTGAACTCACCCAGCTCCCCACCACACTGACGATCTGCAGCCAAACCCCAGTGGATAAAACAAGACAGAGAAGGGAAGTCAGTGGGGAAGTGTGCTGGGGGAATTGAAGAGTTCTGAAGTAGAGGTCAGACATTTATGGGAAGTCTGCGTTCTAGTTCATCATTATTTTCCAAGCTCTGAGTCCATCTTCCTTCCTGCCCTTTTAGTACCTTCTCTTCTCACTTCACCTGTCTCTGCTTCCTCATTAACTGTCTCCAGGGAGAGGGTGTTACAGGGTCCAGCCTAGCAACTGGCCTTGAGATTGAGTGAGTTGGGGAGAGGTGGAAGGTGGAGTTTTCCTGCTCCTCCACCCCCCAGCCCTGCTCCCTGTTGGTTTCACACCCCTCCTTTAGATGTCCACTGCTCCCAGGCCTCTCTCCTCCCTTTTGCACAGCCTGGCTTGCCACGTACTCTTGCATTGGGCCACACTGGTAGAGCCATCAAAGTCTGTGCTTGTGTTTCCTGGACAGCGGCTGCAGAAGTTCTGACGGAAGTCGGGCTGATAGGAGCCCATGGCACAGCGAATACAGCGGTGGATGCTGGTGTTGTAGTAGTGCCCTGGGGAGCACTGGACTGTAGGCAAGGGAGAAGGGCAGGAATCAAGATGGTAGGCAGGTGGGAGTTACGGGGCATGGGATGGACAGGATACATTCATCCTGGAGAATCAGGAGATCAGATACATCAAAGTTCTTTTCTAGGGTCTCAATCTTTCCCAGTCATGCCAGAATTTAAGCCCACGGAAAAACAGAGTTTACAGAGTGGTTGGCTACAGTGCCAATCCTTTTCTTTCAGACGCTGAGCACAGTGCCAAACCTATATAGAAACTCATTTGGGATATGGAGGAGAATATGCCACCAGTTCTCCAAAGTGGAGGGGTAAGTGGGACTGTTAATTATTTCTCAGTTCCCAAGCTTGGGACTAGTGGAGGGGCAGGGTGGGTCCTGGAAGCAGGATGGTATGGTTGGTCAAGTAGCTGGGCCCATTACTGGTTTGGAGAAAATGGTGGGTCAGTGTCCCCTCTGGGAAATTGGAGAGTTTTTTGGGAGTAGTTGGGGTTGGGGCATCCCCCAGGGAGGTGAGTAGCTTACTCACCTTTGGTGTCACAGTCTTGGAAGGAAATGGCCCCTTCATGCTTGGTGGTGAGGCCCCCACCACAAGGGAAGCATAGGGTCCGTCCTGCTTCAGGTTGGTAGGTGCCACGTGGGCATGGCTGACAGGGCTTGAACCCATCTACAGAGTGTTGGCCAGGTGGGCACTGACCTGCAATGAATCAAGGGCCCAACTCTGATGGGGATGGTCCTGAGTCATCCCCATGGGGTCACCCGATCTCAGGGGACAAAGGTATACAAACAGGATGTTGACTAAGAGAGTGGCCTGGAGCCTGGGCCTGCCCTTTGGGAAATCCCATGCCCATGGGCATCCCAGTGCCCACCCTACCCCACTCTGTATTGTTTGTTCCCCTGGCACCTGCACACGTGGTGACGTTGGTGGCTCCAAGAGGCCCGTGGGCATCACTCCCAGGGCAAAGGTCGCAGGAGAGCTGCCCTTCTCTCTCCTGGAAGGTGCCCGCTGGGCATGGCACACACTGCTCCGTCTGGCCGTGGTAATACGTTCCCTGCGGGCAGCTGACTGAGGGAGAGTCGGCCGCGCTAGCCACCCACCCCCGCATTTCCCACCACCCAGGCCTGGGACTCCCCTTCCCACTCCCCGCCACAACCCCCGATTCAGGGAGAATCTCTGTCAGGGAACAAACACAATCCTACTTGGGGGGATAGGAGGGTCAAAACCGTGTGCAGGAGGATTGCTGGCCCCACCTGGCATCCTTCTAGATTTCAGCCTGGAACCAAGGAAGGGAGGACAGCGGGCAGGAGCATCCTGGCTGCCTCATAATTTGAGAAATGCATCTGAGGCCACAAAGGGTCCTGCTCTGAGTCAGGCCCAAACTGGGTCTTTCCTACATCCCTGCTCCCCAGTAAGCTCCCTTACCACACTTGGTCCCAGCACGGTGCTGCCCGGGCCTACAGGACTCCATCGGCTCTGCTCGCTCCCCGGCTACCAGGCCCGGCTTGTGGGCCAGCTCATAATCAAGGCCTGCCAGGCGCAGCAGGAAGCGGTCCTGGTTGATGGACTTTCTGAGCATCTTCAGGGATCCTTTCAGCCGCCGTTCCATTCGCTGTCGGAGGCAGGGCAGCCCACAGCTGGCTGGTGGTGGATGGCCGTGTGTATCAGGGAGGAGAAAGAGTTGCTGTGAGCAGGAGGGCAGGGGAGCAAAGCTGGGAGCTAGGAGGGGCATGGTAAGAGGGACTAGCTTTTAGGCTTGGCACCAGGCAGGGTCTGCCCCTAGTACAGGCTCCATCCCTTCCTTTTGCTGCTGAGACCTGTGGTTTCCCCACCTCTGCCCTCCCCTTCCAGTCCTCTTCCCAACAGTGCCCCCAGTCCCACCTGTGGTTTCTTCGGCTCTGACCTCTGCCTCCAGTTCCAGGGTGAGCCTTGTGACCTCTTTGCCTGGAGGGGTCCGGGCCCGTCGGCCCTTGCCCTTCCGAGAGGAGTCACACTTAAGGTGGATGAAGGTGACCTGGCATTCAGAGCAGGGGGCACCACCTGGGAGAGAGGGCTTGTCAACCCCAGGGACATCCCCTGGAAAGTTCTCACTCCCAGCCCAGACAGACCTCCCCAGATCTCTAACTGTAACTATCTCTCAATCCTGTTTTAGTCTAGGGTCCTAATTAGTTGGTGGAGGGGAATATTCTGGGACTTCCTTGGGTGCTATGCCTACAGCTGCTTTTTCCTCTGCTCTGCCTAGAGTTCAGGGTTCTGGTGGGTTTTTGGAAGCAGAGGAGCTGAGGGGTAAGGAGGATTTAGTGGCCAGACAGCCAACTGGAATGGGGTCCCCAGTCCAAACCTGGCCCTGTGATTCTGCCAGCCTCCTCTGTTTTGCCTTTGTTTCGCAGGTGCAAACGGCATTTGGCATCCTTGATCTTGAAGGAGGCCCGTTGTTTAATGGACAGCACTGCAGCCTCTAGAGGGATGGTAGAAACTCAGCACAGTATGGGATGCCCATGGAGGTCGGGGGTGCCGTAGGGGTTGTTGAGAAGCTGGGTAATAAGCCAGGGGCTTGGCTGGGGGAGTGAGATTATGAAAGTCAAGGGGATCAGATGTTAGGGCAGAGGGAGTGAGGGAGCAGGGTTGGAGAATTACAGGGCAAAAAAGAGGATCCAGGAGAAAGGAAGGCCAGGGGATTGATGAAGAACAAAAATAAGGGATTAATGTAAGAGAGTAGGGTGGGAACAGGGCTTCTGGGCTGGTGCTTACCATGGCAGTGGTTGGAGTTGGTGCTGTTCCCATTGTGGCCAGCTCGGGCTGGAGCAGCCCTGGGGCTGGGGGTCCCACAGCTCACCGTGAAGCCATTCTCAGACTCTGAGAAAAGGAGCCTGTCACAGTTCTGACCTGCCTTCCCAACCCCCGCTGGCTGGAGGAATCCAGGGGGAATGAAGGAGCTGCCTGAACGGCCAGTCCTTCCTCTTTTCTCCTCCAAAGCTCTCCAGCACCCTCCTCCCATGTACCTGGCAAAAATCGGGCCCTGGAGGGACAGGTCAGGGCACAGGTGTCCTTCTTGCCAGACCGGTTGCAGCTGAGCATGGCTTTCGAGGCCCCAGGACTGCCCTGACACTTCAGTGGCTCTAGGAAGGGGAGAGAGGCCTGAGCAAATGAATGCATTCCTTTCCCTCAGTTGGGTAATTTGGAGGAATCAGCTACTTGCATAACTATTGTTGTACCCATGGAGACTGATGATGGGATTGTTTACTACAAATTTCATGTCTTTAACTCAAAATGGCTACATTCTCCACCCTTTCCACCTCACACCTTTCCCCAATGTGATACTCTATGCTTTCCAGAACCCCAACTGCTCCCTGAAATGGCAGTGTCATCTTTGGCCAGCAGAGGGCACTGCCCACCTGTGCAATCTTTGCCATTCCAGTGCAGCCGACCCTGGCCTGCTGGGCAGGTACACTGGTAGCTGCCAGGAGTGTTGATGCAGCCAAAGCGGCAACCTCCCCGGTTGATGCTGCATTCATCCACATCTGGGGGAAGGAGTAGGGAGACAGAAAAACAACGATGGAGTTGGAGGAGGAGCCGGAGAGTAGGCAGTGAGTGAGGGCCTTTGGTTAGAGTTTCAGGTACCCTGCATTACGCAAGATGAATAAGTTCGAGAGATCTACTGTACAACAGTGTGCCTATAGGCACATAAATACTGTAGTGTACACTTAAAAACTTAAGAGGGTAGATCTCTTGTTAAATATTCTTACAATTTAAAAAAGTTAAAAAGGCATTCTAGGCACTGTAAGATGACTACTGGCCTGAGAAGAGCTCAAACCTCCTCCAATTATCTCTGTCCCCAAAGGAATGATCGAGAAGGGGCCAAGCCAACAAGCTTTTTAAAGCCTTCCACTCCTCCCAACCAGTGAGACTGTCATTTGGGAGCTGAGAGTGGGGGTTCAGGGACAGTTATAGGAATGGGAGATAGGAATTTTGGAGGCAGGATGCTGTTTCCGCAGTCTCCCAGTTCTTCAAAAGCTGTCTTAATTCCTCCTATTTTGTCACAGCGGATGCAGACATGGTGCATGCATCCAGGGATTGCCCATAGCCACAAGCCAACACAAGGACCTGTTCAATTGGAGGGTGAAGAGGTGAGGGGGCCAGGGTGGCTGGGGGTGCAAGCTTACTAGCTTACCCCCACAGTGGGTGATACCATACAACAGGTAGCCACGATGGCAGAGACACTGGAAGCTTCCTGGTGTGTTGACACATATGTGGTCACAGGTTCGATCAAAGGAACACTCGTCTATATCTGGAAGAGCAAAGATTCAAGCCACTGAATCTGTCTTGGAGCACTTGACCCTTGCTCAGGTGAAGGACCCAAGTGAGGGGCCTTGGCTTTCCCCCTTGAACTGAAGAGTTCCTATTCATGTCCTAGCTCTAGGACCAGTGATTTAACAATGCCATTCCATCTTCTCTGCCCCCTCTATTTGAAGTCCTTGGAATTAGGAACTGCAAGATCTGGTGCCTTTAGGTCAGGGCCCACCATGTGTGGTTAGGTACGTCCTACTCTGCCAAGGATATGAATTGGGGTGAAATCCATCCCTCAGTCCTTGCCAGGCTGAATGCTTTGATATGGAGCTAGTCCGCTGAGGGGAAAGAGTACCATTTGCTAATTTGCAGGATGACACTGCCTCTAGAGACTCTGTGTGATATCTATTGAGTTTCTAAGACTTTAGCCCTCTGGCCTCCTTGAAGCTCTCCCACAAGAACCTCTCCTAAGGCTTTCACCTTTGGCTGAGTCTGCTCACCCTGGCAGTTCCTCTCATTGATGAGAAGCTTATAGCCTTTCTTGCAACTGCATTCGAAGCTGCCCACTGTGTTGCGGCAAATATGGTCACAGCCCCCGTTGTTTAAGCGGCACTCATCTATATCTGAAGAAGGAGGACAAAACAGGATAAAAGATACTATCAAAGGCTGAGAACAAACAAGGAGAAAGATCCCTCCCTCACTGACAGAGACATGCAAAAATCAAGGAGTCCTGGGCCTGCCTCTTCTTGATCTCTCTCTGTCTCTTTCTCTTTCTCTTTCCTGTCTCTCTCTCTCTTTCCTGTCTCTGTTTCTTCCCTGTTCAGGGGATCTGTGGCCATTAGTAACACCCTCTCTTCTGGGATTGAGTGTTCTTATAAGGGGACAAATTGGAACCAAAACTAGGAACAGGCCCTCAGGGAATTACCTAGAGGAGGGGCAGGTGGGCATTTGACCTAACAGGCTAGCCCTTAGTCTCCAGCTGATGGCCATTCCCTGAAAGGTTGGTGGGTAAGGGTTATCTCTTTCCTGTCCCTCAGGACGGGGGGTTGGGGGGGTGCGGGGCAAGGAGAGGTGGAGGGTCTAAAGGGACTCACTGAAAACGGGCAGCCCTTTAGGGAGGAGGAGGAGCTGGGAAAGAGGCCAGGCAGGGAGGACCTCCAGGAGAGCCAGTGAGGCTGGGTAGCTGATGGGGGAGGGCTGGGGGCCAGGCAAGGGGCTGGACTGGGAGAGATCTGGAGAGACTCAGGCCTGAGGCAGCTTTCAGCACTAGTAAGGGAAAGGGGGGCTGGTGAATGGCTTCCTTCCTGAGGTCAAGTTCCCCAAGCTGGTGGCAGACAGGACCCAGGCTACTCACCCCTGGTTGGGGGAAGGGGCAGGGAGGGCAGCCTTTCACTTCACTCTTAGCATACCTGTCAACAGTTCTTCCCAGCAGGAAACCTCTCAACTCTGGCTGGCTGACCTGCTGCCCTAGCCTCCCCCCTCCTCTCGCAGCTGTTGGGCCAAAAGACACAAAGAACGAGCCCAGTCCTCCTCGTCCCCACTCCTTGTGACCAGGGGATATGGACCTAATGAATCATCATTTTCAGTATGGCTACCCTGCCTTTTTCCTCCACCCTTTCCCCCCATTCTCCCTCAGACCTGGCTAATTAAAAGGAAGGGAAACAGAATGCATAATGTGGGTAACTATACTGTAATAACAGTTAACACAAAGTGTTTCCATTTGCCAAGCACTGTTCTAAGTACTTTTTATGTAATCACTCTTTTAATCACAACACAGTATGAGGCGAGCACTATGGAAAACTGAGGCACAGAGACATTAAGTGACTTGTCCAGGATCACAGAGCTAGTAGGAGACAGGGCTGGGATCTGAACCCAGCTTCAGTCCTCCTAACTAGTATCCTACTCTCCCTTTGACCAGTACAGCCTTTCGAGGGGTAGACATCATTTCCCCAGAGCCCACTGGGAAGGTCTGAGGAATGTGGGGTAAGAAGGTTATGGAACACACCTGTGACCTCATGCACACACACAGTCAGGGCTCAAATATCCTTCCAGACCCAGGAGCAAATGTGAATCGCATGTCCATTAACTAAGAGGGTTAGGGACCCATGGGGGATAGGAATGAGAGTAGGGAAACAAGGTGGGGTAGGGGAAGGGGGCACTAAGGAACTGGCTGGACTTCTCTGTCCCTTGAACTGAGATGAAACAGGCAGATAGGAGACAACCCTTAGCTATGTCCTGGGTTCTTCATAAGAAGGAGGTTGAGGAGGTGTCATCCCCTAATAGGCACCCTATCTCTGGTCCCAACCTCAGCCCCTTACCAAAGGTCACTCTGCTTCTGTCCTCTCAAAGTCCTTACCTTTGCACGTCTTCCTGTCTGGCTGCAGCATGAAGCCCACAGGGCAGGTGCAGTGGACACCAGTCGCTGCATCATGGCACTTACTGTCACAGCCCCCGTTGTTGACAGCACAGGTCTCTGTTTAGGAGGGAAGTGGGGGATGGTAATGAGGTTACAAGCCTGGAGGAGTCCCAAACTCTGAGGGTAGTGGAGACCACAGAGGCCCGAGGGAAGGCCTCAGCTGCCTCTCTGTGCTTTAGAAGGAGCATTAAGCCAAGGGAGGCTCCCAGCCCCTTTCCTCCCATCACTCCCAACCCCCATCCCCTCACAAGTACAGCCAAGCAGTCCACTTCCCTGCCCCCTACTTGATTGAAACAAGGTGGACAGCAGTGAGGCAGGTACAAGCCAGAGCTGTCAGGCAGGAATGTGCCGAGGGGGTGGAGGAGGTGGGGCGGGGGGCAGTAGGGAGGGATGGGAGCTAAGTGAGGGTGGTTCTGGCTGCCAGGGAACCAGAAGGGACAGATAGGAGTTTCTTCCTCTTTCCACTATGTCTTTGGTGGGTGGGTGGGGATTGTGGTGGGACAATCTTATTGTAAGTGGATTGGAAAGAATGAGCCGGGCCATTCCTAAGGCAACTGAAGGATACCCATCAATTTATCTTCCCCTTCCCCGCTGCCTAGCTGTCTTAAGAAAGATCCCACTTCCAGGATCGACTGACTGCTCATCCTCAGAGGAGGTAGCACATACTGGGTTAATCTACCTTCAACTCCTCCCAAACCCTCCTTTTAGTTCTAGATGGAGATAAGCTGGCTGTTTTGTTGTTTTACTCTGCTAATGGGGAGATGTTGTATAGGAGAGGGGAGAAGCAAAAGAAAGAGAAGAATCCAGAGGAGAAGGAAGGGTGTAAAAAGGTTAGTGAAAGAGTTAGAGAACCTCAGAGCTAGATAAGACCTAAATCCTTATTTTAGCTAAGTCTCTTATGCTGCTCCCTCTTAACTGGTAAGTTTTCCCTTTCACTAAAAGGTCAGAGTAGGAGGAGTGTCGATGGGTCACTCTCCCTATTTTCTGAATTCACAGCAGGAGAAAAACAGGTTTAAATGGTAGCTTGGGAAAGTCAGATGTGTCCAAGGAAAAGCCATTAGTTCAAACAGTGAAGGCCCCTGATACAGAGACTGTGGAGGTGGTGCATACTGTCCTCTTGGGGTGACTAGAATTCTCCCATTAGAGAGAAAGAATCCCAAGACCTCCACTAGGGAAGATAGAAGAATGGTTCTCAGAATCAAGGGAATTGAATAAGACCAGTACTGGATGTACTGTCATCTTCTTAAGTCTCTGACTCCCCACACTCAGGCCCAACTCTTGTCACCAATGAGAACAGGAAGGCCAGGGCTCCAAAAGAAGCCTAACTCTATGGGTCCCTGGCCATGCCCTGGTCCCTCAAATGCCCATGTGTGGAACAGCCCAACCTGGAGTGGGATATCGTCTGTGCCATTTCCACTTTAGTCTCTCCTGAGGCTCTCCAAGACCATGGGAGGAACCTAGTAGGGAACATTGAGTTCAGGTTCCAAGGCTAGCCACCCGCTAAAGAGTGCTTTTAGCATAAGAAGAGGTCCACTAAGCCCAGGAGCAGGGGGAGGGGCACAGAGATCTTATGCCAAGGCCAGATAGCTTCTGAAGGATGTAGGATACGGAATAGCAGAGCTGGCACAATGTCCATCCCAGGCTGGACAGAAAGCTGGGCATAGCCGCCCACCTGTGCAGGACGGCATTCTTGAGAGCAGGGTGGGGCAGCAGGACCATATAGTCTCACCCCTTTGCTCTCTAGGTCACAATATTAAAACCACAAGTTACTCTGTGCTTATGCTGTGCCAGGCACTTGCCAGGTAGATGCTCTACATGCACTATCTCAAGCATTACAACCCTAAGGAAGGACTGTTATTTTATAGAAAAGTAAACTGAGGATCAGAGAGGAAAGTAGCTTGCCTAAGGTCATACAGTTAGAAAGTAACAGAGCCAGGATTCAAACTCAGGTCTGCCTGAACACACATGCCATGCTCTTAGCCATTACGGTAGGAGAGAATGGTGAGTGATGCTGGGACTGTGAACTAATGTGGGTAAGAACCCAAGAAAGAAGCCCCAAGGAGGGGATGGCATCTAATCCTATCGCACCCCTATCTCAGGTGGCACAGTGGGCATGACAGGGAAGATGAGGCTGGCTGGGTAGAGGGGGGTGGGGAGCAGATGGCTGGGAGTGGGGTGGGGTGTTAGAAGGTGGGTGTGGGAGGAGACAGCAGAAGAGGAAGGGCAGAAGGAGAGTGACAGGAACAAAGACGAGACCAACATGAAAGCTCCCGGGCCAGCTCTTAGGGACTCAGGTTTCTTGTCACCCAATGGGCCCAGTGCCCTGGCTGCCAGGATAGCCCTGCTGGCAAGTTGGGGCCCAGTCAGGCTGGGCCCAGTGGGCATGCAGTTAGTGGGAGCCCCAGCGGGTTAGCCCTTCCCCTAGCAAGCCAGTGAGAGCAAGCGGAGAGAGCAGACATATTTACCATTAGAAACGGCTTGAGTGGGGATGTGCTGCTCTAGCCGCCTTTCCCCTGTTTGACATTGTAAAAAAGCTGTTTAGGTGCTGGGCAGAAGCCACTGTGGCCCTCTGGCCCCGGACCCCTCCCCACCCTCTCCTCCCCACTGCCAGCCCAAACCAGTAGCCCCAAATGATGAGCCCTGGGACCCTTATGACAGCTTCACTCCTCATCCTTATCCTGTCTGGTGGTATCCCCAAAGATGCCAAGCTCCCCGCAAGTGACTGAAAAACTGAAACAGTCTCAGAAAGGGCAACCAACCATGTGCCCAGTACCACAGAGCATGCTCAAGCCTAAGCTGGGATGCACCCTCAAGTCTTACTAACCACAAAATCCCAAATCCCAAAGGGTGCCGCCCTTTCTGCTAAACTATACTGCCTTCTCAGTCTTCCCACCGAATCTGAATGTCCTGACGGCCCCAGGCAATGATGTTTCCTCTTACCAGGGATGGCCAGAAAAATTAGATATATGGCAAGGTAAAATAAGTTCTATTGGAGAAGAGGAAGAGGAACTAGGAAAGAATATAGCTGTAAACCCCAGAATAGCCTCATTTGGTCTTTTCTGCCTCATTTGGCCTTTTCTGCCTCATTTGGCCACAGCCCAGTGGTGGAACAGGTCTTGAGTTAGAGAAGAGCCCAAGCTCAGTAAGGGTGTTTTCAGAAGCAACCATGTCTGGAACTTTGAACAGAAATAAATCAGAGAGGGATCAGACCTTCACATCCCTGGCCCCTGACTCATGCATCTTTTCTTTGGGCACTGCAAACAATTTCTTTTGAGAGACTGGGGATGTGTGAATGTGTCCAGGAGGTGGTGAGAGCTTTGAAAAGCAAAATAATTAGACCTATGAGTAAAAAATGAAAGGAGCTGAAACACACCAGCCCAAAGAAGGCAATGAGAAGAGCCTAAAAATGTTCTGGGGTCTTTGAAGAGTTAATTCAGAGGGAAACGTGGCAGGGGAGATTTTAATTATATAGGGACTTTAGAAATGGATGTGCCAGTCTCTGGAGCAAGTGCCTGAGGGAGCCCTGTAAGAGCATCATCTGCTCTCCAGTTCCTATTCCTGCAGTGAAAGGGACAGGTCCCTGGAAAGTCTAGTTCCTCAGTTAATGTCATGTCTCTGATATACATAACTTCATACACAGTGACTGGATTCACACACCCCCATCCTCAGCATGCCACAGCCCACCAGATGGACAGTCATTCATAAACACCTATGCCCACACAGCAAGCTCATGCCCTGCCTGGCTAAAGACACAGCCTCTCTCTCAGCCAAACCTCTTCCTTTCATTTCCCCCTTCTCCAAGGGGAAACCTTGTTCCATCATCCTTCTCAGCACTAAAGACCTAAAGGCTAAAGGAATTAGGAATTAACTTTAAGGAATTAAACTCATCTAGGGTACCTGAAAATATGTGAGATAAGGCCTAAGAATTCAGGAAGAGGGATCCAGGTATTAAGAGGACCTCAAATCAAGGTAAGAGATGGAAGGCTGGAGTTGGTGAGGAAGAAACAGGGTTGCTGGTGGAGCTGAGAGGGAGTACCACTGGCATCTGGAGGAGAGAGAAGGAAATGGGGGGTAAGGTGAGGTGAGTAGAAAGGGGAGTTGCAGGAGGAGAGTGAGGAGAGAAGGAATAAAGAGGAAAAAGATACCTGGAGCCAGGAAACCCCATCTGTCAGTCAGTTCAGGGATGGTTGTTCCAGGAAGGAGCACTCTGTCCCACCCTCAGTTGCAGAGTGGGGACACTGGGCTTTGATAATTCCTCTGTTATCACACTAGTCAACCAAGGGCCTCTGGTCAGGCCTAAGCAGATGCATTTCCCCAGATCTCTTCCCACTTCTCAACTACAGCCTTGGTCAATAAGCAACTCTGCTAATTATTCCCAGTTTGGCAACACTTTGTCCTGGGATGAAGAGGGTGGTGAGGCTCCTGGAACAGGGTGGTAAAACCACTGGGATGGGGAGGGGAAGAGGGCTGGGGAGCCCTTCAGTCTCTCTTTGAGTTGTCCCTTACTAGACCTGGCATTTTCTGGGTCTTAACTCCCTCACCAGTCCCTCTGTGCCCAGCACCTGGGCCCCATGCACTCCTCCACTTCCCTGGTTCCCAAAGGGTCCCACCCCCACCCCATCTCAGGTGGACTGAGTTCTCCCCTGGCCTCACCCACCGATGCATGTCTTCCCGTCGGTATGGAGCACAAACTTGATATGGCAGCCGCACCGGGGACCCTGCTCTGTGTCATCACACGTGTGCTGGCAGCCGCCGTTACCATAGTTGCATGTCACTGTGCACAGAGAGGACAGGGCCCTGTCAGCTTGCTCCTCCCTGCATCCACAGTTTTCCACAATGTGGGTACTGGCCCCCTTGCCTAGTTGCCTCCCCCATACTCCCTTTTCCTCCCAGCCCTGTCCTCTTGCTCCTGAAGCCCTATACCCTTCCTCTATGTTTTCACCCCCGACCCCACTGCCCCACCTGCCATCCCAATTATCTCACATTTACAGTCCCGTTGGTTCTTGGTAAGCTCAAAGCCAGGACGGCATTCACAGGCAATACCCCCCTTGGGTGTCTCCCGGCAAATGTGGGCACAGCCGTGGTTCTTGTTCATGCAATTCATTCCTTCTAAAAGAGAAGAAAGGGGTGTGAATGCTCTGTACCCCTGGATGTCTAGAAAAGAAAAACTACAGGGGGCAACTGGGGACCTAGGGAACTGGGAGAATTCTACTGAGGTTGAATTCAACACGAGGGGACTGACTCTCCTTGTCCCAGGCCTCCTGTCTTCCCCACAGACCTGGGTGCTCATGAGCAGAGCACAGAGCTGTTCTGAATGATGTATAACTAGCTAGCTATTGATACTCATCCCAACGAATGATCACCCTTTCCTTTAAACAACCAAAACATTGTGTATAATAGGTGTCCAGCACTGTGCTGGAGATGGGGTGGATTTAGGAAGGTCCTAGAAAAATACAAGGTGTGATCACTCCCCTCAAAGAGCTTACAGTCAAACTGGGAAGAAGATCAGTAGCAATCAGATCTACAATGAGAGTGGAGGGTAATTGGTATAGATATTTACTATGCAATTTTATTCAACAAACATTTATTAAACTCTCACTACACGCAGGGCAGTATGTTAGGTGCTGGGGATACAACAATGAGTTAGACATAGTCCCTGCCCTCAGGGATGTCACAGTCTAGTGGGAGTGGGGGGCATGAGTCATAGAAACAGCCAATATAAACCCATTATTCCTGCCTGACCCTCCCATGCCAATCCAAGGAAAAAGATATGGTGAGGCCCTCTCAGATAGGCAGCAGCTTAGAGAAGCTCAGCCATCTACAATTAGGGACAACATCCACCTCAGGTCTGGACACAGAGGATACTCCATAGTAGCCTTAATCCCATATTGATCCCAACCTCAAAGTAATTTCCCCAGATTTTGCCCTAACAGGGTGTCTGTTCCTAGATCCTTTAGGGTGTGATTGAGTTGAAGGACAAGAGAAGAAGGAGCTAGCTGAGTTGAGAATGGAGGGTGAGACTTAGGGGCTGCTGAGGGACAGCTGGGAAGAGAAGCCTGGGGAGGGCAGGGATGGGGCCATCCCAGGTCATGGGCTGACCTTCTGGCCGCTGGATACAGGTATGCTGGTTGTCGCTGAGGAAGAAGCCTTCCCGGCAGTGGCACTCATAGCTGCCCATCATGTTGACACAGCTCTGCTGACAGCCGCCGTTGCCCTCGGCACACTCGTCCACATCTGTGCAGGATAGGTAGTCAGTGGGGTCATGGGGTACAGGCAGGGTCCAGGGTATATCCCAAGACTTCAGCACCAAAGGCAGTCTTAAGAACTACTACCCCCTAAGCCCAGCCTTAAGCCAGGAAGTCCTCACACCCTTGTCAGCTAATATTTCACTAAGTGTAAAAAGGCTGCCCTGAGGGCAGAGCTGGGAAGCTAAGCAAGTGGGGGAAAAGGGGACCTTTGAACCTCAAATGTCACCTAGGTGAAGCCATGCCTCCCTTTCCCTCACCTGTGTAAACTGGGTATGAAGACAGAGGACACCAGGAAAGAAGCCAGAGAAAGAGGAACAGTGATGAAGGTAAGGATGGAGATTGGTCACATTGGTCGGATAGGTAACTGGGGGTTGCAGCTGGTTGCAATGAGCAGCCAGGGAATGTAGGAACCTGGGAAGTGGCTCTGGGTGCAGGCAGAGCTATGGCCATGGTGCTGAGGTTGGAGGGGCAGGGTGGGGAAAGGCAGCTGAGCCTCACCTCCTTGTGGAGCAGGGACCATTTCTGTGGACAGGCCACAGCCCTGTCCTTCCTCCCCTCCCCCCTGTGCCTGGGCTTGCTGCCATATTCCCTAGCCTTTCTCCTATTTTGGCTTAACAAAACAAAGTCTGACAACTTGGCGGGGAGGGATCTGGGGAGAGCTGCCAGGCCACACCCTAGATGGTGGGGGTGGGGGGCAGGGAGAACAGTAGGCTCTCACCCCCAAATCACCACCCCTAGGTTCTAGAGCCAAGCTCACCCTGGAGCCCCCAATTCAACACCTTGATTCCATCTCTATGCTAGCTACTGCCCTCCCAAGTCCATGGCCCTTCTCAGTTTGCCTTGGCCCAGGAGGCATCACGTAGATTGGTTGTCAAATGGAGCAGCTAGAATCTGGGCTCCTGAGGGCTTCATCTGCCCCTCTCTTCCCATCCTCTCTGCTGAGATCCTGCAACCTTCTCTTCCCCTTCTGGCCAGGGCAGAGAGGCCCAGATCCAGCTGGCTCTTGCCCAAGAGATGCACCTGTTGGAAGAGCTAAGGTGTACTTTCCTGTGCTTTGCTCCTGTCTCTACCCTGTCTTTTGCTGTTCTCTTGACTTCTCCCCATCCCTGTCTTCCTGCTCTTGCCACATTCTACATGCCATCCTTCTGTCTGCTCCCTTACTATCTAACCTTGTGGCTTTGCTACTCTAGCCAAGCTCTTTCCTCCAATTCTCAGTGGGGAAGCTAAGGCCCAGAGCATGGACAACTTTCTCAAAATTCCCCTAAGAGCCAAAGGTAGTATTGAGACTTTGAACCCTAACCCTAGGTAATCTTTGTCCCTTGACCCTCTCTATACCTAATCATTCTCTTGTCCCTCTGGTTGGTTCTCCCCAAAACACTTATAGGGAAATGAGATGTGGTGACAATCAGGGGCCTAGAAAAGTCAAAGGCAGCCAAAGAACTCAGAAGCTTATGTGCATGTCCTGTAGGCAACTCACTGTCCTGGTCTAAGTGCCACAGCTTCCCTTCCCAAAGGAGTTTCATAAGAGGCCCTCAAGGGTGACTGGGCAGATATGAGGCCCTTCCCTGGAAGCTAAAATGGTAGGAGAGGTGACCAGGGCTGGGATTAAGGGCCCAGCAGATATCAGGGTTTGGAGGCCAGGGTTGGGTGTAGAAACCTATAGCCTGGGTCCAATGATGGGTTATGACTAGGTTTGGAGGCAGCTCTGCAGTAAGGAGGCTCTTCTCAGCCAATAGGACTTAAGAGAATTCATCTATTTGGTCAATTGGTGGGTGAGGACCAGCCCAGCCTGCTTTTCTGGGCATCATTCCTTTTGTTTCTCTTCCTTTCCTGGTCCTTTATGCTTCTAGTGCCTGTTTTCTGTTGTGGCTACAGGGTGAAGTAATTTGGGAGAAGGCCCTGGGTTCAAATTTCAAATCCTTTTCTGCTATGAGCTTCAGATTTTCTGCTTGGGGAAGAGTCTGACTTGGTCCCAGTAATTTTCCAAAATGACAGAGACCAAAGTTGAGTTCAGTTCCTTAGAGATTCTCTTATCTCTGATCCAGCTCCTGGGACAAAGGAGATCAGTGAGGAGAGGGTGAGACTGGAGATTGCAGGAAGAACTGGGAGAAAACAAGCCTGTAAGGGTCAGAGGCTTCCTGGGGCATAGGGATGCACTGTCGTCATCATCAAAAACATTCTTCCCATTACTGAGCTCCTACCATGTGCTAAGGATTGTACAGGGCTCTTTTCATATGTTGTCTTGTGGTGATCCGCACAGCAGCCTTCAAGTGGGTTATTACCACCCCATTCTATTTTATTGTTATTTTTTGAGATAAGATTGCTCGATCTGGAGCGCAGTGACACAATCACAGCTAACTGCAGCCTCGACTTCCTAGGCTCAAGCCAAGGAAGAGCTCCCAAGTAGCTGGGGACTACAGGTATGCACCATCATGACTGACTAATTTTTATTATTATTATTTTTTGTAGAAACAGGGTCTCACTATGTTGCCCAGGCCTGTCTTGAACTCCTGGGCTCTAGCAGTCCCTCTGCCTCGGCCTCCCAAAGTGCTGGGATTACAGGTGTGAGCTACCACACCTGGTCCCACCCCCATTTTAGAGAGGAGAAAGATGAGATTTCCAGAGATTGGCTGATTTGCCCAAGACCCAAGGCTAGTAAGCAGCAGAACCAAGATATCTGTGTGGAGCCAAATCAGCTTCCTACCATGCCTCACCACTGGCTAAACCCACTATTCCCATCTCCTGGCCCTTGCCCTAGGAGCATTTCGTAGCAGCTTTTCCTCTAATGTTTTTCATCCAGCAGGATTTTTCATCCTAAGTGGCCAGTCTCAAAGGGGAGGCTGACCTTATTCTCTTGTGAATGTAGCTCTTCTTGATCACTCTCTCCTCCTTCCCTGGGAAATAGGAAATGCTGAAAAGATCTCTTTCTCCACAAGACATCCCTCCACCAAATCCCCTCTCCTTTGCTTACCCAGACAGTTGTGTCCGTCATGTGCCAGGTGGAATCCATCATAGCAGGTACACCGGTAATTGCCAGGGATGTTGACACAGTCATGCACACAACCTGCATTATCCTCTCGCTCGCACTCATCCACGTCTGTGGGCAAAGGGAAGCTGAGACAGCTGAACCCACCTGCGAACCCACTGTCCACCCCCAGACTCAGCCTTATGGTTGTGTTTACATAGTTATGTTCATGGCCTATAAGCCATTTAGCATTTTTCTGTTTTCATTTAAACCTAAGTCATGAACATTTTCAGGTCTCCATCCAGTCTTTCTAATTACCATTGTACATGGTTGCAGAATATTATTTTTCTATTTTTTTCTCTATTGTTAGAGATTTAGATTTCTTTAATTTATTTTACCATCATAGATAATGCATCAAAGAACATCTTCTCCCATGTATTATTTTGTTACTTTGAATAAGTCCCCAAGAGTAAAATTCCTGGATCAAAGGAAATACCTTTTAAGATTCCTGGTAGGTATTACAAAATTACTTTTCAATTTATAATGCAACTAGGAATTAACAAGTGTACCCTGTCCACTAAAGTCTCACCAACACTGAAGCTCATAAATTTAATATCTCAAGGCTACTTTAATTTGCATTGATTTAATTATGAGGGGAAGATGTGTTTACATTATGAACTTCCTCTGAAGCACACTTTCTGTTCCCATCCATTGTGGATGTGGTGTAAGGGTCTAAAGATAAAGGTTCCAATGTCAGGGAACCTCAGGTCTTAGTCTTATGATTTTCATGCTCCCACCCCAGCCAGGTTGTGGGCTGTGAACTGTCCCCACCAGGGCCTCTGCTAGCCTGCATGGTGCCTTTGTGCAAATTAGAAAATGGCACCCTCTCTGGGAAGATGCAGTTGCCCCCCTCACCACCCCCCCACCACTTGACCAGTGGAATTTCTAGCCTTGATGTGATGGAGAGTGGCCAACTGAGGGCAGTGGCACTGGTTTGCCTTCTTCCACAGGTCCCTCTCCTCCAGGTGCCCTTCCAGCCTCACCTTTGCAGTGTTTGCCGTCCCCTGTGTAGCCAGACTTGCAGATGCACTTGTATGACCTCGGGGTGTTCTGGCAGATAGCATCGATGTGGCAGTTGTCAGTCCCCTCCACACACTCATCCACATCTGGCAGGGGCAGAGGGGGCACATGAGAACCTCTGTTGGCACCTCTTAAGGGGTGTCTTGAAGGTGGGCTTCCAAGGGCAGAATCCCCTCTTCTCTAAAACAGAGGCAGTGACCCCCTCCAGAAACAGGTGCTGTCTCACATCTCTCTGATTTCAGAGTAGGCAGACACTGATTTTGGGAATTCAGAAGGAACCCCCACTGCCCTCAAAAATACTAAATTCACAGTGACAGCTAAAACTCCATCATTCGAAACACTCCTTTTTTTATTTGAAAACAAACAAAAAACCCTTAGAGTGGGTAGTACACTTAACTTGATTAGGAATAATCAACTTAAAGTGAATGAGTTTACGGAGAAGGCTTAGAGGGAAAGTTAAGGGAAAAGGCATGGGAACAGTGGTCTCTGGGAAGGTGGCAGGGTCCAGCAATCACTAGTAAAGGAGGAAGAAAGGGGGATGGGGCATCTGAGGGATCTTCATCTGTGTCATGATTCTGCTTGAGACCAGGCCTGCTTCCACTTGCCCACCATGGAGCCAAGAAGCTTTAGAGGAAAAATGTTCCATCCTGGATGATTTTCCTCGGCCCCTGTGCTGCCAACAATGGAGACATCCAGAGCTGGCAGAGGTTGGCACCAGCTACCTGAAGCCTAATAAGTGCAGCCCTTCAGGCCCTAATCCCCAGTGTTTAGCCCTCTGTCTCCTGGCCCTAGCTCTAACAATAGGTGCTACACACACAGCTATACTTGAAGGAAGAGGCCACTCACCATCTAGCAAAAAAGAGGATGGTTAGGAAAGGACATAGATGATGCCAGGCGCGGTGGCTCATGCCTGTAATCCCAGCACTTTGGGAGGCCAAGGCAGGTGGATCATGAGGTCAGGAGTTCGAGACCAGCCTGACCTTGATGAAACCCCATCTCTACTAAAAATACAAAAATTAGCCAGGTGTGGTGATGTGTGCCTGTAATCCCAGCTACTCAGGAGGCTGTGGCAGGAGAATCGCTTGAACCAGGGAGGCGGAGGTTGCAGTGAGCTGAGATCGCGCTAATGCACTCCAGCCTGGGCGACAGTGAGACTCTATCTCAAAAAAAAAAAAAAAAAAAAAAGGACATAGAAAAGAGTCCAACTTCTGAGGCAATATTATGGTGCCCTTAAATCTGAACTGAAATAGAGAAACATGTTATTCAGTTGAAAACGCCTTATTGAGTGTGTTTGTGAAAGACACTATAATGATAGCTGTGGAGGCTCAAAGGTGACTCAGCCCAGCCAAAAGGAGAAACAAAAAACATGGAGCAGAATGTGGTACATGCCCTGAAGACATGAGAGATAAGGTGAGGGGGTCCTCCACCCTGCACATCAGAGTCAACTCTCCTAGGAGATGTCCAAGCCACAACCCCAGAGATTCTGGTCAGATAGCCTGGACTGGTGCCGGGCCATCAGTATTTTTCTAAAGCTCTTCCAGTTATTCTAATGTGTAGTCAAGGTTGAGAACCTGTGTTACGGGGCAGATCAGAGGAGAAAGAGATTACTTCCAGCTGGAAACTGGGAAACCCAAAATAGTGTCTTAAGTAGCAGCCTGCAAGTGAGTGATCACTGAATGGGAGGCATTACTCTCCTGTGATCCCACAACTGAGCACAGAAAGGAGATGAGATTTGACACCAAGACAATTTGATATCCAAGTGTGATCTATGGGCCATAGAATTGCCTAGGTTTTATTAAAATGCAGATTCTCAGGACTCATTATAGCCTTTTTGAATCCAAATCCTTAAGTGATTATTTTTACTGAGTGAATGGATGCATGGACCAGTATTCTCTCCAATTTATAGATACCCAGAGTCCTAGCTTGAGACAGTTATCTGTCCTCCGCTTTTATACTCTGAAACTTCCTGGGGCTAAGAAGAGAACTGAAATCCCCAAACACCCTGCCTCAAATCTCACAGGTTTCCGTTCAGCTCTTCATTCTACCCTTCAACTCCTATGCAGCCAACCATCATACCAGTTGATTCTAAGTGCTGGGAGCCTCTGTCTACACTTACTCTCCACCTCGCTCAGGCTCCATAGGCATGGTGTCTACCTGCTGGCCCATCCTGGGAAGTCATCCCAACGTGACAGAATGGAAAAGAGAGGGCATGGAAGACTAGTTCATAGGTAAGGGCAAGAGGGACCTCGCAGATGGTAAGGTGCTCTGTGGAGAATCAGTTTGTCCAACTGATAAACAGAAAACAGTACAAAGAAATGTGCTATCACAGAACGATCTTAAGCACTGGAACCAGTCAGTCCCAGATTCAAATCCAGCTCTACCCTTCTCTAGGGATGGTTTTCTTATTCTCCATCTCCTCCCCCTTAAAATGGGGATGATAATACCTCCTCATGAGAGGCTGTGAGTAGCTGATGGGATAATTTGTGTAAATTGGCTAATAAAGTATCTGGTAAACAGTAGGGTCCCAATACAGGAAGCTTGAGATGGTATTAAATCACTGGTCAGGCAATAGATGCTCGAGACAGTATGACAGCCACTAGCCACATGTGGTTATTTAATTTAAAATTCACTTCCTCAGTTGCACTAGCCACAGGCCAAATGCGCAATAGCCACATGTGGCTAGTGGCTACCATGGCGGAAAGCATAGATATGGAACATTTCCAACACCACAGAAATAGCACTGCTATTAGCACACCACAGGATAGCACTGCTCTGGGGTTCTGAATAAGAGATACTCCCTGGGTCCAGCAGCACGGATACTGGTCTGGAACTGCTCCCCTGACCATATCAGAGGTATGTGCCTGTGACTGAATCAGCTGGTGCTTCACTAGAGACTGTGTCAGACTATATGGGCTCCCAATTCTTTCCTTTGCCTCCCATTCAGTGCTCACCAGTACTAGAGTGGATCTTGATGCTGATCACCACAAACCCAGGCCTCCCAGCAGATTCTTTTTTTTTTTTTTTTTTTTTTTTTTGAGATGAAGTCTCGGTCTGTCACCCAGGCTGGAGTACAGTAGTGGTGTGATCTCGGCTCACTGCAACCTCTGCCTCCCAGGTTCAAGCTATTCTTCTGCCTCAGCCTCCTGAGTATCTGGGATTACAGGCATGTGCCACCACACTTGGCTAATTTTTGTATTATTAATAGAGACATGGTTTTGCCACATTGGCCAGGCTGGTCTCGAACTCCTGACCTCAAGTGATCTGCCCGCCTTAGCCTCCCAAAGTGCTGGGATTACAGGCGCGAGCCACTACACCTGGCCACAGATTTTTTAGACCCCTCCTACAGCCAGACTTCTCCCACCATCTAACTAACCCCTCTCCCTTACCTCCCTGCTCACAATGCTTATCCCTCTCCAGCAAAGAGTCTCTGCTCTGGAAGACATTATCTCTTCCTGTTCCCTCTACAATACCTAACCATCCTATTCCTTTCTATGCATTTGCGTATTTTCGTTATTCACATTGCAGATGCATTCCTCATTTTTCTCTTCCAGCCACACTATGCTCAGCTTTCCATTCCAGCTCAAATTTTTCTTCCCAAAAGCTCTTCCTTGTAAGCCCCGTTCCTGGTGAGTTCCTGGTCCAAGGGGACTGTTCTCCTCAGTTCATTTACAGCCGTCACTGAATTGCTCTGCTAATACTTTAAAGCGTGTTCAGCTTTCCTCACCTGGCTGGGTACCTGCTGAGGAAGATGTCCCTTCAATGTTTGGTTGGAGTCTTTTGAAGCAGAACAGACCTAAGACAAAGCTGTGAAAGAGGGCCCCAAATTATACCCAGTATCTCCTCCTTTTACCACTCATTCTTCCAGAGTTCTCTCCTACCATATGTGCCCACCCAGAATTTGTCCTTGCAAGGACCCTTCAACGCTCACAGCACAGTCTCATCTTAGCCTGTTCTCTCAGGATGCAGGTGCTTACTAGCTGGAAAACCAGTTGATGCTACTGGGTGTGGACTGGTTTAAACCAGCGGTTCTCAACCCTGGGGCTACACACTGGAATTCCCTGGGGGTTTTGAAAAAAATGTGAATGTACAGATGTCCCCTAGACCAGCTGAATCAGGATCTCCAGGGTGAGGCTGTGGCTACTATCTGTCTTCCTTTCCCAAGGTAATGCCAATAAACTATTTGCCCAAGCTGGGAAGAGACCAGGGCAGCCACATGACAGAGTAGTTAAGAGAGAGGTTCTGGAGCAACATTGTCAGTTCAATTGCTAGCTCTACCTGTGTCTGTGTGGTCCTGGGCCAGCCTCTGAACTTACCTGTTCCCTCCTCTGTATGTGGGAATAATATTCATCATAGTACCTCCCCATGGGGCTTCCAGGAACATCAGTTGAATTAATACCCATCAAGTACTTAACACCACAGTGTGGGCATATAGAAAGTGCTCAACAAAGGTTTGCTATTTTTTTCTTTCTTTTTGAAACAGAGACAGGGTCTTGCTCTGCTTATCCAGGCAGGAATGCAATGGCATGAACATAGCTCACTGCAACCTCGAAATCCTGGGCTCAAGTGATCCTCCCACCTCAGCCTACTGAGTAACTGGGACTATATGCGCGTGGCATCATGCTCAGCCAATTTTTTAAAATTTTTAGAGGCAGGGTCTTGCTATGTTGCCCAAGCTGGTCTCGAACTCCTGGATTTGAACGACCCTCTCATGTCAGCCTCCCAAAGTGCTGGTATTACAGGTGTGAGTCGCCATGCCTAGCCAAGGTTTGCTACTATTATTCCTTCTCTCCAACCTTCTCCCTGTATTCTTTCTGAACTCCCTTTCCCTATCAAAGCCCCATTTCAGGCCTGGTGTGGGGAAATGCAGCACCAGGTGAGCATGTGTTGGTGGGGAGGATTTGGGGAGACACATCCCCACTGCTTACTCTACCTGTGCTGGGAACTGCACAAAGAATGGGGGTGAAGTGGGTGAGAGGCCAGTTGGGAACCCAAAAGCTGTCCTCTACAATTCTTTTTGAAGGCTAGGGAGATCCCACTCCTACTTCAGGCCATGCATTGGAACCAAAGTTGAGGTGGGGGAGAGTGGTGGCTGCACAGATACCATAGACAAGCCAAGACCTCCCTGCCTCGCCCTGTCCTGGCATGAAGGCACAGGTCTGTAACTACAGCAGCTTTTCCCAGTACCATCTGACATTTCTTCTGAATTTGCTTTAGCGCCTAGCAGAGCACTCCATAAACTCTCCTAAAGTAGGTAGGAAGGGTAGGATGGGGTATGGGATATGAGGGTCAGAGGGTCAGACCAGAAAGGGTGGATTATTATAAAACAAGTAGTCCTAAGATTCTGAGGATGGGCAGGTGTACCCTAAAAGGGAAGCAGTGGGATTCCCAAGTAAATACTTCATCTACTTCACAAGTTTGCCCAAGCCCAGCTCAGGAACAGTAACAAATGGAAATGAGCAGGGATGCCGGCTGTGGACAAGCAGACCCCCTAGGTAGAGTCCACCCCACCTTCCCATTACCACAGGAATTATTACCTTACCACCCATAGGGGAGGGGGTAATTGTGGGCAAATTTGATGGGCCCAGTGGGACAGTCAGAAACAGCCTGCCTAGAGCCCTAATGTACCCACCCACATAGCTGTGACATCCTCAGCCCAGCCAGGCTAGCCCAGGATATATGGTGTGTGTAGCGCACTCTGCTATTTTCCTCTCCTTGAATGTCCTTGAGGACCCAGTTCAGGTGCCTCTGCTGGGACACTCCCTGTGACACTACCAGCCTTCTCTGATCTACTCTTTCTCTTGACTCCTAAGACTTACTGTCAGGCTCTCTGGTCACCTGATCAATCCCAGGCTTGTGATACCTCATATGCTACCTTGTACCATTATTTAACTTTTAGTTCATGTGTATAATTTTCCTACTGAAGCAGTAGGAGCTTGAGGCCATGGCTCCTAAAGCTTTGAAACCCATGCAGCAACTGAAATAGAGCTCAGCATTCATTCATTCACTCACTCACTCAATAGTTATTGAGCACCTCCAACATGCGAAGCACCGTGCTAGGTGCTGGGGATTTGGCAGTGAACCAGAGATGAATTCTACATTGAAGCCACTTAGTAAATATTTGTTAAACAGATAGACGAGTGGATGGAGACATGGATGCATTAGTAGTGAGTGGATAATGTCTCTATCTGTGGCATCCCTTCTGCTCTATGTTACCTCAGAGAAAAATCTCACTTCTTTACTCTCCGTGATCCCACAACTGTTCTGGATGGGGGAAGTCCCAGGAAGTTTAGTCTCAAGTGGAGAGTAGGGAGAGAGGAAACTAAATTCAGAGGGGTAGTACCCACTTAAAGGCATCCATATGATGAGTGCTGGGGCCAGAAGAGACTGGAACCAATGAGTCATAGGGTCTCAGGGTCTTCAGACATCATATGGGGCTGCTACAGGGATCTTTTCAGAGCATCCCCTTCAACAGATGTTCCTCAGCCTCCATGCTAACTCTCAATGATGGGGCACCTGACACAGGCATTCCACTGCTTGCCCCTGGTGATTTCCCTCATTCTCACCTCTAAGTAACATCCAAAATAAAACCAGCCCAGCCTTGGGCCATGATATCCTAACCCACAGCATGTGCACATGTACCCACATCTGCATATCTGCTCTACCTCCAGATCAAAATAGCAACCAGGGAGATTGGCAGAGCCTGGAGTACCAGGCTGTCTTCCCAGTTTGGGACTGGCTGAGGCACTGTGACTTCAGTGAGAGTCTGGGCCCATCCTCAGTCTAGAAAAAGCTTATGCAAGGATGAGGGTAGCCTAGAGAAAGTCCAGAAAACCACACAAATGACCACCTGTTGATTCCAAGGCGGAGACAGAGCACTTTCTCCTTTTAAAAACAGTATCCTCTCCTCTCACTCAAGCTTAGCCTGCTCAACTGAACAGCCAGGAAAAGCTGCTGGTGTTTGGTGATTTGAAGGGAAGGGGGTCTGAACCTCAGAAGCTTGTCACTTACTGGGGACCCTGATGAGTTTCTCTCTGTTGTCCTGCCTTATCCCTAATCTAGCTCCCTGATCATTTGAATGTAACCCTAATTGGACAAGAATTTTCTCCCTTTCAGTATGGACAAAATCAACAACCATGAATCAGAGACTTTTAGAGGATGGGTAGTGAAGTGGGGGAAGAACAGAACATTGTAGAGTGAGGGGCAGAGAGGCAGGCAGTGGGCATGGGTAGGTTCTGGTTTTGTGATTAGTAATATTATCTCTTTAATTGAAAAAAATAAACTCATTTCAGATTCGTATAATTTCACTAAGTGTACAGTTTTTTCATGCAGGTTGGTTCACGTGGTCTTCAAACTGTCCTCTCTCATCTGGGGCCCAGTGAGGATACCTCAGGAAAGAGCAAGTAGCTAGTGTAAAGCCAGGATCCAGGTCTTCAAACTCCCAGTCCAGTGCTCTCTAACTACCCACTGTGTTCTCTAAGCACTTGAGGGAGGAATCCATGCCTTAGTCATTATTGTACCTCCCCCAACTCCACCTCAGCACTTAGTTCAGCATGAAGCATGCATCCAGTATATAACCGTGGAGCGGAAGGAGCTGAAATGTACATGATCCAGGGAGGAAATCAGCAGTGGGAATGCAGATGCTCTGAGGCTTTGGGCATGGGAGCAGCAGAAGAGAGCAAGGCTGAGTAGTGGGCAGGGAGGGTACAGACACAGTTGCAATAAGGAAAGGGTGGGCAATGCAACAGTGGGCAGGTGTTGCCTGCCCTTGGATTCACTATGCTGGGGCCAAGCAGCTGGTTAGAAACAAAAACAAACACCAGGGATACAGGTTCCTGCTGTTAACAGCTTCAAACCGCCAGAGGAAAACTCCAAATAAATATAATTAGAAACTTGTAAAAACGTCCTCTCTGTAAACCTGCTCCCCAGGGTCTACCCTTCAAGCACTCCCCTTCCCCAGCCCTCCCCCCAATGCCCACATATCCTGATACTCCCCACTTTCAGAGGGATTCCTTAGATGTGTTTCCTTATCCTGGATCTTCCCTCCAGCCCTGCAGCCCCTGCCCAGGTCTTTCCTCAGCTTGTTACCACCAGTGACCAGACCTGAAGAGCCCCTGGTGTAGGCTCAGAAATCCAAACCCCACAGCTCTCTAGGGCTATGGTTATAACCACAGGGAAAACCAGAGGTAAGAGCAAGGACCACTGTGCCCTATATAGGGGTCATCATCCCATTTGTTCAGCCAAAGCACAGCATCTAACAGCAACTACAAAGCAGTGCTTGATCTGCAGGGGGACATGTCTAGGCTAGGGCAGAATACAGACAGCTAGTCTCAGAGCTAGAAACACGGAATCCTGGGGCCCAGATCCAAGAATATTCAGTTCCCATAACACGGATATTTCAGCTCCACTTCCCAACTTTGTTGGATACACACATATAGAAACACACATGTGTTCTTCAGGGGCTATTTCCAGGGATAAATACCCACTTCATGGACACAGTAAGAACTATCAGCTACTTGGGGTTCCAGGAAACTGGGGTGGGGGAAGAAAGGAAGAGTATCCAGATGACCTAGCCTCAGGCAGGCAGAAGTGGACCAGCATCCAAGGAGGAGAGCGCCTGAGATTTGGGTGAGTAACCTGTGGAGGCCCGGCGCCTTCTGCCTTCAGCAGGAAGGATTTCAGTGAGATGTGCAGAATCTCAGGGCTGCAGGGAACCCTACTGATATTTTACAAGTGAGAAGAGGGATTTCAGTGATTTCCTCCGAGGCTCAAATCCTTAGGCTCTGCATTTGTCTAAACCCACTGGCACCATATACCTCTATATCCCCGGTGCCACTTGAGGCTGGCATTGGGTGGGCATAGGAACAGGAGAGTAGCCAGTCCAATGTTAAGTGGCCAGTGGGGGAGGGGAGTCTCTGTCCCCTCTTAGCCCAGGTGACTAGCTCCTGTACCCCCTAGACATCCCTGGGTTGGCCGTTGTTTCGCTTCTATACCCAAGGCCCAGCAGTCCTTCTGTTTCCAGACTCCAGTCTTCTGAGCCTGAAGAAGCTGTCCCCAGGTCTGGGCCTCTTGCAGGCACTGCCAGCCTCAGAGCAGCTCTGCAGTTTCCAGCCCTGACAGGGACTCTTTCTTATAAGTGGTCATGTGCTAGGGATACGGGATGTCAAAGGAGGCCCACACCCTGACATTTGGGGACCAGAGCTGGGGGAAAGGACTGAGTGAGTTCAGGCAGCAAGCTCTTCCAGCTCCATCTTCTCAAAAGGTCTGAAGCCCTTCGTTCCCTTCCCCTGTCCTCAGTTCAAGGCACTGGACCAAGCCATTCCACTTCTTTACTTCTCCAACTAAAACAAAATGCATATTGCCCCACTTCCTTTTTCCTCTCACCAGAGCACTTCACACACACACACACCCTGAGTCATGCACACACATTCACACGTGTGTGAATGCACACTTCACATTCCCAAACTCACACCCAGGGCCGGCTCCTCTTACAACAGGTCCCAGCTGCTCACATCTCAAACCGGTTCTCATGCTCTCAGATTCCTGAAGGTTTCAAAAAACAATCTCATTTGAGGGCTGCTGATGACTGTCTTCTTTCTCTGCCTGCAGTAATTCTGGCCTTAGTGTCTTCTAGTCCCCTTTCTCTTATTCCACCCTGCAGAGACTCAAAGAGATGAGAAGGAAGGGGTTGAAAACAGGGAAAAGTCTCTGTACTCTCCCACCCCGAGGCTTTCCCCACCTCTGAGACATGTCATGAGAGAAGAGAGGTCAAAGGGATTCCTGAGGAATTTCTAAGCAGTCCACCCTCTTCTCCACCTTCTGGAAAAATGGGGGTGGGCTTAGAGGGAACTGACTAAAGATCAGGCTCTGAGTGGGGACTCTCCCTCTCTCCAGTGTGGCCTGGACAGGGCACAGGCAATAGCCGGCTGCCCACGGGGCCACCCTTACCCGCTGACATGGTTATGGTTTTCATTTCATATTTTGGAGGGAGGGGCTAGTAGGAACAGTCCCCTCACTGTAAGAGCTGGCCACAGGAGCCCAGGGAAGCGGGGAGGAAAGGAAACAGCCACATTAAAGAGGAAGAGAAGGGTGGGAGAAAGAAAGAGACACATACACCCAGACAGAGACCCGGAGAGACACACCGAGACAGAGAGACACTGTTTGCCACCACATGAACGCTCTCAGTCCCAGGGATGGGGTTACTTGGAAATTCTAAATGCATGACTTTATCAAAACTCTATCCCTAACAAGGAGAGAAAACTACCAGGTAAACTAAACGGCCAGGCTGGCTCTCCTGGAGCCAGCCCTGGGGACAAGTTTCCCTGGAGGCCGAGAGACCTTTTCATTCAGCTGTAACCTGAGCCCTATGCGAGGATTAGGTCTTTTTAACCACTGCTGCACACACCCCCCCCCCCGCCGCGCCTCCCCCCCGCCCCCCCCCCCCCCGCCAAACACCCACCCCCTTACCAAAAGCAAAGCAAATTAATGCTTTTAAGTTAACAATTATCTTGGTTATCCAGTCTGTCTACTTTAAAATATACAGACAAGCACTTGAAAAACACTCAAAACCATGTCCCCTCATGCTCCCTCCCTTCCCAGTCACACAGGCTTACCCACCTACTCTTCCATACAGTTCTCACAGACACTAAAACAGCAGTTTACCCTTAGCAACTACGTCACAAGAAACACAGACATCCAGCTATGTTGCCTGTGGGTAACTGTGGTGAACCTCTCATGTGTGCACAGTCGCACACTCACCTTTACACTTAGGGCTCCCTTCCTTGTCTCCCCCTTTCCCCCCTTCCACATGACTTTGGTTTTCCCATTGTGGGAATCACTGATGAAAAGGGACAGAAACCCAGATACCCCCAGAGGTATAGTAACTCCGTGCAAGATACTTGCCAAGGGTATTTGATTTTAAAGACCTGCTAGTGCTTTATATAAAGCATGTGGCATTAAAGGCACACTTTCTGGCACTGCTGATAACCAGGAGATATGTTTGAAGGTAAGGCCTCCCTGATGCTCACAGACTGTGTCTATGGGTAAGGCTGTAAGGTTGCCCCGCCTGGTCAGTACTAGTTCTTCCTGCAGCATCTGCCTGCAAGTTTGTGTCCAGAGACATCCCTGTAACCCAGCAAACCTGCTATTAGGCAACCTCTGGCAGATGGGGTTTGTAGATTTCCTGAAGAGAAGGGTCAATGAAAGGCTTCCATTCTAGGCCAAGCTTAGGGATCAGAAGAAAAGAAGGAGGATACCAAGCTAACTGCGGTCCAGTCACAGGAAGGGTGGCCTGTGAATGAGATAAGCTGGGGACAAAAACTACTCTAAGTTCCTTGAGGGCAGGGGCCTTCACTCTGGCAGCATGTTCCTCAGTACCCAGCAGGGAGTCCAATGAAAGTGGAAGCCCTGGAGTACCATGCAGGGATTCTGACTCCCGTTCCTGAATCATGAGCTGATCTCCCATACTTGAGTGCCTTGGCTTGATGGCACCTGTCCCTTGGAGGGGTCTCCATCTGCCCCTGGGCCCCCCTCGAATACACTGCTTCTCCTTTGGTCCACAGCCTCACTAGGCCACTACAGACACTGGCTCCAACTTGAAAGAGGCCCTTATCTTGTCTCTAGGTTACTTCATGATATCTGTTCCTTCCTTCAGACTAAACTCCCCACCTAATTCCATGTTATGAGTAAGTCAGCACACACTACAAAAGCCAGCTTTGTTTATGAAAACACAAATCCACAGTGAGGAGAGGGGCTGCTCCCAGGTTGGGGGTGGCAGTGGCGATGCGCTGTCTGGAACCAGGACTGGAAAAGAGGCAGTGTGGGGCTGGAAGGTGTGGGGGCAGGGTCCAGTATTTGACAGCTGAGGATCTCTAGTGTTTCAGTTCTGTGAAAGGACAGGTTGGAGGGGGAAGAGGTTAGCTGAAGAGGCAGTGTTTGGGGAGAGGAGGGCGGCATTGATACAGCACCTTCCTCTTCACAGAGCAGGAGCCCATCCAATACAACAGAGCAGCTTAAGAGCCAAACGCTCAGGCTCTGGGACACAGCGACCTGTGTCGGACACTCAGGCTTCCCCAACTCCCAAGTTCAACTTTCCTTCTGGCCCAGCCATCTCCTCACCCAGCTGGCTTCAGGAGCCCCTGGGACAATAGGCAGAATCATACTCTCCTGGGCAAAACCTTGCCAGGAGGAATTTTCTTTTTGTCCATATAAATCTCTTGTCGGTGAGGACACGATGGGGGAGGGGTACAGCAAGAGGTCAAGGGGGAGGAGAAACTGTCCCGAGAGAACTGTAGTACATCAGCCTAGTCTCTGCCTGCACAGCCTTGGGACCTGCCAGGCGATGAGCTGGGGGTCAGGGACGGGGGCGGGAGGCCTCCCTGTCTCTCTTTAATTCCTAGAGGGATCTGTCAGAGCTCCCCGGCCTGGAATTCTACTTTGTTATTTTAATGCAATTCTGACCTGGATTTAAATGGAATTGGAAACCCGAGGCCTTAATAAATAAATATTATGATAAGAAATGAAAGCCATGCAAGACGAAAGAGATTTCACCCCAAAGAGGCAGAAACGCAACATTCCTGTCGGGAGCCAGTCACAGAAATTTTCTTCTCTTCTTCAGCCCCCTACCATCCGGTGAGAGATGAGTTGATTTTTCCATAAAAGATCCTATTTTTCTTCAACATTTTTCCACTGATAAGGCATCAACTTAGAAATGTCTAACTTTGCATGCGGGTTGGGGGTAAGGGAAAGAAATATACGGCACGGCTGAAAAGTTTTCATTATTCCCTCAGTCTCTCCAGGCCACAGCGTAAGTTTCTGGCAATGTTTGAGAGAAGAGAAAATTCTCTCTCAGATTTTGGAAGACAAGAAGTCTTTCGAAGATGCTGGGAGTGGATGAAGTCGAGCGGAATTCTGAGGCGCGTGGTCTCTTCTGCCCACCGCCCCCAAGAGTTTCTCACTCCTCTCTGCCGCCCCCAGCTTGTCCGGCTTTTCGCTCGGGGCGCAGCGCCCAGCGGTCGGGCCCCTGGCCGGGGAGTCCGGGTGCACAGAGCCGGGTTCTGACAGCAGCACGCTCCCCAGCACCTGCCCTGCCCCTCGGGAATCGCTCCTAGGCCCTGAGGCCCAGCAGCCAGGACAGCCCCCAGGCCGCGCGCCCCTCCTTCCTTACCTTGCGCGGCTTTGCTGTACTGGGCGGCGCGGGCGTGGACCAGCAGGACAAGCAGGCAGAGCCCGGGTACGCGCCCCGAGCCCATGGCTGGAGCTACTGGCGGCCCAGCCGCCGGGGCCGGTCTCGCGGCCAGGGGAGGGCGGAAGCCGGCCGGATCCCAGCTCGCAGGAGGGGGAGGGGAGGGGGCGCCCCGCCGGGGCCAGGCCGGGGGCTGCAGTCGCGGGGCGCGGACCGCGGCGCCCTCGGCGCGAGGCTCCCGATGCTACCGGCTCCTCCTGGCCGGACGTCGGGGAGAGCGAGGCGGAGAGTGCGACGAGGCGAGGGGCGCCAGGGGCGACTGACGGAGGGGAACCCCCGCCCTCTCCAAGCCGGCCTCTGCCAGCGGCGGCGGCGGGGCTGCTCCGTGTAATCCCACCCAATTCCCAGCTTCGCCGGGAGAGAGCTGCAGCCGGAGAGCGCGCAGAGCCCGAGCGAAGGACCTGAGAAAGGGGAGGGGAAACGCAGCGCCAGAAACACGCCCTTTCTGCCTCTCTTTCTTCCTCTCTCGCTCTTTCTCCGTCTCTCAGGCTCTTTTTCTTCGCCTTTCTCCTCCTCCTCCTCTTTCTCCTCCTCTCCTCGCTCCTTTTCGTTTTCTTCCTCCTCCCCCTCCTCCTCCTCCTCCTCCTCCTCCTTCTCCACCACCTCCTTTTTCGTGCCCTTTTTTCTTTCAAATGGGGCCTCGGCGCGGTGGCCGCTCCCCCTGCGCGCCCGGGCGCGGTGGCCCCCTCCCCAGGCTGCCGGGCCGCTGCCTGCAGGAATTTACAATCCGGCGATGGGGGAGCGGGCCTGGTCTCCATGGAGACGGCTTCCCCGGGAGCAGGGAGGTCAGGCGCAGACCGCGCGCAATCAATGGATCAATGCAAGCTCCGCTCGGCTCCAGACCAAACAGCACCGGGCTCCGACTCGTCCTCGCTCCCCTAGGAAAGAGTCGGGGAGCGAGGGTGCGTCCCCGCGCTCGCTCGCGAGGACGGCCGTGCGGCGCCAGGTTTGAACGCACACCTCCACCCGAGACAAAGAGGGTGCGAGGTGTTGGGGAGGCTGGGGCAGACGTGGACACACGGACACACGGGCACTCGGGCGTGTCCACCGACACAGCCTGACAGGGGACATAGGACCTCGGAACACACCGCCTCCGACACCAGGCCGAGTAACAACCTCTCAACTTTTACACCTACCACACCCCCAACCTCAAGACTCAGTCCCCATTCCTAGATGCGAGTCCACTTTGAGGACCAAAAAGAAAGTAGCCTCCGCCTGCTAAAACTGCCAGCTCCAGGGCAGACTCCCTTGCAGTTAAGGCCTTGGAGGTAAGCCTAATGAACCACCCTACCCGCAGAGACATGGACTCACATACAGACACTCTCATGTGGTCAGCACAGGGGCGAAAGCTACCCCACAGAATCATGTCTATGTGTATAAACACAGAGACATAGAGACAGGTACAAGAGGCTCCTCCAAACCTGCACCCCGCTTCAAGAGGTGGTCCTGACTGGTCCATTCTGAACCCTTCATCCTTCCAACTGAGGGGAAGCAGAGGAAAGAGAAAGGATATTTTTAAAACAGGGGCAAACCGCAGAAGGAGCAGGGTCTTCCAACCATGGATGCTGCCTCTTGACTGTTCACCCACTCTGTATCTTCTTTCCTTCCATTGTAAGGGAAAGAGGAAAGACCTCTTGAAAGGCTATGAAGACTTTCTTGGAGTGTGAGGCTGTGTTCAGAATGAGACCAGGCCAGGTCCAGTTTTCTACAGGGAAGATGCTGCTAGGACCCAGACTAGCCTCACAGAGCCCTCAGCGTACCCAGGAGGAAGAGGCAATGACCAAGATCTCCTCAAAGGTGATTCAGTTCTGAGACCTTCCATATTGGCTGCCCACATCAGCTGGGGCAAGGGGAGGACTTTGTTGGCAATGGTGCTGTCCACCAGGGAGAAGAGCTGAGCCCTTCCTTTCCTAGGGATTCAGTGGAAAAGTAGGATGGAAACAGACTCAAACTTCTTATCCTGGGATGAAGATTACTTTTGAACAAGTCATATGTCAATGGGCCTCAGTTTCCTCAGAAAACAAGAGGGTAGTGGATTCACTCAGTGGTGGAAAGGGGGCAGTGCCCCAAGGAAGCCTGGGGGAGGAGTCCTGGAGAACCTTGCATAGCATCAAAGATGACCTTTGGGATGGGAGCACATAGATCATGGGAATGGTGTGGAGGCCACAGCAAGGCTGGGTCAGATGATTGAGGTCCCTCCCATCCTTGTCACTCTAAGATGCCCTCCCTCCTTCATTCCACTGGCAAAACCCTCCCCTTGCAGCGGTTTTGCCTGCTGCCACCAATTATGTGTAGGGTTGGAGGACAAGTGTAAATTTGCCATCTTTTTTGCCCCCAACAAGAGAATGGTTTCAAAAAAGGAGAAAGAAGTGGAGGTTGCCGGACGGTGTCTGTGATCTCCATGGGGGCACAGAGAGAGAGAGCCGAGGAGCTCCCCCACGGCTGGGAGGGGAGATGGCACGCTGCCTTGCTTTGCTCTGCCTCTGCCTTCTTTGGACACTAGTGTAGCTCCTCCGGGTCCCTGGGGGGTTGGAGGGAGGGCCCCTACATCCTCCTTGAGGTGGGCAAGGAGGATTCTATAGGGGGATTATGGGTTATTTGGGGCCTTCAGTTCAGGGTGATTTCCCGGCCCTCTGAGTACGGATATTGCCCTGGCTTTCAGGGAGGGAGGTTTGGTGGGTTCTTCCACCTAAGCCACTATGTCTCTGGAAGATTGATTTTTATGCCCCGTAGTTGCCTTTTATCTCATCCTACCAGTTTTCCTCTGATGATTTCCTCTTTTCCTCTTGGACCAGATGAGCTACTCCTCCACATCTGGGCAAAAAGAGGCAGTTCCCTGCTCTTCTCTCCTGCTGCCACTCACCCAATCTGATTCCAGAGTACCCTCAGCCCTTCAGACTATTCTACAGG